>NC_000010.11:35487083-35791365 GCF_000001405.40 Homo sapiens
TGAAAGAAGGAAGATGACAAAACCAGGAAACATTCTTGATTTGATTGTGATAATTCGTCACTTGGATAAACTTATATTTCCATTACAAGACCACAACTGTGGGTCTTCTACCCTATTTTTTTTCTAGTTGGAAGAAATATAGTCTGAGACAGTAAGGCATACTTCTATTAGAGTCTTTTCTTTTGAATCTGGTGATTTCTCCTCTTTCCTTCATTCAGGTTAATATACTTTGACAGTAGTTTAGATTTGATTTGTGGATAGGAAGCCATGATTGGGATGAGGACAGTCATGTTAGGGCAGCTGCTGCTTGGACCACAGACATGCAGCTCCTGGGTCTTGACAGCTCCGTGTTTCTGCAGACCCCACATTCTCTTTCCCCTCAGCACTTCATGATGTGGGAAACAAGTTGTCGGCCATGCATCCCACCTCCCAGCTGTTCACTAGACTGATTTAGATGGCACTTGCATGATGTCATCAGAGTTTTCGTGATTGCTGAATTCCTTTTCCTTCTGGATATCCAAGAGATTTAGGCTGGACGTGGAACTTTTTTCTTGTTCCAAGCAGGAGACTAGGAACTCCAACAAAACTGGTTAAGTAGCCTGCTCATCAGACCCCTCCAGAGGCTGAAGGTAAGGGTATTTTATCCAAAGCCAGAGTGACTGCTTTCTTTCTTCACACAAAGAGGATGACATTGCAGACTTTGTACAGGAGCCACTCAGCAGAGAAGGGACCAAGAGTTCCTCATGGGGGTAGAGAAGTTTGCCAGGCCAGAGAGAAGTTAGGTTGCGAGACCTGCCATGGTTTTTCATGCTACTATCATTACTTGTGGGGAAGAATTGTAGTTCCTCATGTCCTTTCCTTTTCTGTACTTATTTTAGTTCATCATTTTCAAAGATGTGAGAGCTTAATATTCTTAAATAATATGAGAAAGCAGCCAAGCCACATCTTTTTCCTTTTAATTAGTGTGATTTTTAGAGATTTATTGTCTTAACAAAGAATTTGGAGGAAAAAACCCTAAGTTTGCGGAATCTGTGTTTCTCAGGAGTCCCTTGAAATAATTAAAGGAATAAAAACTATCCATCCCTTGAGTGGCTTGAGCCAAAGTAGAAACATTAAAATTCAGAAATAAAAATATGATTCTTAGTTTTAGTTGCACAACCTTTTAGAAATACTGAAATTGAAAAAATATTCTGTGGCTGTCCTCATTGGGGTCGTGTTTTGGTTACCGGGCAGTGTTGAACTTTTGCGTGGTGAAACAACCACCCTTTTTGTCCTCCTCTTATCTAGCATTTAGGAGCAACTTTCCACTGCCCTGTCGGGATTGCTTTCCTCCGAGCGCTGCCATGGCCTTGCTGTCCTCACCTCACTTGCATTCCCAGCTGTCTTTGGCTCGTTCGTGTGTGCAGGTGTGCAGGTGCTGGGGTGCCCCTTTCTCCAGCTGCCCTCAGTTGCTCGGTGTGTCTCCTTCAGGGCATGTCAAGTGCCATAGGGAAGACCTAAGCTTACACCAGTGATTTTCATGCTTTGTTCCTTTGCTTACATACTATGGAAAACAATTTTGAAAAACTGAAGTCCCTCAAGCATTTTTACGTTGACCTTAAAATTTTTTTACCCTATCAAAGCACATAATTTCTGATGGATTATAAACGTTGATATTTTAAAATAAACTGGCCTTCTTTAACAAATATTTCAGATGAAATTTTAATACCAGAGTGATTTGATACCCACCTTCAGTCCTTTAAAAATGTATGAACATGCTCCTAACAGTTGGAAATTTCATATCACTCCTTTATCATCTTGAACTTGTATTTCCATACTATTTTCTCCATAAAATGTTATACTAGTATAATGTATTTTGATTTTGAAAAGTCATTTATCACACTATCATATTCTTTTCTATAAAAATATGACCTAGGCCGGGCACGGTGGCTCACGCCTGTAATCCCAGCACTTTGGGAGGCTGAGGCAAGCGGATCACGAGGTCAGGAGATCGAGACCATCCTGGCTAACAGTGAAACCCTGTCTCTACCAAAAATACAAAAAACTAACTGGGCGTGGTGGCAGGTGCCTGTAGTCTTACATTTTACCGGATAATTATTAAACAAAAAAATGAAATATTTTTTGGAAAAACATTTCTTGGTGAGATGCCTCTATGGGTTGATATTACTTATTACTGAAATGAGGCAGTATTCATCATCAAAGCCTTTGTTTTTTGTTTTGTTTTGTTTTGTTTTTGAGACGGAGTCTCGCTCTGTCGCTGAGGCTGGAGTGCGGTGGCACTATCTTGGCTCACTGCAAGCTCTGCCTCCTGGGTTCATACCATTCTCCTGCCTCAGCCTCCCGAGTAGCTGGGACTACAGGCGCCCACCACCACGCCCAGCTAATTTTTTGTATTTTTAGTAGAGATGGGGTTTCACCATGTTAGCCAGGGTGGTCTCGATCTTCTGACCTCATGAGCCACTGCACCCAGCCAAGCCTTTGTTTTTATAGATGTAAGTGCTGAGGAACTTTGTTCATCTATATAAATAGATGGAAATAGAAAGATTTTTATTATAGTCATATCATTGAATTCTTTCTACTCTGTCTAGTTTATATGTCGAAAAATCTCCAAGGGATTTGTCAGCCAAAATAATTCCTAATAATCAGCTACAGTTCAGTTTTGTTCTCCTTCTATTTTATTGACAGTAGAGAATTGGAATCTATTTGATTTGCAAAAGAATTACTCAGTTAGAGGAGTCCCTCATTTTTACAGTTTCTGGGAAGTACATCAAAAAAGGTTTACCAAATGTAGCACATGACTTTCAATTATATCTACTACTCTTTACATTTGGTGGCACCTAGTTTAACCTGATATCCTTGGGAGCTTTGGGAGAATAAATCTAGGCCTAATCTCAGAACACCTTCCCTGACTGCTGCCCCACCGCATTCTGCATGTCCCTCTGTCGCCGCAGAGGTCTTCAGCGTATCGTGATTTATTCCAAGTCTTCATGTTTATACATCTCTGCCATTCACAGTGCCAGGCCCATAGAAAGAACTCAAATATATGTTGAATGGAGGAACCCCCACCTGCTCTTTTCCTCTGAACTAATGTTTTCAGCTTCTCTTTTGATTTAAATATATTTTCCTCAGAATGCTACAGGTTCTTCATATGACTTTGTTGGCAAAGCCAGGCATCATAGTCAATCCAGTCAGTCAAATCAGTCTTACATTATTTTTAATTATGTATTTCTTTATTTGTATTTTTGCCTATCACACCTGTTTCTTAGAATCAGTCTTACCTTCTGTGAGAAAAAGTCTGATTTTATTTTTGCAATTCACATAACATGTTAATGTGCATGCCCATGGCTGCCTTTGTGCTTCTGATCATAAATGGCCAGACAGGCGCAGGGGAGTGCACACCTAGGCAGCAGTCTGCGGTCCACTGCACCTTCCCGCCCTTCCCTGTGTCCTCCTGCACTGCTGCCCTCGCTGCTCCCCGAGCTTTGCTTGGGGGTCTAACGCCTGAAGAGGCAGGTCCTGTTGGAAACCATCCTCACTGTGATATCTGTAAACCCAGAGCCGGAAGTCTTTCCAGCACCCCTCCAGGGAAAGTCCATAGGACAAAGAAGCCTCCAGGTTGTGCCACAGGAGGCTGGCAGGAGATGAAAGACACATGAACCTGGATTGAAGGTGGTTACCACAACCCCAGTGGCTGCTTGTCTTTCCATCTGGTGCCCCTGGAGGTTTTCACACCAGGTCAGTGCAGGCCTCAGCTCAGGTGTGCCTGCCTTTCTTTGTGAAGTTGTGAGGGAGGAAGGTGGTTCCTGCATCACACCTCAGCCCATTTGAAGGTCTCTTTGAATACTTGGTTTGAGGACCTTTGCTCTAGTCTAGCCCTAAGTTACTTGTGACAGACCATTTCAATAAAAGAATTGCAAAAACTACTACCTCACCTGTCTTTCCCTCTAGTTTGGGGTGTGTGGAGGAGGGTGGGTACTCAAAAGCCATGAGTAGTTGAGTGTGCAGACAGGTCCATTTGTGCGTGCTGGGCTGCCCATGCCCTTGCCAACCTGTGGCCACCCCAGTGGCAGGGAACCAGCCTCTGGCCTCCAGTTAGGCAAGGCTCTAGGACCCAGCTCTGCGTTAGGCCTTTGTCTTCCATTAGTGGGATTTATAGTCACATAATCTCTTGGGTCATAACTTCCTATAAATTGACAATGGACACACCTGTCTCCTTAGAAGATTGCTCTCCTGAAGCAGTAGGGTGAGTCCCAGGCACACAGCGAGCCCTCAGCAATGTCTGCTCATTGACTTGTGATGTAACAGGTACTTTGGGATCCTCACTGGGGATCTCTTGAGCCAGCCTCTTCCAGGACCCCTGGCAAGAGGAGCCACCCCGTCCTGCCAGTGTAAGCATGTGTTCCAGAGATGTTTTCTGCCGCCTGGTAGACAGCCAGTCTGGAAATCGTACATGCTCCTTGGGGTTGGCATGTCCAAATCAGAAGTCAGCGTCTTTCCTCTCCTGCCAGCTTCCTCTCCCTTGTCACCTAATTTTTTATTTATTTATTTATTTTTTTGAGACGCTCTGTCGCCCAGGCTGGAGTGCAGTGGCACGATCTCGGCTCACTGCATGCTCTGCCTCCCGGGTTCACACCATTCTCCTGCCTCAGCCTCCCGAGTAGCTGGGACTACAGGTGCCTGCCCCCACACCTGGCTAATTTTTTGTATTTTTAGTAGAGATGGGGTTTCACCATGTTAGCCAGGATGGTCTCGATCTCCTGACCTCGTGATCCCACCCGCCTCGGCCCTCCAAAGTGCTGGGATTACAGGTGTGAGCGACCACGCCCGGCCTCATAACCTAGTTTTTAAGAATAAACCCATTGCTTGTCTGGGTCTTAATGGGCACCCCCAGAGTCCTGTAGTCAGTGTCTAAGCTGCACCTATATGCCCTGAATTTCTCCCATCCTCCCCTTCCTGCCTGGACTCTCGTTTCCTCCTTCCTCACCCAGTCTGTGGCGAGCCCCTTCCCAGTCTCCTGCCTCCATCATGTCCTCTCTCAAACCTTTCTTCCACCTGTCTGCAAGTGGAGCTTCTCTTAGGCCCCTCCCTGCCTGACCGTCTGTCTCCTCACCACTGGAACAGTGAGACACCAGCACACACACAGAGCCCTTTTCACCCTTCTTGTGGGTCCCCTCCCCTCCAGGCCTGAGAGGCCATCATCTGTGGCATGCTCTGCCCGCAGCACCTGCCCTCTGTCCATGCTGGCCCAATGGCTGCCTCATAGGTGATGCTTCCCTGTTTCTCTTCATTCCATTGATTGTGATAGACACCTTTCCTTGGCTGGAACACCTCTGAAATCAGCACAGTCAGTGACTTGCCAAAATTTAATTGGCAGCATTTTTTTTTTCTTTCTTAGTGACACATAGAGTAATGGTTTATCAGAAAATCAGTGGCATTACGTTCAGTGCAGTTTGCATATTCCTCTGTGTGGAGGTGATTATTTTTGTGGTATAGAAATAAATAGCTTTCTGTTTATCTGCTGGATTGCATCTTGCTCATGGATAGGAACTGTGCCTTTCACATTCCGCAGTCTCTGCAGTGGCTAGCACATAGAAGAAACTCACAAGCATAGGGGAATGAAGGAATGAAGGCAGGGCATCATGACCCACCCTGGGCAGACTTGCCGTGGCACGGTGGCAGTCTTCCCTGAGTAGTGGCTTTCTGTTTTGTGTTGCAGCTTTACCTTCTCCTACCTTCCCTAGCTTTGTTAGAAAACGACACATCCATTATTTAGGGACAGGAGGATGTAGGTTTTTTTAGGCTCAGGTGGTGTATTTGGGCTTTCCTATTCCGGGTCAGAACTCAGCATGACCGTGCCACCCTCAGGCCAGCTCTCCCCTCTCCCCTCTGCAGTCTTCTCTTGAGGTGCATGGGGGGGGGAGGGCAGGTATCAGGTTTCTTGGCCAGGCCTCGCCCTGTAAGTCAGAGGCGCTCTTTGGGTGCCGTGGCTCACTTTTCTTGGGTGCATCACCTGACTCCAGTATTTCATCCCTTGGGCTTTCCAGTGTGGAGAAAGCTGCTGATATAGTACAAACTCAGATGAAATCATTTAGACCCAGAATGTCAGTTTTCTCCGTACCTTTTATCATATCCTCTCTCCTGACCTGCGCTGTTCCCAGTCAGAACATTGCTCAGTGAGCACAGATCCAGAATAGAGGTTAGCAGGGATAATTCCCCCAGGCTGGGGGGAGTTTGATGCCCCGTCTACCACAGCCTTGTCCTACTGTTAGACAGCACCTGTGGCCTGCTGGTAGCCATAAACTTACTTTTCAATTCTCTTTTTAAAAACTCTGAGCACCTGCATTTCCCCTTCAGTTGGCACAGACTGATAACCTTGTAAATACTTTTCATAGCTTACCATGTTTATAGCTTACCTTACGTGGCTTATGTTTTTGGCTGGCTGCCCCGTGACATCTAGGGAGGCAGCTGAATTTCAGGATAATCTGATGCAGTCACCATGTAAGAATAGTTAATGCCTTGGAATGATTGCCTGAAGATAGCGATCCTCTGGAATCAGACTGCCTGAACTGGAGGCTTAGATCCAACACTCTCCACATAATCTTGGTGCATATGATCCATTTCCACATGATTTCCCTCAATCTCAATTTTATCACTGTAAAATGGAGTTAGTACCTCTTTGTGAGATTGTCAGGAGGACTAAATGCATAATCCATCAAAGCACCGAGCCCTGTACGTAAGACAACACAAGTTCTCAGTAAATATAATCCTTACCCTAGAGTGTAGGTTCTCATTTGCTCAGCTGGATTGAGTTTCTTCCCTGACTTGGGTCTGTGCCATCTTCTAGCTTGTCTGTGCTGACAGCTCCTCTGTGCTGACTGTGACACCTTGCACCAGAACACTGGGCCTGACCAGGAGGAGAAGGGATGGATACCAGGACAAGAGTAGAGGGTGGCTTCTGTGCACTGCTGTGCCCAGTCCCATCTTTTTCTGTGTTTTCCTTGATAAAGATAGATCGTGGACCCCCACATCTTAGAGTTGCTTCCAGGTTAGGCACAGTGGCTCACTCCTGTAATCCCAGCATTTTGGGAGGCTGAGTGGGGAGGATTGCTTGAGCCCAGGAGTTCAAGACCAGCCTGGACAGCATAGTGAGACCCCCCCCCCCATTTCTACAAAAAAATAAAGATTTTTTTTTTTTAAAGAAAGAGTTGCTTCAACACACCTTGGAAGCAAACCAGAAAGAGGCCAGGTCTGAAATTATATCAGCCAGCATTTGATAGCAGCTCATTATATTAGAATACACAGCACTTTAAGTCTCACTTAAAAAATAAAATGATAACGTCACCTCCACCATGTGTCAGGATAGATTTCTGATGGATTGACTAGTGGTAGAGTAAATGTAACAAATACAATCATAATCATCTAGAAATAGTATACGTGAATATTTAGTGTCAGAATGGGGAAGGGGCATGTAAGTTTGTAGAAGCAATGAAGGAAGTTGCCTAAAAATGAAAACTCATGTCCAAATGCATCTAACAATGAAATCATCAGTGATGGAAATATCACAATCTATAGGAAAAAGGATTAATGCCTTTATGTATTAAAGAATTATTATACAATCAGTCAAAATGCTAACACACCAATAGAAAAATGGGCATATTTCTGTTGGCATGTTCATATATGAGCACATGTATACTTGCACATACTTATATACAAATACATTCATATGCAAAAGTACACATCATGCTTGCTTTGTATATATGCGCACAAAAGAGACTCAAAGGATACACATCAGAATATTAATAGTGATTGTCTCTGGATTGTTGGATTAAACAGGTTGGGCCTCTCAAATTCAAAAATTTGAAATCTGAAATGCTCCAAGATGGATCTGCAACTTACTGAGCACCAACCTGATGTTCAAAGGAAATACTCATTGGAGCATTTTGGATTTCACATTTTTGGATTTGGGATGCTCAAATAATGCAGAATTTCAAAATCTGATAAAAAATATCCTAAATCCACAATACTTCTGGACCCACGCATTTCAGATAAGGGGTGATAAGGATACTCTGTGTGTGTGTATGTTTTATGTATCTCTGTGTTTTCCAAGCAAGCTTTTAATTTTTATTTGCAGTTGCATTTTCTTCTTTATATGGCTCTGTATTTTCCAAATTTTCTGCAATAAGCATGCATTTCTTTTCTGATTAGCAGAAAGTTTTAAATGGATGCCACTTAGCTGAAGTTTCTGTGCTTCTGAAGAAATCCTTTGGCCTTAGATATTCTCTGTGAGAAACAGAAAACCTCTCAAGTGTGTTGGCAGCTTAGGTGGATATTTGTTCTTTGAATAGTTTTCTCCTTATGTTCTTCCTTCGTCTACTTCCTATTCTCTTCCCTGGAATTTTCTCCTCTCCATGACTGGCTGTGCCCTCAACATCTTAGAAATGTTTCTATGTCTTTTCATTTTTGTTTCATTGGCTTTGCTTATTTAGATTTCACTTTGAATGCACAGAATGTCACGTTCCTCTGTGCCCAGATTTCGAAATAAGAGCAGGTCCTGGACAGTTCAGAGCAGGCCAGAGGTCTAATTGGAAGCTCCCTTCCTGCAGCACAGGAGGTGTGCCTTGGGGGGAAATGGCCACACCAGGATGCTTTGTTCTGGGCTCCAAAGTGTGGGTGATGTTCCTGCTACAGTGCACTTTGTGTCCTGGCCGTTTGTGTTCATGACGACTTCCCTGTCAGGGCAGGAGCTCAGCAGGGCAGGAGCCTCCATGTGCATTCTGAACAGGGGCTCAACAGTTGTTTTGAATTGAGTGAGTGAGTGAGTGAGTGAGTGAATTCACTGAATTATTGAAAACTGTAGGAACTGTGTGGTCATCTCAAATTTACTATAAGAAAAGTTAATAGTAAACTTTTAATTTTATTGTTCAAGGCCTGATCTGTGCTACCCACAGGAAAAAGGAAAGGGAAATGAAACCTTTTCTTTTCAACCAGATCTTTGTGATCTGCATTGGAGCTATCTCAGCAATCAGCTTCGTATATCCAAACAAAATTCTGTCATTCTTTAGTTGAAGCCTGCCTCTTGTGTGGCCTGCCAGTCCTTCACATCCAGAGTAGTTAATCAGTTAAGTAAATTTTCTTTGTAGAATAGCACAGCTCTATTCATACCTGGTTCTAATTGTCATTCTGTTTTTAAATGGGACTCGTTTTATGCAGATGCCAAGGATGCCTGTGCACACCAGTGATGTTCTTGTTGGAGGGCGGATGTATAGAGGAAGGGGTCCTACACGCGGTCTCCTCTCTTCTTCTTCTGGGCCTTCCCTTCCTTGGCCTGCTTGGGCTCTTCCCTAGTTTGCCAAAGAAAGAGTATCTTAGGTATCTTAGGACCTTTTTAGTACCAGCATCCTATGGCTTGGTGGTGGCTAACACTTGCCATTGGAAGGTCGGTCTATTTTAGAAATGGAAGAGGAGAGTCAGGTGCGGTGGCTCATACCTGTAATCCCAAAACTTTGGGGGGTGCTGAGACAGGAGGATTGCTTGAGCTCAGGAGTTCAATACCAGCCTGGGCGACATAGTGAGATCTCATCTCTAAAAAAGAAAAAAATTGGAAATGGAAGAGGAGAAACCAAGGTAATCTTTTAAATGCCTACCTATGACAGGAATCAGCTGAAATGGTGTTTAGATTGTTAACAAATCCTCATTAATAATCACACACTAGGTTGAAAGTTGTATTTTAAAGAGTCACTTGTGTGACATTGTGGCAAGAGAGTGTCCCATAGCAACTTAAGTGTAATTTTGTTTGTCCCTCAGATTGCAAACACTGCCTTTTACTCTCTTCACTCCCCATTTTATCAGGAGAAGACTTTTAATGCCAACTGTATTGTTTTTGCTGATTTTAGATGGCTTATTTTTAAAGCCTCTGGTCCATTTTCTGTTTACATCTTTATGGACTGTCACTGTAGCCAATTAAAAATCCTCTTAACTATCATAGATTGTGTCAAAGGAGATTGCTGTTATTCCTCTCCCAGGAAAGAAAAAATTTATGATCCATATCAATTTATTGCCTGTTTTCTCTAAAGAAGCAAAACATAATTATTAGTTAATTCAGTTAGACATTAACTCAGAAAACTCCAGAGATTTTGATTGATTGTTATAGTAACCAAAAATATTGAAGTGTTAAAGATGACTAAAACCACCTATTAGAAATGAGTTGGCATATTGCTTATACCATTACATAAAATAGCTAAAGCATTTTGAATTTCAGAGCTGTACCCACATCAGCCTCAGTGGTTTCAAATTTATTTTAAAGACAGATTTAGATTTGGGCAATTCTGTCAGTCTTTTCAGGTGATACACCACTGTAAAATATTCTGCTTATCACTGGGTGTGGTGGTTCACGCCTGTAATCCCAGCGCTTTGGGAGGCCGAGGCAGGTGGATCACTTGAGGTGAGGAGTTCGAGACCAGCCTGGCCAACATGGCAAAACCCTGTCTCTACTAAAAAATACAAAAAATTAGCTGGATGTGGTGGTGCACCCCTGTACTCTCAGCTACTTAGGCAGGAGAGGCAGGAGAATTGCTTGAACCTGGGAGGTGGAGTGAGTCAGCTCACTTCCCTCCAGCCTGGATTACAGAGCGAGACTCCGTCTCAAAAAAAAAAAAAAAAAAAAAAATTCTACTTATCTTATTCCCCCTATGGTAATGTCTTGGTTGTGCTCCTGCTAGCTTAGGGGAAAAGGAGTAATTAATTTTAAGGGCACTGAGGGTATCTCAGACAGCTCATGAATTGGTGGAACTGGGTACTAAAAGCTGTTAGGACTAAGGCAGCACCTGCCTTCTGCCCATCTCCCTCTGCCGTGTTTCTCTGCATGGCAGAGGGACACCACTGCTTTATGGGGGTCCAGGAATCATAAGACACAAAATACAGTCACACTCATGACTGTAACTTATTACAGTGCAAGCACATGAGGCAAACTCAGTACAGGGAAGAGGTGCACAGGGCGAGTCCTCTCCCATGGAGCCACACAGGTTGCACTTTATCCCCCCATTCACAAATGAGTTGTGAAAACACCTGTGGAATGTTGTCAGCCAGGGAAACTCCTGGGTAGAGACCCAGCACCCAGGATTTTTATGGAGGACCACTCATGTAAGAAGGCTCTGCCTGTTAAGTACCAAAGTTCCAGACTCCCAGAAGGAAATAAACCATACTGTGTGCGGCATAGAGCATATTGTTTGTGCAGACAGCTTAGGCACAGTGAGCCACTCCTACCAGTTAGGAAATGATGGGAAGGAACCCTCCTAAATCCAAGTTCCCAGATACCAGCCAAGGGCCAGCCTTGCAACAGGCCCTTTAAGGATGGCTGTCAGATCTGCTGCTTCACTCTTTCCTGCACAGCGGAGTCCCACCCCAGTCTGAAGTTTACACATCATACCCTCAGTTAAGGTTGAGCAGAGCCCTTTGAGTATGTCCCAACTCCAGATTCCCAGGAGAAGGAGTTAGCCCAGAGAGGGTAAAGTTACCCCCCAATCCAGGCAGGATGGTCAGAGTAATGGGTCACATGGTCTAACGTGGATATCAGGCATTCTTCCCATCTGGGTAGGGACAGGTTGTTGGTTTGGGGGCGCGGAAGACGCTCCAGAAGCAAGTCGGCCATAGAGATGCATGTGTGGAAAATCTTCTCAGAAACTGTGCAGACTTCATCTGCCAAAGACCCTCTTATGTTAGGAGGAGCATTACAAAACCATACAGGAAAGTGGCACCTGATTCAGGCCCCAGGAGCCCCAGGTTGCTCTGAGGAAATAGGGTAGTGTGTAGGTGTTCATTTGCATAGAAGCAGTGAATGCCTGAGAGATTCTGTAATAGATTCAGATAGCTTATCCTCAGGTGTTCTGTAATAGTCTTAGTGAACTTTCGTTTTTCTTCACCATTCTGATTGCAGCCAGTTGGAGTTCATGAAAATAGCCTGATTCCTCCCTGAGATTGATCCTTGTAGGTGGTGGACAAAAATGGCATATGTGTTTATAATATTCTTCTGTGTCTGCTGTAGTTTTTTTTTTGTTTGTTTGAAAGCTTTTGTATTAGTATGTTTTCACACTGCTGATAAAGATATACCCCAGACTGGGCAGTTTACAAAAGAGGTTTAAGGGACTTACAGTTCCACGTAGCTGGGGAGGCGTCACAGTCATGGTGGAAGGTATCTCAGGCACGTCTCACATCGCGGCAGAGAAGAGAAGAGGGCTTGTGCAGAGAAACTCCTGTTTTTACAATCATCAGATCTCATGAGACTTATCACTATCATGAGAACAGCATGGGAAAGACCTGCCCCCATGATTCAATTACCTTCCACCAGGTCCCTCCCACAACATGTGGGAATTCAAGATGAGATTTGGGTGGGGACACAGCCAAACCATATCAGCTTTCTTGGTCGGACTTATAGTCAGAACTATTGAAGGTTATGCATCTCAGCCATTACTTCTACACGTGAATAATTCCTAATCTTCTCAATAGTACCCATATAGGAAGTGCTGGTATTTTTTGAGGCATGGATATCTTTCATTTGCTGAAGGCAGGGGCTGATGTAGGGTGTTGAGGTGACCTTAGTATGGGTGGTGGTTCCCACAGTTGGGAGACTTGTGTCTCTTTTGCACAAACCTATCACTGGGTTGCTCTGAGAAGGGTTAAGTGTCATCTCAGAATGTAGTGGGAACCCTGTCAGTTCTGTGGCCCATGTAGAAAGGGTTTCCGGGTCCCTTCAGTCAGTGGGAAATCACCATAGAATTATCATCATATCCCCATCCTTGGCTACATGTATAATAGTTTAGTATGAATTAATTTAATTCACACATGTGCATGCACACGCTCTATATATGTATGTATGTATGCCAGGAAGTTAAAACCCAGAGCTTCCAGCCAGACCATCCTGTTTGTTTTGCTATGGTTTTCATGTGGATTCTTCCTTGGAGTCAGGTAAAATGTAATCCCTCTGCCTCCATGCTGTGCATAGCAGACCAGTTTGTTGCTGCTGTCTGTGCACTCGTGCTCTGTGTGCGCTAGTCTGGCCTCATGCATGGCCAGGGTGCCCTGTCCTGTGACAGCAGGGGGCTGATCGCCTGCACATGCGTCCATCCGATGGCTTGATGGAGCTGCCTTCTATGTGTCAGTCTCTCTTTTTAAAGTACTCAACAGTATCCTCAGACTAATTTTTGCTTTTGCATTTTTGCTTTTGTTATCTTTGAGATATCAAGAGTGGAAGGCAGCATTCATTCCAGAGAGGACAAGACTTCTAAGGAAAAGAGAAGTGTTTTTTTGTGAGTCTAAGAACAGCATATGAGTGATAGAAAAACAGTTCCATAGTCCCTTCAACAGATCAGCAGGAAGGCTTTTGAAAACAGTAGTGAATCTTCTTTGCAGAGGCATGGACTGTAAGGAGAAAACCTTCTTCTATCTTTTGTACACTGCTGTTTTAGGGTACCCCAAGATAACATTGTTGATTCCTGGGGACCTAGGATGTTATCTCCTTGAATGAAACCTATTCTTCATGTCTTTTACAGTAACGAATAAATGTGTTGATGGATTCATCTGTACCCACAAAATGAGCCTTCAGAAAAGAAAATGCAAAGTTCAGTGATACTAGGTTATTACAAGCTCTTCGTGTTCCCTGTGACTGACCCTTCTACCTCTCTGGGGCAGCAGGCTCCCATTCTGAGAAACACTGGTATCTGGGGACACTGCAGGCTGAGCTGCTCAGCACAGGCCATGCATGCAGTGTGAGAAGCCACCTTGTTAGAGCAGTATCAATTATGGTGACTGTTAGAGCAGTATCAATTATGGTGACCTCTGTCAGCCTTATGGGGTTGGGGTTGGGTGCCACAAGGAGCTCCAGGGGCTCCCAGACAGAAGCCCAGCTGTATTCACCAGCACCCAGCATGGAGAATAATGGGTTTCCATGATAAGTAATGCTGCTGATGTACATCGTCTTCCTGGATCTCAATGCTTTCTAGATATTATTGTTATTTATATTTCCCTTATATACTGTGGAGCTTTATGGGTCTGGTAGGGTTGGGAATAAATAGTCCTATCATTTGTTAATTATGTTAAACTAATAGATGCATATGAGTTTTATGAGGGTTACTAATTACTTTTTTATTCAGTTAATGGAAATCTGTTACCCCTTAATTGATTTCAGCTGCAGTTATTTTGTTAGGGTGCTCTTGTTTAAATGGATGTATATTTCCCTCTGTGAGCCAAGTTCATTCAGATCTGCATTTGTGCAGGTCCTGTATTCTTATGTTTGATAAATGAGCAAGTGGGTATGTTGGTTGGTGGAAGGACGGGACCACGACACAGAGGCCCAGTCCTCATCCACCTGCCAGGGGTTGGCATGCAGGCATATAACATTTCTGTTGCATCTTTTGTTTTCACAGTGAGAGAAAAACGCAAGAGTCTCTTCATTAACCATGTAAGTGAAGCTGTCTCCCTGTGTTCTTCATAATGACTGTACAGTGTAAAGAGCTAAAATAACTGTCTGTGATGGATGAAAATGGCTCATGTGCTTTGTAGATACTTGGAAGAATGTTGCAGTGTACTTATGCTTAGTTTGGTTTGTAATTGGACAAGCATCACTCAGTATTTGTCCACTGTCCCAAATATTTTTCCAGAAGCCCTAGACCACTATTGTTCATGAGATGATGTGTGTGAACAATAACATATCAAACATCACCCAGCAAGTCCAAGCGAAAGCCACTTCTTTTTAATTTTGAATCCTTTCCTTTCTCTACCCTCACCCCCAAATTATTCTTTTTCTCTTGTAGCTCAGTTCCATTTGAATAAACACATAGTTGTTTTCCATGAGGCTCTCTGTCTCCACACTTGACTCTTCCCATTTGTTGTTTGTGGGTCCAGTAGAGTCTGCGTGTTCTTCTGATGCTCCAAGAAAGGATAAACTTGATAACACTAAATTTAAAAAAGATGTTCAAACATTTGGCTGGAGTCTTTTGGCCATTCTTAGCCATGTCTCCCTCCCCTGGTGGCCAGGTGCAGGTGCCCCATTGAGATACTTCATCCCTCTTCCTTCCTTGAGCAGAGATGTAGCTGGCTGGCTCCAGCACCTACTCCACACCCTATATACCAGGCAAGTCCTAGCCACACCTTCTTCTTAGAAATATGGCCCTTTAGGAAAGAAAACTCTCCGAGAGGGATGGAATGATGAAACAGGTGTAAATTATCAAAATAAGTATGCTCTAAGTCCTCATTCTAAAAACAGAACCACACAAGGGTCTTTCTCAGGATTTTTAGACTGTCTGCATCTGTGTATTTGAAGATCTTGAAATAGTCCTAAAGCTGTGTATTAAAGAGACTTAAAGCCATAATGTTGTATTCTCTGCCCTTTGAAAATATGGACAAAATGCAGTTGGGAAGAAATTCATAAGCTGGGCCCTTACACTCAAGGGACATGATGCTACGCCCTTAGGAG
This sequence comes from Homo sapiens, assembly GCF_000001405.40. Classification (NCBI taxonomy): domain Eukaryota; kingdom Metazoa; phylum Chordata; class Mammalia; order Primates; family Hominidae; genus Homo; species Homo sapiens. The sequence continues at coordinate 35,502,550 of NC_000010.11, forward strand.
ACTGATGACTTCTTTGTAGTCAGTGTTAATATATATGCACATATACAGTTTTCTAGGGGTCAGAGGGCTTATTATTTTTAGCAGATTCTTAAAGCAATCTGTGACCTTTTCCCTCGGCCCCTTAAATTTCAAAGCATCTGTTTAAAGCACCTTTGAAATTGCAATCTGTGTCATGAGGAAAATATGAAAATTGCCATGCCTTTTTTTTTTTGAAAGCAGTATATACCTGGATATAAAAATTTGAGCGATTGGAACGAATTCTCTAAATCCTTGCTTCCATTTCTTTGCCTGCTGGGTGCACTTGAATGCTTTCCCACTCATTACACTCATTAGCATGCCTGCCAAGGAGCTTGCAAGGGAAGGAGAAGAGCTGGAACTGCATCCAGGCCATCTTTCCTGTTCACTGCAGCTCCATGGAAGGTGCATTGAAGAAAGAGGAGGATAGGAGTTTGTGTCGCTCTGTTATCATTGTAGCTGATGATACAGAGGTGTGCTCCCACAGTTCTAACCTGCATACCTCTTTTAACATCCCTGCACGCCCCACCCCCCCAACAGGCACACACCTAACCTTGCCATTTCGTGTCCTGTATAGTCTGAGCACCTGCCACACACTTGAGAACACATCTGCTGCACCCAGCACATGGATTAGTATGGGAGGCCATGCATTCTCATGCACAGTATCTTCTAACGCCCAGCCCAGCATTCAAACCTCTGTAAAATCACATCTGCTGACACAGAGTGAAATCACACAGTTGTTGAGATCTCTGCAAATGCACCTGTTCCTATAGAAAAGAAATCTGGGTGCTAAGTTTCTTACATAACAGATGACCCTGTAACAAGCAGCGTGACCCTCTAAACTGTGAACAGACCTCGCTGCAAATGAGCGCCATCAGTCCTGCCACGCTAGGAAAAGCCGTGGGAGTGTGCCAGTCCCACCAGCTGAAATATCATTTGAGTGAAATTACCTGCAGATTCAATTAGGCTAATAAAGCAGCTGTACTTTTCAGGTTTTGAAACTTAGGAATAGTAAGTTAGAACAGTGGAGAAAGGACGAGCAATAATAATAATCGGTCCCATCTGCTGAGTGCTTTAAAGTGTGTGTGCCAGGCTCTGCTGTAATTGGTTTAATGGACTCATTTAGTTAGCACAATGGCCATGCTAGGTAGGCACAATTCAGTATTACTGTTTTACAGATGAGGAGATGAGGCACAAAGAAGTTAGCCAAGTAGACAGTGGAGCCCGGGTTGAGTCCCAGGTGGTCTGCTTCAAGCACGCCACTTAGCTCGCACCCTCTGTGTTCCTCAGATAATAACACCAGTTCCCATGTGACAGAGGTTGTTTAGCTTGCTTATCTGAACTTAGAGATAACATTTATAATTAAATTTGTATGGGACAGTCTCTAGGGTTCATTTCTGAATATGGATCTCAACTGAAATTTATCATTTAGTTTGTTACTGAACTCTGGAGTGATAGTTATTTTTCGCCCTTATTATACCATTTCATTTTTTATTTGCTTTATTGTGAGGGATGTTGTTTCTTTAATTTCTCTTTCAAGTTTTGAAGAACCCACTTAGTACATGTTGCTAAGTTAACCTACAAAGAGGCTACTATTTAAGAGAAATGAATACAGTTGTGTAGGTAAGCCATTTAAGACAAGGCGAGTGTTCACCTCTACCCCCAGGACCATGATAACTGCAGGGGAAATAACCTCCTCCAGGTGGAGAAAAGTAAGGCTTTCCTGGTTTCCAGCAAACAACACACATAAGCAAGTGAAAAGAGTGGACTATGACCCAGGACATTCTCCAGGGAATGGGGCAGTAGAGAATGGTCCCCCAGGCTGGAAAATGAGAGGGGCCTTTAACTGGCTCAAAACAGCCAAGAGAGACTCAGAGGATTAAGTGAAAGGAGACCACTTCTCAAGGAATTATTCCAGGTTTTGAAGCTTGAAGCCATTTGAAAATAAACCACTTTGGATGTTTTGACAGCAGGTTCAATCAGGGTGAATTATAAAGGTTAATATTTTAATCAGCACCTATGTTTTAGATGTAATTAAAGTGAACAGGTATAGGAAGGTTTTTGTTGTTGTTGTTGTTGTTGTTGTTTTTGAGATGGAGTCTCGCTCTGTCACCCAGGCTGGAGGGCATTGGTACGATCTTGGCTCACTGCAACCTCCCCAACCCGGGTTCAAACTATTCACCTGCCTCAGCCTCCCAAGTAGCTGGGATTAAAAGCATGCGCCACCATACCCGGCTAATTTTTGTATTTTTAGTAGAGACAGGAATTAGCTATGTTGGCCAGGCTGGTCTTGAACCCCTGACCTCAGGTGATCCACCCGCCTTAGCTTCCCAAAGTGCTGGGATTACAAGCATGAGCCACTGCGTCCAGCTAGGAAAATTTAATGCATATGAAAGATACACGTATTTTTAAAAGGCTGTGTAAAGGGATTTATGTAAAGTTTATTTAAAATTTGCTGACATTTTGACTTTGCTTTTTTTTTTTTAAGGTTAGCTGTTTTTATGAATCTTTTAATTAAAGTGTAAAAATCTCTGATTATAGATTGTGGGTGACATTGTAGGTGGTTGGAGTTAAGAATCACTCCTGAAAAAAAAAAATCACTCCTGAAACTCAGAATGTATGCTTTTTACCTTAGCCTCACTTTTCTATGATTATCTTCCTGCCACCTGGTGATAGCACACCAAAAATGAATGGGTTATTCTAAGAAGTTAAAAAAAAAAAAAAGATGTGAAAACAGAATGAATGAGGAGTTGAATAGCCAGCTTCCTTTGTCTTGTTTGCCATAGGTGCACTTTGAAACGAGAAAGCCAGACTGGGAATTCTGTGTAGTGTGATCCTCAAAAAAAAAAAAACCAAAGCATTTGTCTCAACACTGAGTCTGGTGATAGTTGAGGAAACTTTGTGAGGAAGTAAAGCAACTAGGGAGAGTTACTTATCAGCTAAGCAAGAGTCACATTATTATTAGTGGGACTTGGAGCCAAAAGAACTTTGTTCAAACCCTCGTTCTGCCACCTGCTAATTGGGCAATCTTGGAAACATCTTGAAATCTCAGTTTTCTTATCTCCTAGGGTGGGTCATAATTCCAGACCTACTTGACTCAAAGGTAGTGATTTGCAGCCTAATTATAACACCATATACGTATGTTGTATTATTATTGTCCATTGGAATTTAGGTAAAATTGATTTAATTTTCCAAGTTCAATATCAAAACTGATGAAAGTCTTTCTGGTATTTTGAGTATGGATATAGTTTTTTCATAATCATTAAGACCAGGATTTTCTGGGAGGAGTATATTCTGTTCAGCTCCCTTTGGAGAATACTGACTTGAATCATTTGCTCCTCTTAACACAGTTCAGTTCCAAATCAGTTTCTGCCTTTTAGCTTTGAGTGAGGTAGGAATAGGAGTCCTTGTAAAAAGGTGTCTATTCTGGTTATAGGCTTCATCTGTAAGTCATAAAAGTCAAGTAATACAGTGAGCTACATCTAGGAACTGAAATTTAAAACATTTTAAATCTTGCTTTTGCCTCTGGAATAGAATGAGAGTTTATTGAGCAGCTGCTGTGTTAGCATCAATGCCATATGCTTGGAGGATGTGAAAGAAGACTAAGTTTTTAAAATATCAGTAAAAATTTTAAAAATCCAATAAGATTAAAGAAATCCAGCTTTTACTTTGAAATAATTTCAAATGTATAGAAAAGTAACAGCAATAATTGAGAGTACAGGATTTTCATGTGACTAAAGGAACCTTAGATGCTCTGGTTCTCAGACCCCCTGTTCTGCTTCACCCAGGGATGTTGACATGGGGTAGGTGTTTTGTTATTTTCTCTCTTCTTTTTGTTTTTTCTTCTTCTTTTTGCGGAATGTCTAGAAATGATAATGATAATGTTACACACACTGGTACATTGAGAAGCTTGGGTAGGACATCAATTCCTTAAGTGTATTGGTTATGTCTGTGGAGGACTTTCTCTTTTCTTACCTCTTTCTGTTTCTTCTTCACCCCTTCTTCCCTTTCTTCATGCTGTCACTCTTGTAATGAGGCACAAAGGAAGTGGCACTTGTAAAGTGTAATGGTCCATTCAAATACAGGGCAGCCGACAGGTGGAATTGCTTCCCTAGTGCCTTTGTGGAAGGTCATTTTGAAAGCTACATTGTCCTTGTTAAGACACACAAGTGACGGGGCCACTGAGCTGTTGTTATGATTTAGCCTGGTAACTCATGGTGTGTTCTCCATGGAAGTTCCTATGTTGGAAGCCCTGATCTTTTGTATATAGTGTTAGGATATCATCCCTTAATTAGCCAGCACAAATTCTTGACCACAGCTGCCTGGTTTTCACATTGCTCTGACACTGCTACATGTGGGGAAGGAGCTGTTCTCATTTTAGTCAGTCACTGACTCTTGGTTCCATTGCTGCCATTCCCAGAGTTAGGGGAAGCACAACCACTCCTGCTAGCTGGGCAGGCACTGAGGGCCTCTTCACTGTGCATTCTACTTGTCACTTCATTGCTCTCCTAACCTCCTCAGTTTTCAACTCCATCACCTTGCTCAGGGACTTCTGGAGTAGAGAGAAGAAAGGAATGAAGTGAAGCCTTGAAGGAGCATTCTACTTGAAGCAGGAACTTTGTCAGAAAAGCCCTTTAAGAAGCAGACTTTGTATCCCTTAGCCTTGTGTTATAATCTGTTCTTTGACTTTATATATACATATATATGTGTGTGTATATATATGTGTGTGTACATATATATGTTTTAACTTTTATTTCAAACTTACAGAATGATTTTAATAGTAGTAATACAGAAAACTCTCATCTACCCTTTAGCCAGATTCATCAGTTTTAAACCAATATTCTCTCACATTCTGCACATCCTTGGTCATTGTCTTTTATTATTTTTTCTGAATTGTTTGGAAGTAGGTTGTCTGCATTCTGCCTTTTCTCCCTAATACTCCACTGTGTATTTCCTAAGACCAAGGCTATTCTCTGTGTAACCACAATATTATCAAAATAAAGAATTTAACATTGATATGTTTCTTCTAATTAACTGATCATATTCCAGCAATGTTAAGTGGCTCCGTAATGTCCGCTACAGCGTGTTTTTCTGTGGTATGGGTTTCACTCCAGCCTGACACATGGCATTTAGTTGGCATGCACGCTCTATGTCCTTTAATCTGGAGCAGATTCTCAGCCTTTCTCAGTCTTTCAGGACATTGACACTGTTGAAGAATACAGGGCCAGTTTTTTTTTTTTTTTTAAATAATAATGTAATGTTTCTCATTTTGGATTTGCCCGAAGGATTCAGTTAAACATTTACAGCCAGAATACTACATGGAGTGTTCCCTTGCCCTTTTCAAGACATCAAATCGAGAGGCAGGCAGTTTCATCTGACTCTTGTTGCTGATGTTGATTTTGATTACCGGGCAAGGTGCTGCCTGGATCCTCCACTGTCTGTTTACTCGTTTTCCCTTTGCAACTAATAAGCAGTCTCTGGGCAGGTACTTTAAAACCATGTAGATATCCTGCACTTTATCCCCACCCCCAGATTTAGCATCTGTTGATCAGGCTTGACCGAATCAATCTTTATTATTTTTGGTTACAAAATGGTGGTTTTCCAGCCCTACCATACTTCTCTCCCTTTGTCAGTAGGTGTTCTGCTTAAGAGAGAGCCTTCTCTTCCCATCTGTCCATCTGTCTGTCCATCCAGCCATTTTCAGTACAGATTCCTGGATTTCTGCTTTTCTAATGATACCTAGTTCATGCTTGTGCTTAAATATTTCGATGTCCTAGATTTGGGTAGTGGCAGTCTTTTGATACTGGTTTTGTGTTCTTGTGACATGCTCCATCCTTTCGTTTTGTTTTGCGAACTCCTTTGCTTTCTGGCACAATAAGATATTTCAGGCTCATCTTGTACCTCTGCCTCAACCCTGGATAGCCATTTCTCCAGGGAGTCCTGATTCCTTTTAGTGGCAAACAGTGCTAGAACCAAGGTCTGGACACCATGTGTGCTCATTGCTGCTGGGGTGCTATTGCTTCTAGGCCCATTTAGCAGGTGTAGCTAGGAAACAGACATTTCAGAAATCATGAATTCATACTGTTACTTTAAATTTCCCATTCCAGTCTATCCCATAGGGTTTTTTCTTGACCTTGGCCTTTGACTTTTTAATTTCTACTGAAAAACTTATTTTTCAATTAAGTTTTATTGATACATAATTAACATGTAAAATTCACCTTTTAAAAATATACAGTTCAGTGGTTTTTAGTGTAACCACAGAGGTGTGCAACTGTCATCACAGTTAATTTTAGAACATATTCATCACCCCCAAAAGAAACCCTGTACCCATTAGCAGTCATTCCTACTCCTTCCCCTCCCCCACTAGTCTACTGTTTGTAGATTTGTCTATTTTGGATATTTTATATAAATGTAATCATATAATACATGGCCTTTTGTGAGTGGCTTCTTTCACTTAGCATAATGTTCTCAAGGTTCATCCGTGTATCTCAGTACTTCATTCCTTTTTATGGCCAAATACATTTCTACAGAGCAGAATTCTACCATAAAGTTGGCATTTTCCCAATTTTTGTTCTGAGATCCAAAGTTGGCTTATTTTCTCGCTTTCATAGAGAATGATTTGGTTCACCTGGGTTCTTAACTCCATGGGTATTTGCCTTCTGCTTTAGTCTTGCTGTAAATAATTGATCCTGCTAAAAGCTGTACCCTTTTTTGGGGGCTGGGGGTAGGGGGTCAGAGTCTTGCTCTGTCACCCAGGCTGGAGTACAGTGGTGTGATCTTGGCTCACTGCAACCTCTGCCTTCCCGGTTCAAGTGATTCTCCTGCCTCAGCCTCCTGAGTAGCTGGGATTACAGGCACCTTCCACCACGCCCAGCTAATTTTTGTATTTTTAATAGAGACGGGGTTTCACCATGTTGGCCAGGCTGGTCTCAAACTCCTGACCTCAAGTGATCCAGCTGCCTTGGCCTCCGAAAGTGCTGGGATTACAGCCATGAGCCACTGTGCCTAACCTGTACCTTCTTTTTCTTTCTATGGAACATTAGTTTGTGAACACTTTGAGGTCAGAGAGGAAGATTTTTTTCTTATTTTGCTTTTTGTCTTTGTGTCTCTGTGACCCCTGGTGGTCCTGGAAAAGTGATGATGGTGCTTTCCTCTCTCCCAGCCGGGTGCCTTCCCCGCATGGGCATCCCCCTGTGAGCACACCTGCTCTTGCTGATCAGTGCTCTGGGTTTCACAGGCTTCAGAATCCCACACAAAGTTCTTGAATTCCACTCCACCCTGTATTAGCTGTGTGAATAAGGCAAAGACAGTTCTGCAAAATGAGTGGCCTTTATGGTTTCGTGGAGACTGTCTGTGAGCTGGGAGTTCAGCAGGTGGCAGGTGTGATCCTGCAACCCAGCCTCCCCTCCACTTCTGCACTCCAGCAGGCCTTTCGTTCATTCCTAGTCAAGGAATGCCAGTGCAAGTGGCCAGTTCTCTGTGGCCCGAGGAGGCTGCAGACCAAAACCTGCCTCCTCTATCAAGGTCATAGTTTGCCCTCCTTAAGATTAAAAAAAATTGTGGAGCTTTCATATTTAGAGATTTCATTTATATCACTTCTTTTCACAAACTTTTACTCCTTCTTTTCCTCTAATAATAATACTTCATTTTATTTATTTATTTATTTGTGAGACAAGGTTTCACTCTGTCACTCAGGGTGGAGTGTAGTGGCACAATCATGGCTCACAGCAGTCTTGACTTCCTGGGCCCAACCGATCTTCCTGCCTCAGCCTCCTGGGTAGCTGGCACCACAGGCATGCATCACCACACCTGGCTAATTTATTTCTATTTTTTGTAGAGATGAGGTCTTGCTGTATGGCTCAGGTTGGTCTCGAACTCCTGGGCTCAATTGATTCTCCCACTTGGGCTTCCCAAAGTGCTGGAATTATAGGCATGAGCTACCATGCCTGGGCCTTACATTATTTAATGCTTTTTTTTGATCCTAACAAACCTTTCTAAGAAGTAGTAAGACAGTCATTGAAAATGGGAAGTTAAAGCCTAGAGACTCTTAAGTGTTAAATGACTTAATATTTATTCAGTTCATGTACGTGCTAGGCACTTTACAGGTGTTATTCTTCACAGCACCACAATGAAGGACAGGTTCTGTATCTGAATTTTATTGATGAAGACATTGAAGCTTGGGGAGGCTAAGCCTAAGGTGATAGGCTTATACATTTTAATTAATTACGAAAGGGGTTACTATTATTGGTTATTCTAGGACAACAGGGACAAACTACGGCTGTCCTGATCAAGCCAGGATGTGTGATTGTCCTCTGTAAGTAACTTGCCCACATTTACACAACTCGTCAGTGGCAGAGCTGCAGCCAAGCACTGGGCTTTCTGACTCCACTGTGCTCCTGCCCTGCCTGTCTGGAGTGTCTCGTCCACATGAACTTGGCTCCTTGATCTGCCTGCCATGCCTCACTTCATGTGTTCGGAACGTGTCAGCATTTCACTGCCCAATGGTGCAGGCCCCTGCGGCCAGCTCATTGCCACACAGCATGCCCCTTTCTGCCGTAACACAGCTGCTGTGGCCACACTGTGGTCTCCCTCACAGAGGATCCTGTGCCATAATGGAGGCAGACGACTTCCCACAGTTGGGGGCAGTGAGCACTCTAGTCCCGGGATGGAGCTGTTCTTCATTTGCTGATTCAAGAAAATACCAGTCTGTACCTCCAAGACACCTGCAGTCTAGACCCCGGAGACATATAGAAAAGTGAGCCAGAAATGACAATGGAGAGTGACTGGTGCTGTGGAGGGTGAACACGGGCATAGAACACACAGAGGGGTACCCAGCCCAGGTGGTCTGGTGGTAGGAAGGCATCTAGAGGAAGCACTGTCAGCAGAGTGCTGAAGGATGAGTGGAGTCAGGGAGGGGAAAAGGTCTGTAGGGTATTGTACAAGAAGGTTTAGGAATGAACAGCTCAAGGGAAGGGCTGCAGAACCCCAGAGAGGGAGGCACGGACTTGGTAGTCAGACAAACATGGCTTTAAGCTCTGGTGTCTTAGATTTGGTGTTGGAAATGCTACTTCATTTCTCTGATCTCCTTGTCTGTAAAATGGGAATTCTACCCTGCAGTGCAGGGCTCTGAATGTTTGTGAGCTCTAAGTGAATACACGTAAAGTAACCCAGAACACTGTGGGTTCATCTTTGATGGCCATTAAATAAAAGTGGCCGTTGTTCCTTTCATCTTTGAATTATGTCCAAGTGTGGTGTGCAGGGAAAGAGGAAGTGAACCGTGAACCTGGAGAGATGGAGAGTTGACTCGTGTGTCTCTCCCCAGTGGAGAACGTCAGAACCATCTAGGCAGGGAGGCAACACGATCTGATTTGCTTTGTATTAAGGTGACAGTAGCACTTGAAGAAGAATGGTTTAGAGAGGAGTGAGCCTCGAGGCAAGGTGGTTACTGTAGTGATACAGGTGAGAGTCCACGTGGCTTTCATATACCAGATAGTGGCTAGAGGGGTGCAAGGGAAAGGATGATGTGGAAATGTACTTGGAATAGAATCGATAGCACTTGATACAAGGAAACCAACAGAAAGGAAAACAAAATTCAAGAATATTTTGTGGATTTCTGGTTTTAAGCCATTACAGTTGATTAGAGGAACAAATTAGTTTGGCATTTGAGGTACCCATGAGGAACATTGAGATGGAGGGGTCAACCAGGCAAGTAGTGAGCTCAGAAGAGAAGTTGGGGCCAGAAAGGAGAGATTTGGGACCCAACAGAGGGGAGAAGGAAGTTGAATTAATGAGAGTGGGTGAGAGTCCCCTGGGAAAGTGTTTAGAGGAAGAAGAAAAGACCATTACATTTGAGGAAATTCAGAGAAGCAGAGTCCACAAAGGGACTGCGACTGAGTAGCCAGAAAGATGGGGGAAAGCAAGGAGGAAACCCCAGAAAGAAAAAAGCTTCAGTTCAAATATCAAATTGGTAGGAGGACTGCAGAGGACCCATCTGCATAGCGGACTTAGAGTTTTTTGTGAATGGGGAGGGAGTGTGGAGGTTGAGCGAATTCAGAAAGACATTTTGAAGAAGCCGAGGGACTAATTAGTTCTGGCCTGAAGAGAGTTAGGGCTTCTACTCCAGGTAGGGGGAGGGATGACCGATTTGCCAAGAAAGAGGCAAGAAGGTTGAGGGGACGCTGTCTGGTGGCCTCTGGGTTCTGTGACTCAAACTCCCTGTGGGGAGCTCAGCATGGTGATGGGTGGAGGATTTGAGGAGGTGTCGCGGGTGGGAGCAGTTGAAATAGTTGGGAGGAAGATTTGGGGTCATTGTGGAAGGTCCAGTGGAAGTCTTATCCCTGCTTCCTCCTCCTCATCATCCTGCGCTTTGATCGTATGTTTGTGTGTGCATGTACATGTGTGTATCCATGTATCTTTGTATCTGACAGACATCAGTATTGGAATTATCTAAGGGGATAATCTCATTATTTGGGACACATGATAACTCTTCAATAAAATCTTCTTAAATATATCATTCAACAATTTTTGTATATTAATGGACCTTGATGTAAATCATATTTTGTACTATAGACATTGTGTGAATACATGGACTAAATGACCTTGCTTCAGTCTAGCTCTAAAATTCGATTATTCTGCATATTCATAGCTTAATCTGTAAGGTTCACATTATTTCAAAGATATAAATTTTATTTCTTTAGAATAATTCATAATTGGGCTTCTCACTCATCAGGCTCCCCTTCTAAGCAGTTCGTGGTTAACTCTGTAGTATCTGCGCTCTCACCAAGACACTTACTGTATTTGGGACAATCTTTCTAAATTGTTTATAGGGTGATGCCCATCCTTTGCAAGTAAAACATTGCCTTAGACATTTCCTTTTATGGTTTTCCAAAATGTTGCAGGCATTAGGCATAAAGAACATCCCTGTTGCTTTTTTGACCTGTTTAACGCAGTTTCTACTTAACGATTACCTGCAGGTGCTTCCCACACACTCGCCCTGCTCAAGGTGCTTTACAAATACTAATTCATGCACTCCTTCTGATAGACCCATGAGGTAGGGTCTGTCATTTTCATCTCTGTTTTACAGCTGAGGAAACTGAGGGGCAGAGAGGGAGGCCAGGTAACTTGCCCAGGCCACGCAGCTAGTTATGTCCAAGTCAGATTAACTACCAAGAGTCATGCCCTGCTGTTTCTCCAGCACATCACTTTGCTGTGTCATTTACTAGCAAAGATGGGAACCTAAGTGGGAGGGTCTGTGTGTGCATGTGCACGCACATGTACAAGCATACCAGTGTTTCAGAATCATGGAGCAATACATTAACAAAAATATTTTGAGTGACACTGAGAACTACCTGACACACGTGTGCTTATGAAAACTATCGAATTAGAATGCTCTGTTCTGTGAGTGATACACCTCTGCTGCTTCCAGAGGCCGAGCATCAGTCAGTTGTTGGATGGTACCACACAGCAGGAGGTGTTGTACTTTCCTCCACCACACCCTGAGAGGACCAGTTCAAAAAAAAAAAAAAAAAAAAAACAGAGACAACCCTGGGGTCAAGAGCATTTCTAGTAGAAGGATTACAGCTATTTCGGCTTTTTAGTGATGTGGGGTTCAGATCAAGAGAAGTTCACATTCTATGAGTCTTGTAGTCCTGACAGTCAATAAATGACTTAGTGCCTAAATGGTCTTTAGAGTGTTGAGATACTCTGAAACTAAAATCTTTATAACTCAATACTTGGGATCTTTATTCAGTTTCGAAGTTATTAAATAGTTTAAAAGCTGGGTTGGCATCCCCCTGGGATCGAGGGCTTTGGCAGATCAGCCCTTAGTTCTGGGGTGCTCAGACCCGCAGGTGGGGCAGTCCTCAGGCCAGGGCAGGGTCCCTTTGTGTGGCTGGCTTTGAGTTAACCCTCTGAACCTTAGGGATGGTGCACACAGAGGGGTGGTGCCCTCCCTGTCAACTCACAAAGGTTACTTCCTAGATTATGATGGGACATTCTCTGTATTCTGAGGGTTCCCATGACCCCGTGCATCACTCTTCTTTCCCTGACTTTGTGGCTTATATTTTCTTAGGGAAACCATTTATTCTTTGCAAGCCCTGTTACATTTTAATCTGGAAGGAGTTTGCATCAGAGGAAACAATTGAAACCCACAAGAAACACAAATGAAATATTATTGTCCTTTTCCTTCATTGTTGGGATTTCTAAAGTTATCCCATATCTCTAAAAGTTTATTAACACCAGAAAAAATTTAATTAATTACTGACTTTTAATGTTAAATATGGTATCTGTGTTAAACATAGATTTTTTGTTTGTAGTAGATTTTACATCTGTAGGAAAAATTCCTTAAGCATTTTTAGTTTATCACCTATGGTAATAGCTGTTATTAGAGTCTGAGGCTTTAGTGCGTCTTCTGTGACTTACATGTGATTCTACAAGAGTTTAAAAAGAGGAAGAGAATTGGTTTAAATGTCTGGATTTTCTTAATGAAATGTGATTCATTTGATAGATGTTAAATGCCATGTGAAAACTGACATTTGACTTCAGACTTGAATTTCACAAGCGTTCTCTATGCCCTGTCCCCACATAGGCACTTGAGAGTGTAAGCCTAAGGAAAGAACCCTGGGGAGAGGCCTCAGCTTCTGAATTTTCCTGGTTGTGGTTCTTTCCTTCTAACCTGTTTGCTGTTGATGTGAGACTAGGGCTCCGAGGGTCAGGATGCTTCAGCAGCGCAGTGCTAACTGTGATTTAAGAAATTGGAACCCCAAAGAAGTAACTAGTATCATTTGTTATCTAGTTTTGAGAAGAGATTCTGTTTATAACATTGTTTATATATTTCTCAGACTGCCTCACATTTTCCTTACTTTATTACTGAGGAAACCTTATTAAATGAGAAATAAATTTTAAGATATTGAACAGGGCATTTGGTCTCTAACGTTGAGGCTTCCTTTACTAAATTTGTGAACTGTGTACACCCAGGGTGTGTTGCAGGCGGGCAGGTCAGGCAGAAGACATTGTGATCCCCAAGGGATTATTAAGTTTTTTTGTTGCTGAAAATGACACTTAGACATTCAACATAGCATCAGGCACGTGGAAACTTGTTTGCATAATTTAACTTTTTTTCTAGTTTGCTTTTGATCAGGAACTATCCAGATTGATGTGTACTAATCATATTGCCCGATTGTTGCCAGAAATCTATTTAGTGTTCAACTAGGTGTCATCAGTGTGTGCTATAAATTCTATTTACTTCACCAGTACCTTCTAGAAGGAATTCTGTTCTAAAGTTCTCCAAAGAGCCCAAAAGTTGTACAGTTATGAAAGAACCTGTCATAAGACCACACAAAGAACTATCTAAAGGTCATTCATTGGTTGTATTTTCAAAAGTATCAGATAATCTTCCCCTTTAAAACTTACTTTGTCCTTAACAAAGCAATATTTTTTCATTATAACTTTACCTGCTGAAATTCAAGCAGATTAACCAGGAGATTCTAAATTAACATTGGCTGCATTTTCCATGGCCCCTAAATCAACTGTATTTCAAGAGTAAGGAAAGTGGGTACAGTGGACACTTGTCTTGATCTTAGTGCGTAAAACCAGGCCACCATCTAAATTGCAGGCTTTTGTTAGTTTAGTAGATCCCATGTTTCATACAAGCCATGGGGCAGGTGATTTTTGTGGACTCTGAAACATGCTTTTTGATGCTTGATTGCAAGAGTTTACTGTTCTCCTGATGCAGGAAGTTAGGGACTAGGTGTGGTCCTGGTGACTTTTATATATGGAAGAGCAAGGAAGTTCATTTTATGAATAAAGTGTTTTTGTACTGTTCTTGGTGGTAATGTTGACATTTCTTGCTAAGACATTTTTCCTCTGTGGTCTTATCTCAAGTTAAGCGGGGGTGATGTTTCTTGGAAGAATTCTGAGCCCTGTGTAATTGCCTTAATCTTCTTGCTGTTGTTTTCTAGCATCCTCCAGGACAAATAGCAAGGAAATACAGTTCCTGCTCCACCATTTTCCTAGATGATAGCACAGTCAGTCAACCAAACCTCAAGTATACAATTAAATGGTGGGTATATGGATTTATTTCCTTCCTTCCTTCCTTCCTTTTTTTTTTTTTTTTTTTTTTTTTTTACTTAACTGAATGCTTTTTCTGTTCCTTAACCTGACAGCTAAGCTGGTTGGTTGTGGGGTCTGGGAGTGATAAGATTGGATGGGTGGGAGTAGGGGTAGCACTGATAATTCAGGAAATCTTTTTAAAAAATGATTTTGGTAGTTAAGTGTGGGGTATTGAAATATTTTTACATAGTACTATTTACATTAAAAGACCAGAATCTTAAAGTATTTTAAATGTAGATTACTTAAAATATATTTTTTATTTTTGTTCATGCTTTCTACCCTTGCACTTTTTATTGAAGCCATCCTGGCATAACTCCACTAACTTTTTACCTTCTAAATAAAATGAGACTCCTATGTTCCCAGTTGGAGACCCGGGGCTCCAGTAGAAAGCCTGCCTGGCCTAGTGAAGGTACACTTGCCTGGGGTCTGGAGATCTGAGTTCTGACCATGGCTCTCTCACCAACAAAGAGAACGTGGGTGGGATCCTTTCTGTGGGGCCTTTAATTCCATATTTTTAAATGGAGTTTATAAGGGAGGAAGGAAGGGGGAGTCTTGGGATAAACTTCTTTCCCTTACGGTGCTTCAGTTTCCGTACTTTAAAGAGGGAGGGAACACTGGTTTTTCCTTTATTGTACCACTAGCATTATGGTAATAATGACCCTTGGCAAGTACTATAGAGAACCTGATGTGCTTGGGCCTGTGGTCAGCAGCTCAGTTTTAAAAAATCTGAATTTTATCTCTATACTTGTTTCAGAAAGCACACATTTCACAATACATGTCAGCATATGAAATAAGTGTTTAAATTTTAAATAAGGAGTATTCGTCCATTTCAGTGGGCCAGGTTTTCAGGCCTAGAAGCCCTGTTCTGAGTATGACCACATGTGATGATGAGTCAGGCAGTGAGGACTATAGCCATCTGTAGTCAGTGTCTGCTCTAGGCAGAAGGTGGAGGACAAGGCCGCTTGGGTAGAGGCTGCCTGTTGGCACTGCGCTTGTCAGGTTCCGTGCTTCCAGGATCTAAGTGGCAATGCAGCCTCTTCCTTACTTCCTCAGCACCGGAGTGCACGGGAAGTGACTAGTGGGCATAAACTCACACTGGCAGCACTCACAGAGCTCTGTCTTAGCTCCACCACGCATGCCCTTGCCTGAGCCACGTTTACCCTTGGGCTGTGGTTTACTGAGGGGAAATGGGGTGTGCAGTACCTTTGGAAGTATTTTCCAGATTAGGTTATTAGGACTCGCGGAGAGAAGTGGAAAGCCCTGAAGATCTGTGTACCACATGACTGTTGGCTTCTGCTCAATCTCTGAGGAGCCCAGAACAGAAGCTGCTAACTTCCCTTTAATCCTGGACTCCTCTCATTGGAAGCCAGGGCAGAGTAGCACAGTTTCCCATCCTGGGGCAGCGGGAGCTCTTGGGATTCACAGGTGGCTCTGTCTTAGTTGCTCAACACTTTCATCCTTGGACCACTTAAAATTGCCACTGGCTGTGACACAGACACTTAGGAGCCTAGTGAGAGAACTGTGTGACAATTTGATAGTTCATCGGTCAACTCTAGGAGGCACAAACACCTAAGTTAGAAATATGTTGTCTGTGTAAATCACTGTTTCTGGCCCTGGCTGCACCTAGGAGTCACCTGGGAGCTTAAAAACACACTGATGATTGAGGTCTCCTTACAGATCTTGATTGAATCTGGCTGAGGCATACTGTGGGTATCTGGACTTTTAACAGACTTTGATTGAATCTGGCTGAGGTATACTGTGGGTATCTGGATTTTTAACAGCTCTTGATTGAATCTGGCTGAGGCATACTGTGGTTATTTGGATGTGTAACAGCTCTTGATTGAATCTGGCTGAGGTAAATTGTGAGTATCTGGATTTTTAACAGATCTTGATTGAATCTGGCTGAGGTATGCTGTGAGTATCTGGATTTTTAACAGATCTTGATTGAATCTGGCTGAGGCATTCTCTGGGTATCTGGATTTTTAACAGATCTTGATTGAATCTGGCTGAGGTATACTGTGGGTATCTGGATTTTTAACAGCTCTTGATTGAATCTGGCTGAGGCATACTGTGGGTATTTGGATTTGTAACAGCTCTTGATTGAATCTGGCTGAGGTAAATTGTGAGTATCTGGATTTTTAACAGATCTTGATTGAATCTGGCTGAGGTATGCTGTGAGTATCTGGATTTTTAACAGATCTTGATTGAATCTGGCTGAGGCATTCTCTGGGTATCTGGATTTTTAACAGATCTTGATTGAATCTGGCTGAGGTATACTGTGGGTATCTGGATTTTTAACAGATCTTGATTGAATCTGGCTGAGGCATACTGTGGGTATTTGGATTTGTAACAGCTCTTGATTGAATCTGGCTGAGGTATATTGTGAGTATCTGGATTTTTAACAGATCTTGATTGAATCTGGCTGAGGTATGCTGTGAGTATCTGGATTTTTAACAGATCTTGATTGAATTTGGCTGAGGTATACTGTGAGTATCTGGATTTTTAACAGATCTTGATTGAATCTGGCTGAGGCATACTGTGGGTATTTGGATTTGTAACAGCTCTTGATTGAATCTGGCTGAGGTATACTGTGAGTATCTGGATTTTTAACAGATCTTGATTGAATCTGGCTGAGGCATTCTCTGGGTATCTGGATTTTTAACAGATCTTGATTGAATCTGGCTGAGGTATACTGTGGGTATCTGGATTTTTAACAGATCTTGATTGAATCTGGCTGAGGCATTCTCTGGGTGTCTGGATTTTTAACAGATCTTGATTGAATCTGGCTGAGGCATACTGTGAGTATCTGGATTTTTAAACCTCCCCAGGAGAGTCTCACAGGCAGCCAAAGTTGAAGACCCCAGATGGAAGTGGACAGCTACCCTCCCCTCCCCCACCAATGTCCCCCTGCCACTTTTAAATGAACTGCGGGTTAGAATGTAGAGAACAGAGAAGCTGAAGAGTAGGAACAAGCTATGAGACTTCAGTGTAGATTCTGGGCTTCCCTGATCCGAAGACATGGTCTCTGCACTGCACACATCTGAAACTTCTTCAGTCTGTAATTCAGTTGCTTTAAAAAGTATCTTCTTTTTCTTTTCTTTTCTTTTTTTTTTTTTTTTTTTTTTTTTGAGACAGGATCTCTGTCCCCAGGCTGGAGTGCAGTGGCATGATCTCAGCTCACTGTAACTCCGCCTCCCAGGCTCAAGAGATCCTCCCGCCTTAGCCTTCCGAGTAGCTGGGATTACAGGTACACACTACCATGGCCAGCTAATTTTTGCATTTTTTGTAGAGACATTTGTTTCACCTTGTTGCGTAGGCTGGGCTCAAGCAATCTACCCACCTTGGCCTCCCAAAGTGCTGAGATTATAGGCGTCAGCCACAGTGCCCAGCCAAAAGTATCCTCTTTTTAAAATGCACACTGGGAGCTGGGCAGGGTGGGACCAACTGAAGTAGAGCCATCAGAATCCTTCCCTGGAAATACCAGCATCTCACACTTGGTGTAGCTAAAGAGTCAAAAACATTTAGAGACATTAGCAGGTCCAGTTGAGTTCTTCAGCTAGAGGGTTGACAATATGAGAGGAAAGGGATACTCAGAAGGAAGAGTAGTGAAAAAGATAGGAAGTTGTGAAATCCACATGCCATCCCATTCTAAAATTTTGCCTACATCTTGCCCTACTCCTGTCCAAAGAAAACTCCTATTTTCTTTTTTGCTTTCTTTGCCTCCCGTTAACCCAGGTCCTCTTGCACCCTACTCCAGACATTAAAACTGATAACACAATCATTAATATTGTAGTTCAGCTTCATGGTGGGCATAAGTGAGCATTTATGGGCCAGAGTTGCTATCTGAAATCCAGTTACAAGGTTGTAACTGTGAGAAGAATGCCCTAGGTTCTAAACAGCGATTTATAAGCTGATTTTTGGAAAATAATCCACCTGTAAAGTGGGGATTGCCAGAAATAAACGTATTTGCAAATTCTAGCTGGGGATGGGTGGAGGGTTGAATGCTAATCTAACAGTGAAAGAAAAGCTATAAAAAAGTTGGGTACTCATTCAGTGCTCACTCTTTCTGTAGACATAATTTTTTATTTTGAGAACTTGATTTTCCTATTTTTCCCCTAAATGCCAACAGCTGTGGTATGAATTTAGAGTTTGTCAGCCACACTTTGTGCCTCTGCAGCCAACCCCTCCCCACCAAGTCCTCTGACAAGCATAAGATGATGATCAAAGAAAAGAGCGGAGGGTGGTGGGGAGCCCCTTTGCGCACTTGGCCATACCATCAGGGTCCTTGGCCTCCAGGGCCAGGGAACAGCTAATGCCCGTCACAGCCCTGTCTATGGCTCAGCCCCACTGTGCTGCTAGAACTCACCCCCTCTTGCCCTTCAAAGGTTTTAGGATTGTCATATACATTGCTAATTTAGCTCTGGGTAAGAAGACAAATGAAGTGCCAAAAGTCACAAATCCATTTTGTTTTCTTGTGCAAGAAAATAGCATTTACTTCCTCCCCAGCTATGTGGCAAAAGCTGCTGAGCAAACCCTATAGTCCAAATGTTTTGTTCCCTGATAGGGCTCTGGCCCTTCCTTGGTGAAACTGCACCATTTTCTGAGGTCTTGGCAGAGCTGACCAAGCCTCTGAAGTTGGGCACTCCGGGTCCCCCAGGTCCCCTGAGTTCTTTCTGTGTCCTAACCGATAATCAGAGTGCCTTGACCGCTCTTTGGCCTGGTAAACTTGGATTTGATAAGGGTGGTAAGAGCCGGTTAACTCTGTGGCTCGCCAGGGTTAATTGATCTGGTTAGCCACTCTGGGCAGAAACTAAAGGAGGCCTTAGGCACTTGTCTGGTAGGGTAGACACTGGTTCTGTCTGGAGGTGAGGCAGAAAAAATTAGCAGTGTCACAGCACTCCTCCGTCGGACAGCACCTACATGGCTCCTGGGCTGTTCTCTGAGAGACTGGATCGTTCTGGCCCTGCGAAGGGGATATGCCTTGGGGTCCTTCACCATAGAAGCCTATAAACAAGGCACAGGCTTTGTTGCACAGATTGACAGTGAGGGTGGCTATCTATGCCCCTGCTTTCCAGGGGCCGGATGGCACCCCGTTCACTGCCAGCATGCACGGTAAGCCCCTCAAGACTGCTCCACCTGGATGGAAGGACACTGTTTCCCATCTTAGGTCCCTTGGATGGGGCTTCGTGGCTGAAATAGGGGAAGTAAAAACAATGACCGGCACAGCTAAGCTGAGGAGTGCTGCAAAAACAAGGGAACCTGAAAAGAGACCAGAAAAAAAGGGAGATCCAACAAAACGGGTGTCAAGGAGCCAAATTTGACAAGACCTTCTAAAGACAGGTCCAAAAACAAAATAGACAGCCCAGTACAATTCTCCTTAGACTTTTAAAAGTCCCTAAAGCCAGAGCGCCAGTTTACCACTAGGGTTAATCCTAAACCCTGGGCACTGCCTCTAGAAAAAAACCCAAGGACAGAAGGTGGTGAGCACCGCCACCTCTACACTGACAAGAAAGCAAAGTTTTCTTCAATGTGGTGCCATTCATTGGTTCCCTCTAAACAAAGAGTTTTGACTCTGGTGGCTCCAGGGCTGAGCGTACTCCATGCCTGCTGATCCTCACAGTTTCTGGGCCCCTGACTTATAAATGTGGATCCAGAGATCCATCCACCTGCCTTTGCGAGATGAGCACGCCTCCTGTTACAAATTAGACATGCTCCTCTTACCCCACTGTGGGTCTACATATCAGTCTCAAAACACAGTTTGGGGAGAAACATTCTCCTGGGAGCTGCCTTTAGAGGAACGCAGACAAATTCCATCTCTGGGCAAGGGCAATAAGAGCCACACTCCAGGGGGAGGCCAAATGAGAGTCAGTATGTGACCCCACCCAAGATAGATTGTATAGATACACGTCTCCCAGGAAGACTCAGAAAGGTAACAGCAGCTACTCCAAAACTAAAGAGGGTGAGGATTGTGCATCCTACACAGAACCCATACAACAGCTCTGTGTGGCCGATGCAAAAATGTAACAGCACCCGAAGGATGATGGTTGATTACCAAAAACTAAGGTGACTCTGGCCACACATGCTGCGGTCCCAAATGTTAGCCCCAAAAGACTAACTGCTTGTTTAGGAATATGAAAGATTGTCCTATAACAAAACTTTCTTGAACATACCCTTAGACCCAGAGTCCCAGGACATGTTTGCCTTCACCGGTGAGGCCCCCAGTGGACCCTTCAGGTTTTCCTCCAGGGGTGCTCACAAAACCCCACTACTGCCTTGGCTTGATGGCCAGAGACCTGGCTGTTCGGGTGAATGCCTTGCAGGTCGCCTAAAACATTGTATAGATAATATGTCACTGACTTACACAGGTTTGAGTCTTTTAAAAAAGGCTACCCAAAAGGTTCTAAAACACCTACAATTCCCAGAGGATAGGTTGTCAACCAACAGAAAGTCCAGGAACCAGGGGACACCATAAAAGTCCTGAACATGGTCTAGTCGGGTGAAGCTGGTTTTTCCAACAGCCGTATTTGACAAAAGACACAGCTGCAAGCAGTTGAAATATTGCAGACCTTTGTAGAGCCACAAAGATATGAAAGGACCTTCATTTCCACTTGGCCCACTGTCTCAGGCCATCTTACTGCCTAATTAAAAGGGGGCGCAGTGGGGCAGAGATGCGTTTTTGGGGTGATTCCAGCCTCAGGTTTGACAAAAGAGACTGTGTGTAGAGTGAAGCTACAAGCCTGGGCCTGATTCAGTTGTCAGCTGATGGCCTCTTTGGGCAGTCACTTCCTTCAAGACGACTGCTAAACTAGTCCATGGAGCTGTACTGTGCCTGAACCCTCATCCTGGTGGTCTCACTTCTGGGATATAACCTTGAGTGGAAATTGGCCTACAGAGTGGCTCTACTTTTCCTGGAGGTCTTAAGCCGTGATAATATCCAATCTTGGCTTTAGCTTGGGAGATAGTGATCTTGGGGCCCTGAAGATTCTCGCCCATTCGGCAGAAGCCAGAGGACCTCTTACTAGGGGAATATCAATAATAGTAACTTTTCTTTTAAAAGTTAATATAAGATCATGCTTTTATATACTTTTTTTATTTGATCATAATTACAACTCCATGATGTGGGTTGTATTGTTCTAATTTTATAAATGAGGAAATGAAAGCTCTGAGAGGTGAATTAGCACTAATAAGGAGGAAGGAGCCAGGTTCAGAACCCAGGCTGATGTGACTTCAGTCTAGTGATATTTCTACTGCTGTATGCTCCCTCACAGGGGAAGCAGGAACATCTTCTTTCTCAAAGACATTAAACTAATCACATGAAATATTCCTTTGAAATGTAACATTAGATTAGAAGAACAGTCATCACAGCATGACTAGTAAACGAATGAAACTAATTCCTCCCTTTCCCAGAGGCTACATGGTCAAAACAGAAGGGCACACAGCCTTATACAAGCCAGAAATCCTGGCAGCTACCGTCTGAACCTGAGTTTTTCCCATTTATAAAATAGAATCAATAACATCTATTTTTTCTTGCAGGACTGTTAACATACGTGAAAACACTTTGAAAACCTTACTATTTTTTATAAATTCTGAAGCTCTTTTATACCCCAGTTACAATTTCTTCATCAGCTTCAATGCTTTTCAAGATGTTAGGAGAAAAAGGATGTATTAGCACTTATTTGCTCATGAGTACTTTCAACTAGGCTGAAGTCATTTGAATGAAGAGCTCTGGAAAGAGAGAGGTTTGGAAGAATATAAGAGAGTGAGATTAGCTACTGTCATGTTAAGTCACAGGAAAACATCTGAGTGCTTTGGAATCCAAGGTGCGTGCTCATGTCTCTAAGCCGGTGTGGCTGAGTAAGCGGAAATGTTCGGGCCGAGTCGGTACCCTGAGAGGATCAGAACACCGTCTGTTGCAGCCAGTTACCTATGTTCTTAGAGGCTTAAAAATAATTTTTTTGGCCTCCTCAATACATTTTAATGTAAAACACAAATAGTGGAAGTATCTAGACAGTTTTTGAAAGAGGAAATTTTAAAAAATTGTCCAGAACATGAATAACCCTGCCAACCTGATAGGAGTTTAAAGAAACTCAGATAGAAAAAGGAAAACTTTTTTGTTTGCTTGTTTTTTTACCTGTCCAGTTGGAGACCACTTGGTCAAAACATTCGGGTCAGTGTCAGTGAGTGTGAGTTGAAACAGATGCTGGTGGGAAGTCCACTGGTGTAGACTTTCCGCAAAGATGTTTGGCAATATGTGTTGAGAGCCTCACCATTGTTAATGACTTGAGGTCAAGTGATTCCAATTATAGGATGTATCCTTGTGGAAATAATATAGTTGTAGATGGCACAAATATTGGGATGTTCATTATGGTATTAATTATAATTGCAAAGTATTAGAAACAACCTAAATGTTCATTAGTAGGGGAATAGTTAAGTAAATTATTCGACAATCATATGAAGGAATATAATCAGCCATTTAAAATCATGTTTTTAATGATAAAAAAAAGTTAACATGAAAAAAGTTAAAAGTAGGATGGAAACCTGACTCCTTACACACATAATTTATAGAAAGCTATATATCTTAAGCTAATAGTTTTATTTGGGCGGAATATTTTTCTTACATTTTCTAAATATGTTCTCCAAAATTTCTACAATGAATATGTTTTCTAGTCAGAAAAAAATTGTTTTAGAAAAGAAAAAGTTCAGGGAAGGGAATGTAATTGTTCATTAAATTCAGACCTTTTAAAATGTAAAATAAAATGTTAAGGTAGTGCTACAAATAAAAGTTACAGTACCATTTCAGCAAGTGAATGAATAACTTGAGCGGATTGCCAAGAGGTTATTAAGGGAAAAATAGCAGACTTCTTGGGTGATATTCACATTTTTCTGGTATTTATAAATAAACCATGAATTTTTTAAACTAGTAGGTTATGAGTTGGAGATTTCTAAAGGTGTTTTCTTTATACCACCTATTTTTTACATAGCGCTTTTTTTTTTCCCACAAGTGAGGAAAGCTGAAAATTTCTGAATAGAAAGAGCAGTTTGTTTCTAAATATCACTTGAAGTTCTTTTGTTTCTAGAAGAGATGTAATAATTCCTGGGAATTAGTGCCACATTGATTTACTCAGAAGAGGACATTTTCCTAATGAGCATTGTGAATGAGATGGGACTGTTCAGAAAGATTGTTAGACTTTTACTTCTGTTTAAATATTTATGTTCAGACTGTGGCCAGGTAATGTGTAAGGTCTTGAATATGCTCATGGACACTGAACCTCTGCATTCTATTTTTACAGTGTCGCTCTTGCAATATATTATCACATCAAAAACAGGTATGTGGATGGTTGTGTGCTAAAAACATCATACGTTATCTTCTGTTATGTTGTTCCTATTTTTTCATATTCTAGTTGCTTAAACCTTTGAATTATACTTTCTTAACTCATATTTTCATAGAATTTCTAAAGGTAATATAATTTACTAAAACTTCCCAGGTAAGTGCTGAACTGCTTTAGAATCAGTGGAAACCAAATGAGCGTGGTTGAAACCAGCAAAACAGACAAAGCTTCTCAACGATGTTTGGCTTCCTTTTTCTTCTTTATTTTCTGAAAAATTTGTTGAAACATTCTGTCTTTTGTAAAATGTCACTTTAAAAGTTCACTGGGTGCAACTTTAACAGGAAAAAATGTTTAATTTATAGTTTGAATTCAGTAGAGGCAATTTTGGTGTAAATTTAGGCATGAACTATTTTAATATAGAAGCCCTCTCTGATGTAAGTGTATCTGGCAATAGTTGGTTAATTTTAAAAGTCAGTTAAAACAGGGAGTGAAAAAAAACTCTACCTTATACATTTTATTTCAACATAAAACATGTAAGAATACATTCATTTGCCAGTTTTTAAAAATGCAACTTCAAGACATTTGCTTCAAGCACAGGACATTGATTGGAGAACCAAAATGTATTTCTTTCATAAGCCACAGCTATCATTAATGCATCCTTTCCAAGTTTTTTTTTTTTTTTTGTCAGTAGTGAGAAAGCTTGAAGACATTTACATAACAGATGAGTATAAAATTTTTCCAGTTTTGACCACACCTAATCTACAGCAAATTTATTTTTAGTGATTTCCTTTTATCGGATCTTTCCAAAGCGTCCTCCTTCGTTTTCATGAGGACATAGCCACTCTCATGGTAATCATATTTCATGCATAATGTGACATTCATGTATGTTACACGAGTCTGCTAAGCACAGCTGGTGTGAACTAGTTTGGGAACAAGCAGAGCCACCACATGCTAAGTGCAGAGCTCAGCCCGTGGGAGCCCCACACGTTGTCGGTTTACAAAGCGTGGTTAGTCAGTGCAGGGGAGGTTGGATGACAGCTTCTAATGAACAGTATTGGAGAAAACACGAATATCCAGAAGCAGACACCTAGAAAGGGATTCTCTATGATCACCTATTTCCATACTGTAATTGTGATTCATGGTTCTTTATGGTGCTTGAGAATTTTGGATTTAAGAACTTACAAAACAGTGCAACTTTGGAACTCTAAATCTTGAATTAGAGTAATGTATCAGTGAAAGTGTAGATTTTATCTTGTTGCCTATTTCTATACTAGTTCAAACCTTTTAAACTTGTAAGGCTTAAGAAACAGTGTAATCCCATTGATGAAGCTCAGTTGTGCTTTCAAGACAATTTTGCATTAGAATCTCTAAGATATTTCTCAGTACTTACTTAGACTATGATGGATCCTGAAGTGAATGTAGCCAGAGCTGATAATAATGAGTTGGCTTTGTGAAGCACCTACTCTGACTGCTCTGGTCAGTTCTTTACATGCTTTAATAACAACTCCTTAAGGTGATACTGGTATCTTCATTTTACAGATAAAGAAATTGAGGCACAGAGAGATTAATTTGACTAAGATGATACAACTAGTAAATTGGGGAATTGGGAAATGAATTCAATCTACCACTCAGACCATTAATCTATTGCTCTCCTAGATTAATGATGATAAATTGCACCAAAAGTAAGTGAGTGGAAGTAGAGAAAGTCCAGCTGAAAAATTGAGCATTTGTAAACAAGCAAGATTAATGTACAGATTGCCACCTGCATGTCTCTAGGTATGAGGAGGGATGCCCGTCTGCATGCCTTCTCTTCGCTCTCATACTAGGCTGGCCTTTGGTGCTGGTGATAGACCTGTTAGCTTGATAAAGGTGGTGTGGTGCTGTTCAGTTGGGACACACAGCTTTTAGAGGAAGTAAGGAAACAGTCTACTTCTCAGAGGATTCTCCAGAATCCCCTTTCCTGAGTCGTCTTAGCTCGAGCTCTTAATTCTCATTTATATTTTTAGACTCTGTTCTCATTTTAAAAATTACTTCAGGCGAATGTTTCTCTAGGGTGCTGGATGCTTTCAGGGGCTCTCATTCTCCAGGAAAATTGAATGGGGCTCAACTGCTGAGGAATGGGGTCCTGGGCCAGGTTCTGTCTCTCCTGTAGCATCTTGAATGCCTCATAGAGATTCAAGATTTGGTTTATTTGAAAACTCAGTAAATAAGGTGAGGGAATCCGCTGATTCTTTGTAGCCCAGGTTGGTATCAGAGTGTAACCACGTGCACCCAGAAGCTGCTTTTTGCTCACAGACTACCTGCTGGGTTGAACCTTTCTTTCGCTTGGGTTGATCTGTGTCTGTGCTGCCTGTGTTCATGCAGGCAAATGTAAATGAGCACAGGTGTGAATGCCCAGAGCTTTAAAAATAATTGCTGTGGCTGAGCGCAGTGGCTTACGCCTGTAATCCTAGCACTTTGGGAGGCCGAGGCAGGCGGATCACGAGGTCTGGAGATTGAGACCATCCTGGCCAACATGCTGAAACTCCGTCTCTACTAAAAATACAAAAATCAGCTGGGCCTGGTGGCGCGTGCTTATAATCCCAGCTACAAGGGATATTGAGGCAGCCTCTACAAGGAGGCTGAGGCAGGAGAATCGCTTGAACCCGGGAGGTGGAGGTTGCAGTGAGCCGAGATTGCACCAGTGCACTCCAGCCTGGTGACAGAGCAAGACTCCGTCTCAAAAAATAATAATAATAATTGCTGTTGTGCAAATGTAGGAATGAAAATTGAGCTGTTTTGTTAAGCTCTTTCTCTTTTATTTTTACACAGATGGTAAATTTCTAAAGCAGAAATTGTAATGTTTGTCATGATAAGTGTGTGTTAGGGACAGGTCTGTAGCCTTCTGAAGTTCTGAAGCCTGACACTGAAGCACAGACTATGGAAATTACATGCAGCTAGCCAAAAGCTGTCATTTCCAAGTTTGGTTGTTTAAAGAAAATTTTTTAGGCAAAACTTAAATTTCATATAACAGATGAAAGTAGAGCTGTCACTCGTGAGGTACGGAGGGTCCCCGCAGAGCCCAGCGGCCCACGGTACTGTGTTCACAGTGAAAGCTACCTCTTTAAGTGGTTCTGTGCACGTACCAGCCTGGTAAGAGCTAACTGTTCACATATAGGTTATTGACTAAAGACTTTTTATCTGTCACCTGTTGTTTTTCAGTATAAAATTGTGAAACTTAAATGAAGTAGTGACGTTGCGTGTTGTGAATAATCAGACTGATCTCTAGGATACATTGATATTCATTCTTACCCTGGCGCTTCTTTCCTATCACCCACAGTATGTTGATGGCTTAAGCAGATCCAACAACCTTTGCTTGGAAATAAGATGTCAAATTTAAGTCATTTGCCTAGATTCGATTCATTTGAAAACTCAAAAAATTAAAATTAAATTTTTACTTAATTTAGCTAAGTGTGGTTTATAACCTTTATTTCCTTGGGCTATTTTAATCATAAGTGATTAAGTATTGCACCCAAGAAAAATCATTATTCATGAATAACCATTTAGCACTGACTTGTGTTTCTTGAAATAGTTGAATTGGCTGGGTGCAGTGGCTCACACCTGTAATCCCAGAACTTTGGGAGGACAAAGCAGGTGGATCTCCTGAGGTCAGGAGTTCGAGACCAGCCTGGCTAACATGGTGAAACCTTGTCTCTACTAAAAATACAAAAAAAAAAAATTAGCCGGGTGTGGTGTTGTGTGCCTGTAATCCCAGCTAATTGGAAGGCTGAAGCAGGAGAATCACTTGAACCCAGGAGGTGGAGGTTGCAGTGAGCTGAGATGGCGCCACTGCACTCCAGCCTGGGCAACAGAGTGAGACTCCGTATCCCAAAAAAAAAAAAAAAGTCATTGAATTAAAATGTATTTTTGTTTTATTTGAATGACATTCTTGCAGAAAGTAAGTTTCATTTTCTATTATTTTCCCTACCAGGGACCCAGATGGAAGGATGCTCTTAGATATTTTTGATGAAAATCTTCACCCTCTTTCGGTAATCTCCTCCGTGTGTTTCATGAGATGATTTAATTATTTCTCTTTTGCTCCAATCGGGAGATCAGTCATCTGAAAATATTTTCTTCCCCAGAAATCCGAAGTGCCACCAGATTATGACAAACACAACCCAGAGCAGAAGCAGATTTACCGGTTCGTTCGGACACTGTTCAGTGCTGCTCAGCTGACGGCTGAATGTGCCATCGTCACCCTGGTGAGTGCCCTCAGGATGGCCACACCCATCCCCAGCCGAGGTGGTCCAGGGCCCGTTCCTGTTACTCAGCGGAGTGAGGTTGGAGCAGGGAATCCTCACCAGGTTACCCTGTGGACACCGTGGCATAAGCTTCAGTGTTGTCGTTCTCCTGGGAGAATAGAGGATAGATATCCCGGAAGAGATTGTGAAGATTGTTCTGTAGCCCCCACCTAAAGTCATTTGTGAAATCACGTTCAAATCCAGGAAATGCTGAAATTAAAAATGCAGGTAAGTAAAACAGTAGGGCTAAGAGAGTGGTTATATGGCCAAGGTACTCCCTGTATACGTCTAGGTTTCCTGGTGTTGATTCCCTACAAAGATTGTAATAGTATTAGTAAGATATGATGAATACATTCATCTTATATGAACACTTGTCTAGGAAGGAGTGTGTATATTCCTAGCTTCTGTTTTGTGACTTTTGAGTAAATGTGTCTGCAGGATATTCAGAGACAGTATGGAGGTAACGTATATTTTAAGACTCAAGAAAAAATAAAAATTTGTTTTTACAGCTGGGCTCCATGGCTCACGTCAGTAATTTCAGCACTTTGGGAGGTCAAGGTGGGAGGATCACTTGAGCCCAGGAGTTTGAGACCAGTCTGGACAACATAGTGAAACCCCGACTCTACAAAATTTAAAAGTCAGCTGGCCATGGTGGCACGTACCTGTGGTCCCAGCTACTTGGAAGGCTGAGGTGAAAGGATCACTTAAGCCCAGGAGGTCAGGCTGCAGTGAGCTATGATCATGCCACTGCACTCCAGCCCGAGGGGCAGAGCGAGACCCTGTCTCAAAAGAAAAAGTATTCTTACTTGGATTCTTAAAATGTTATGCACTATTTAGGTCAAATCTCACTTGGGAAATAGATTTAACAATGGAACCCTTTTTGTCACTGACCTTTTACATTGTGTATAACTTAGATGAGAAATTAGCTTTGCCTGTGCATGAGCTATCCTGGAGATCAGAATACCATTTCCTGTAGTTTCTGAGAAGAGACAATTGTCTAGTAGAAGCTTTACAGGCGACCGAAGGACTCTTTGTGTCTCCGCCACATGAAGAGCTGTGTGCTCCGAGGCTAACTGAACAGAAACCCTGTTGGCTTGTTGCTCATTCATTCATCTGTTCATCTGTTTGTTCATTCCTTCTCATTGAACTCACAGCCTGAAGGATAATAGAACAGACAATCAAGTAATCATTAGATGATTAGGAATGATTGCAGGTTCCTATGTCATAATTGAGTAATGTATGTACTGCCCAGCTTTGTTCCTCAAAGGGATTTTAAGTTCTAACCAAAACACGCAACAGGGCAACAGGGTTGAGATTTTTATGTAGGGAAATTCAGTGAAGGGAAAAGAAGATTAAGAAAAGCAGATGAAACCATAGATGAAATTAGTACTGGAATACATGCCATGAGGAAGGATTTATTTTGAAGTTGCTGTAGATGGAAAGTGGCGGGGATTTTTTCTACCTTTAATTCCTAAGAAAAATATGGCCTGGCTGTGAAAGATAGTGCCTTCCTGGTCGGGATTATTATTTAGCTTGAAGGATGTTCAGGGCCAGCATTTAAACCCCACAGCTCACCCAGTGTCTGCCTTGAGAGAACATCTAACAGGCATCCCTTGCTGCCCTCTGCATCACTCACCAAAGGTGACAGGGCTGATGAGTTCATTTCTTTGGAGTAGTGTAGGACTGGCACTTTTCTTGTGAATAATTGTAACTATTGAAATCTTCATTTGTCCTATGAAATAGACTGGTGTTGACCAGGATACCAGTTTGTATGGGGGTCTTGTTGGTTGCAGCTGGAGAGGAGCAGCCTTGGAGGCCTTCGTGGTAGGTGCAGCCCTGCAGCCCATCCTCTGGTCTCTGCTGTCTGCTGAGGCTCATCAGCGCAGCTGCATGCTTGTGGGTAGAGGGCACAGAGACGTGTGCCTTGAGCAAGACTCTTGTAGGATTGTTCTTCCCTCCTCGTGTTCCCTAGAGTTAGAAACAGTCATTCAGGACAAGTCTGGCCTGGAGTTGACAGAGATGCATTCATTAAGCCCTTATTTTCACTGGGCATGTGTTTGGCATCTTGGCATGCTGCTCAGCAGGCAATGGAGGAGGAAGAGCAGTTAGCCCTGGCCGTGCTTCCCACACGGAGTAGGACTGCAGCCTGCTGTGGACAGAGAGCCTACAGGCCCTTCAAACACCCAAACCTACTTCACCCAAAGCAAATATTTCACAGCTTAATCAACTTCCTTTTAAAAGAGTAACAATAACTTAGATCACTAAGTGTATTTTTTAGCCTCCTAGAATATGCTGAAAGCTCTCCTATGGATACTGCCACATGAGGAAATTTGAAAGGGAGTGAGGTAATTGATTTGCACCTTGATGAGTTATGTAGAGGCCTTTGTGGTGTACCTGCAGCAGCTGGAGGAAGCCAGGCCTGCAGTGAAGTGGGCAGAAAGGCCTTGGCATCCAGCTGCCCCTCCACGAGGCCCTTCCCTTCCCTCAGGAGTCACCCAAGCTGACTGATCCTGAGAACCATGCATGGCACCCACTTTAGTCCTATGCGGTACTTCGACAACATGAAAAGCTCATTGCCTGTCTGAACTGGGATCTTCTGTTGGAAGGATGAGAAAGCCAGAGGCCAAGGCAGAAGGAGATATATTGGAAGGTCCAGGCAGGTCTCGCATATCCCTTGTCCTGTAGGTCTGGAAGGACATCAGGCTGTAGAATGAGGCCCACTGCAGGTTTCTCTTCCTTTGGGCTGCTTCTCTCACCTTTGCGCACTGCTGTGGCTCTGGGGCCTTAATGTGCAGGTCGGCTTTCTTGCTTCGGATGGGATGTGGCAGGACAGTATTAATAGCTTTCCCCACCCTTCATCACCTCTCCGTTTAAGGCCGCACACCCTCTAACCCAGTCTCCTCTTTCAGTTTTGGAGAGGGGAGATTTTGACTGGCCCCAGTTCCTTTGGGGTCAGATGTTCATCTGTAGAAAAATCAGTCATGACCCAGAGTTGAAGGAGCTTGGTCCTGCTCTTTTTTTTCTCACTTTGCACGCTCCTCTGTTCAGAACCTGTGGTGGTTCCCATCTTCCTCAAAGGAAAACACAAAGCCCTTATGTTACTGACGGGGCCTAGCAAGATTAAGCCTCCCATCTCTGCCCAGCTGCCTCCACTCTCCTCAGTGTCATGCTGCAGCTGCTCTGTTCCCTGGATGTACCGGACACACACCTGCCTCGGGACTTCTGCACCTCAGGACTTCCTCCACCCCTTGGCACCCAGCTCCCTCTGTCCCAGGTGTGTTTGAGATGCGTCCTGCCCTCCTCCTCCCCATCTTTGCTCAAAGGGCACATCAGGGGGCTGTTGCCTGGCCACCATATCTGAAGTTGCAACCTCCCTCCTGCACCGCACTCCCTGCTCATCACTTCCTGCTTTTTCTCCACTTGCTTATCACCTGTCAGCATGCTTTAGGTTGAAGTCATTAATTTTATTGTTTTGTCAGTAAGCCCCATGCGTAAGAAATGTCTGGTCTTTTTGTCCATGTGGTTTACTACAATACGACCAACATCTGGAACACAGCCCAGCTCATAATGAATGCTCAGTAAGTATTTGTTGAACATGTAGTGAGCACAGTAATAACTGCCTACTGGCTGAAGTACATGGTGGTGATGTGCCTGAAACATAAGGATCATTTAATACCTATTTATTATCTTCCCCTGCCCCAGTAGTTTTAGAACATTGACACATTTCATTTCATTGCTTAACTTTTTTTTTTTTTTTGAGATGGAGTCTCACTTTGTTGCTCAGGCTGGAGTACAGTGGCACAATCTCAGCTCACTGCACCCTGCACCTCCCAGTTTCAAACGATTCTCCTGCCTCAGCCTTCTGAGTAGCTGGGATTACAGGCTTGCGCCACCATGCCCTGCTAATTTTTCTTGAATTTTTAGTAGAGAAGGGGGTTTCACCATGTTGGCCAGGCTGGTCACTCCTGACCTCAAGTGATCTGCCCACCTCAGCCTCCCAAAGTTCTGGGATTACAGGCGTGCGCCACCACACCCAGCCCTGCTTAAGCTTTCTGAAGGGACAGAAAAAAACTCGTCAACTTCGGGGACATCACTCAACTGAACCTTGATTGAGCATTCCGTGTGAGGTTAGTTCTGTCTGTAGAGCCACAGCAATGGGAGAGGGAGAAAGAGAGGAAGTTGGTGATTGATGGAGGGATTCCGGCATAAGGGAAGGGGAACCAAGAAGAGATCGAGGTGGCAAAGTGACAGCTGACCAGACAGGAGGGGGTGTGGTCCCTTTCTTTATTTCCTATTTTTTAATAGCTTTATTGGGACATATTTTATATACCATACAATTCAGCCATTTAAAGTGAGCATTTTAGTGGGTTTTAGTACATTGTACAACCATCACTACAACCTAATTTCAGAATATTCCCTTCACCCCATAGAGAAACCCCTTACCCTTTGGCATTCACTCCTCGTTCTTAGCCTCCACCCAGGCCCAGGAAACCACTAATCAAATTTCTATGTCATTTGCCTATTCTGAACATTTCATATCAATAGTATCTCATATGATAGTTCATGATTGGCTTCTTTTACTTAGCATATGTTTTTGGGATTCATCCATGTTGTAGCATGTATAGTATGTCCTTTTTTATTGCAAATAATATTCCATTGAGTGGGGATACATACACACACACACACACACACATATATATATATAGATCTATATATATGTGTGTGTGTGTGTGTGTGTGTGTGTGTGTGTATGTATATATAGATCTATATATATGCTGCAGCCCTAATCCCTGTTGGAGTGAACAAAGGAGGATGAACGTGAGAATAAAGACAAAGACAAAAGAATGTATTTGGAAGAAGGGGTCAGGGGGCTCCTTGCTTTTAGTGAACAAGGGCCCAGAGCTTCTATAGCCCTTCGTATTTATTGAGTAAAGGAGATACAGAGAAGGGGGTGGTTGTCAGTCAGCTGCTTGACTTAGAGCAGGCCTGCACAGCTGCATTCTCTGAACAGTAGTCTCTAGATGTTCCAGTAGATAACCTCAAGGAGCACGGCACCAGGGAGTGATTACACTCAACAAACCTTCTGGTGGCAGGTGCAGTTGTGAGTTTGCCCACATCCTGCATTCATGATAAACAGTTTGCTGTTTGATCATATAGCCTCCAGTGGAATGCTGAGTTGGTCACAACCCACAGGCTTTTGGCTCTCTCTGTCTCTCTCCCTATATGTGTATGTATATGTGTATGTATACGTATATGTATACATATACGTATATGTATGAGAGACAGAGTGAGTGTTGGCCCTCCTTGTACAAGGGCTTTGCACCTGAAGATTCAGCCAACTGTAAAATGAAAATGTGGTTAGGCCTGTGATGGTTGCATCTGTGCTGAACATGTACAGAATTTTCTTCTTGTCATTATTCCCTAAACAAAACAGTATAACCACAATTTACCTAGCGTTTACATTGTATTAGGTATTATAACTCATGTAGAGATGATTTAAGTATACAAGATGATGTGCATAGGTTATATGAAAATGGCTCTGCCATTTTATATCAGGGACTTGAGCATCCTCACATTTTAGTATCTGCAGGGGCCCCTGGAACCAACCTTCCACAGATGCTGAGGGTCACTGCACTTCATTTTGTTTACTCATTCATCAGTTGGTGGACATTTAACTTGTTTCTACTTTCTGGCTATTATGAATCCTGCTGCTATGAACATAAGTTTGTGATAAGATTTGTATAAGTTTGTGATGTAGTTTGGCTGTGTCCCCACCCAAATCTCATCTTGAATTGTATGTCTCATAACTCCCATTATTGTGGGAGGGACCTGGTGGGAGATAACTGAAACATGGCAGCAGTTTCCCCCATACTGTTCTTGTGGTAGTGGATAAGTGTTATGAGATCTGATGGGTTTATCAGGGGTTTCCATTTTTGCATCCTTCTTATTTTCTCTTGCTGGTACCATGTAAGAAGTGCCTTTCACCCTCCGCCATGATTCTAAGGCCTCCCCAGCCATGTGGAATTGCAAGTCCAATTAAACCTCTTTTTTTTCCCAGTCTCGGGTATGTCTTTATCATCAGTGTGAAAATGGACTAACACAGTAAATTGGTAGCAGTAGAGTGGGGTGCTGCTGAAAAGATACCCAAAAATATGGAAGTGACTTTAGAATTGGGTAACAGACAGAGATTGGAACAGTTTGAAAGGCTCAGAAGAACACAGGAAAATGTGGGAAAATTTGGAACTTACTAGAGACTTGTTGAATGGCTTTGCCCAAAGTGGTGATAGCGATATGGACAATAAGGTTCAGGCTGAGGTGGCCTTAGATGGAGATGAGGAACTTGTTGGGAACTGGAGCAAAGGTGACTCTTGTTATGTTTTAGCAAAGAAACTGGTGGCATTTTGTCCCTGCAGTAGAGATTTGTGGAACTTTGAACTTGAGAGAGATGATTTAGGGTATCTGGTGGAAGAAATTTCCAAGCAGCAAAGTATTCAAGAGGTGACTTGGGTGCTGTTAAAGGCGTTCAGTTTTATAAAGGAAGCAGAGCATAAAAGTTCACAAAATTTGCAGCCTGACAGTCTGATAGAAAAGAAACACCATTTTCTGAGGAGAAATTCATGCAGGCTGCAGAAACTTGCAGGAGAGAATGTTAATCCCCAAGACAATGGGGAAAATGTCTCCAGGGCATGTCAGAGGTCTTCAGGGCAACCCCTCCCATCACAGGCCTGGAGGTCTAGGAGAAAAGCGTTTTGTAGCCTGGGCCCACGGTTCCTGTGCTATGTGCAGTCTAGGGACTTGGTGCCCTGCATCCCAGCCACTCCAGTCATAACTAAAAGGGGCCAAGGCACAGCTCGGGCTGTTGCTTCAGAGGGTGGAAGCCCCAAGCCTTGGCACCTTCTGTGTGGCATTGAGCCTGCAGGTGTCCAGAAGTCAAGAATTGAGGTTTGCCTAGATTTCAGAAGATGTATGGAAATGCCTGGATGTCCAGGCAAAAATTTGCTTCAGGGGCGGGGCCCTCAATGGAGAACCTTTGCCAGGACTGTGTGGAAGGGAAATGTGGGGTCAGAGCCCCCACACAGAGTCCCTGCTGGGGCACTGCCTAGTGGAGCTGTGAGAAGAGGGCCACCATCCTCCAGACCCCAGAATGGTAGATCCACCAGCAGCTTGCACCATGCACCTGGAAAAATTGCAGACACTCAATGCCAGCCTGTGAAAGCAGTCAGGAGGGGGACTATTCCTTGCAAAACCACAGAGGTGGAGCTGCCCAGGACTATCAGAACCCACCTTTTGGATCAGCGTGACCTGGAGTCAAAGGAGATCATTTTAGAGCTTTAAAATTTGACTTCCCTGCTGGATTTCGGGCTTGCTTGGGCCCTGTAACTTCTTTGTTTTGGCCAATTTTTCCCCTTTGGAATGGCTGTATTTACCCATTACCTGTACCCCCATTGTATCTAGGAAGTAACTAGCTTGCTTTTGAGTTTTCAGGCTCATAGGTGGAAGGGACTTGCCTTGTCTCAGATGAGACTTTGGACTGTGGATTTTTGAGTTAATGATGAAATGAGGGACTATTAGGGAGGCATGATTGGTTTTGAAATGTGAGGACATGAGATTTGGGAGGGCCCGGGGTGGAATGATACGGTTTGGCTGTGTCCCCACCAAGATCGCATTTTGAATTGTATCTCCCATAATTCCCCTTGTTGTGGGAGGGACCTGGTGGGAGATAATTGAATCATGGCACTGGTTTCCCCCATACTGTTCTCATGGTAGTGAATAAGTCTTACGAGATCTGATGGTTTTATAAGGGGAAACTCCTTTCCCTTGGCTCTCATTCTCTCTCTGCCTGCTGCCATCCATGTAAGACGTGACCTGCTCCTCCTTGCCTTCCACCATGATTGTGAGGCTTCCCCAGCCATGTGGAACTGTAGGTTCAATTAAACCTTCTTTCTTTTGTAGATTGCCCAGTCTCAGGTATGTCTTTTTCAGCAGCATGAAAATGGACTGATACAGTTTATATGTGGGCATATGTCTTCATTTCTTTTGGTATATATCTAGAAGTGGAATTGCTGGGTCATATGGTAACTCTGTTTTGAGGAACAGCAGATTGACTGTTTTTCAAAGTGACTGCACAATTTCAGATTTCCTTTGGCAACATAATGAGATTTTCAGTTTCTCCACATCGCATCCTTATCAATGCTTGTTAGTGTCTGTCTTTTTCATGTTAGCCATTCTAGTGGGTTTGAAGGGTTAGGTCATTGTTTTTATTTGCATTTCCCTGAGGATTAATGACGGTTGAACATCTTTTCATGTGTTTATTGACCACGTTTTCTTTGGAGAAGTATCTATTTACATTCTTTGCCCATTTTAAGAACGGGTTGTCTTTTAGTTGTTGCATTATAGGAGTTCTTTATATGTTCTGGATACAAGTCCTTTGTCAGGTATATGATTCACACACATTTTCTTGTCTGTTTTGTCATTTCTTTTTTGTAATGGTATCAGTTTGCAACTTAGGTTTTTATTTTCACAAAGCCCAATGTATTTCTTTTGTCACTTGTGCTTATCTAAGAATCATTGCATAACCCATGGTCATGATGATTTACCCCTATATCTTCCTTTAGGAGTTTTATAAATGTAGCTCTTAAATTTAGGTCTATCATTCATTTTGAGCTAATTTTTGTGAGTTAGGGGTCCACATTCGTTCTTGTGCATTTGGATATCCAGTTGTCCCAGTGCCTTTATCCTTTCCCCATTGAACTGTCTTGTCACCCTTGTCAAAAATCACTTGACCATAAACATGAAGGTTTATATCTGGGTTTTCAATTTTGTTCCATTTATCTATATGTATTTCCTTATATCAGTACTACACTATCTTGATTACCATAGATTTGAAGTTGAAATTGGAAAGTATGAGTCTCCAGCTTTTTCTCTGTCAGTGTTGTTTTGGCCATGCCATCCATGATCCTTGCATTTCCCTATGAACATTAGAATTAGCTTGTCAATTTCTGTCAGCACCCACCACCTCAAAAATTTTGGGATTTTAGTAGGAATTGCATTGACTATGTAGATCAGTTTGGGAAGTATTGCAGTCTTAGCAATATTAAGCATTCAAATCTCTTCTAACATGGAATATCTTTCTATTTATTTAGATTTTCTTTCATTTTGTCAACGTTTTTCTATAGTTTTCAGTATACAAATCTGACACTTCTTTTGTTAAATTTATTCCTAGGGGCAGGGTGCAGTGGCTCACGCCTGTAATCCCAGCAGTTTGGGAGGCTGAGGAGGGTGGGTCACGAGGTCAAGAGATCGAGACCATCCTGGCCAATATGGTGAAACCCCATCTCTACTAAAAACACAAAAATTAGCTGGGTGTGGTGACATGCATCTGTAGTCCCAGCTACTCGGGAGGCTGAGGCAGGAGAATCGCTTGAACCCGGGAGGCAGAGGTTGCAGTGAGCCAAGATTGCGCCACTGCACTCCAGCCTGGTGACAGAGTGAGACTTTGTCTCAAATAAAAAAGAAAAGGAAATTTATTCCTAAGTATTTAACTCTTTTGCATGCTGTTATAAATTGAATTGTTTTCTTAATTTCATTTTTGGTGGTTTATTGCTAGACTATAGAAATACAATTTATTTTTATAGATTGATCTTGTACCCTGCCACATTGCTGAATTCATTTATTCTAATAATTTTTTCAGTAGATTCTTTAGAATGTTACATGGGAAGATCACCTGCAAATAGAGATAGTTTTACTTCTTCCTTTTCATTATGGATGCCTTTTATTTGGTTTTCTTGCCTAGTTGCCACAGTTAGTACCTCTAGTAAAGTGTTGAATAGAAGTATCACGAGTGCACATCCTTGTCTTGTTATTGATATTAGGTGTGAAGCTTTCCATTCTTCTCCATTAAATGTTCTGTGTGCTGTGTGCTGTGAGTTTTTTGTAGATGTCCTTTATCAATTGAGGAAGTTTCCTTGTATTCTTAATTTGTGTAGTGTTTTTATTTTGAAAGGGTATTAGATTCTGTTAAATGCTTTTCTGCATCTATTGTGATTGATCATGTAGTTTTTGTCTTTTGTTCTATTAATATGTTAAATCAACCCCGCATTCCGGGATAATTCCCAGTTGGTCACAGTGTATAATTCTTTTTATATGTCGCTGGACTCAGTTTGCTAGTCTTTTGTTGATAATTACATCCATATTTGTAAGGAATTTGGTCTTGTGATAGCTTTGGTTTTGGTATCAGGGTAATAGTAGCCTCATAGAACAAATTGAGAAATATTCCTTCTACTTTTTTTTTTTTGAAGAGTTTGTGGAAGGTTGGTATTCTCATTTAAATGTTTGGTAGAATTTATCACTGAAGCCATGTTGGTCAGGGTTTTTCTCTGTTGGAAGTTTCTACATTACTAATCAGTCTCTTCGCTTGTTTCTTATAGGTCTATTCAGGTTATCTCTTCTTGAGTCAGTTGCAGTAGTTTGTGTTTTTCTAGGAATTTGTGCATTTCATCAGCATTACCCAATTTGTTGTCATGCAGTTGTTCCACAGTATTCCTTTATGATTCTTTTTATTTCTGTAAAGTCTATAATGTCCTCTGTTTTGTTTCTGATTTTACTTATTTGAGCCATCTCTCTTTTTCTTGGTTGGTCTACCTTCAGGTTTTTGAATTTTGTTGTTTTTTCCAAGGAATCGACTTTCAGTTTCATTGATTTTCTCTCGTTTTAGTATTTCTATTTCATTTCTTTCCACTTTAATGTCGATTACTTCCTTCCTTCTACTTACTTTGGTTTCAGTTTGCTCTTCTAGTTGCTTAATGTGGAAAGTTAGGTTATTGATTTGAGATTTTTTTTTAATACAGGCATCTACAGTTATGAATTTCTAAGCTTTAGTTGCATTGCATAAATTTTGCTGGGTTATACTTTCATTTCCATAGATGTATTTTTTAATAAACTTTTGTTTTAAATTAGTTTTAGATTTACATAAAAATTGTGAAGAAAGCAGAGTTCCTATAAATCCCACATCCAGTTTATTTTTAACATCTATAATATTATAAAATTATATAATGTACATAATTTAGTATCTTAGTGTGAGCTGTTTGTTACACTTAATGAACTGATACTGGTTATTATTATTCTATTATTTTTGCGACGGATCTCATTCTGTTGCCCTGGCTAGAGTGCATTGGCACCATTCATGGCTCTCTGCAGTCTCAAACTCCTGTGCTCAAGTGATCCTGTCCCTGCAGCCTCCTGAGTAACTGGAACTACAGCTGTGCACCTTCATACTTGCTTAATTTTTAAAAATATTTTGTAGAGACTGGGTCTTGCTGTGTTGCCCAGGCCGGCTTTGAACTCCTGTCGTCAAGTGACTCTTCCTCCTCGGCCTCCCAGAGTGCTAGGATTACAGGTGTGAGCCACCATACCTGCCCATATATTATTATTAACTGAAGTTCATTTTTACTCCAGTTTACTTAGTTTTTACCCAGCATCCCTTTTCTTCTTTAGGATCCCATCCAAGACACCATCTTGTATCTAGTTGTCATTACCCAGCATCCCTTTTCTTCTTTAGGATCCCATCCAGGACACCATGTTGTATCTAGTTGTCATTATCCAGCATCCCTTTTCTTCTTTAGGATCCCATCCAGGACACCATATTGTGTCTAGTTGTCGTTACCCAGCATCCCTTTTTTTCTTTAGGATCCCATCCAGGACACCATATTGTATCTAGTGGTCATTACCCAGCATCCCTTTTCTTCTTTAGGATCCCATCCAGGACACCATATTGTATCTAGTTGTTATTACCCAGCATCCCTTTTCTTCTTTAGGATCCCATCCAGGACACCATATTGTATCTAGTTGCCGTGTCTCCCTAGTCTCCTCTTGGCTGTGATAGTTTCTCAGGCTTTCCTTGTTTTTGATGATCTTGACAGTTTTGAGGAGTGCTGGCTAGTTTTTTTGTAGAATGTCCCTAACTTGGGATTTGTCTGACGTTTTTGTCATGATTAGACTGGGATTGTATGTTTTTTTGGAGGAAAATAACAAAGGTAAAGCACCATTTTTAGCACATCACATCAAAGGTACATTTGATCAACATGACTCATGACTATTGATGATAACCTTGATCCCTGGCTGAGGTTGTGTTTGTCAGGTTTCTCTGCTTTGTAGTCACTCTTTTTCTCCACTTTCTGTACTGTGTATCCTTCGAATGAGGTCACTCTGTGCAAACCACACGTATGCAGGCAGTTGTGTTCCACCTCCCTAGGTGATGCATTCTGAGAAGAGTGCTTGTTACATCAGCCTGTCAGGACCACTGGTCATGCCAAGTGGGGTTGGGTCTCAGCCTGGGGAGGCCTTGGCAGGGCCCAGCCATTGCAGCACGGCTGTCCGATGCCTGCCATTCAACCCCTGAACTGCAGCCTCCAAATCCCTTCTCAGAGTCTTGTGCTCTGATGGTGAAGTGACTGTGGAATCAATTGAGTCTGACCCTGAAAGACTTCCTTTATGGGTCACTTTTAATAGATTCTGAGGAATTCAAAAGCTGTTATTCAGGTGGCATCTATTCAGTGATGAGTCCAGACATATTCAGTTGTTCCTTCAATTGCTGGCAAATAATAAGTGGTGGTCAAGTCACTAGTTATCTAAACTTAGTGACAGGGAGTCTAAGAGTTGCCATGCCTATGCAAATTCAGTAAAGTTAAAGGCAAGTGCAATACAAATTATATTCATCTTAGCGCACATCACTGCCCAGGATTTCATAAACAGATACCTCAACTTGTTAGATCTACTCTTTAACATCTATTTCATTTTTTAAAAAATTTCAGTAAAGAATGCTGTTCATAATCTTGTATATTTGTTTAAAACCCCACTAATCGGGTGCAGCCTGCCATTTGTAAAATACTGTGTGTGTTGGGAGTCCCCAAGACCACCTCAGGTTTGATTATTCACTAAAAGGACTCACAGGACCCAGCATATAGTTCTACAGCTGTGACATATTACAATGTCAGGGTACAATGCAAAATCAGCAAAAAGGGGAGGGCCCATGGGTCGAAGTCTGAAGGAAAAAGAGTCCTCTCCCAATGGAGTCATACAGGACACAGTTGATCCCCCAGCAATGAGCTGTAACAATATGGTCATGTGCCACATAATGGTGTTTCAGTCAACGATGGACCACATATATGACATTTGTCCAGAAGATTATAGTGGAGCTCAGAAATTCCTGTCGCCTAGTGACGTCATAACATCCTAGCGTATCCTAGGTTTCAGGTGTTTGTGGTGATGCTAATATAAGCAAACCTGTGCTGTCAGACATGTAAAAGTCTAGCATGTGCACGGTACATATAATACTTGATAATAAACGACTCTGTTACTGTTTAATGTGTTTACTATACTATACTTTTTATTCTTAACTTTAGAATGTACTCCTTCTACTTATTTTAAAAAAAAAAAAGTTAACTGTGAAACAGCCTTAGGCAGGTCCTTCAGGAGGTGTTCTGGAAGCAGGCAGGAGACCACTGCTTTGTGTGTATTATTGCCTCTGGAGACCTGGCAGTGGGGCAAGATATGGAGGCGGAAAACAGCGATATTGATCATCCTCACTCTGTATAGGTCTAGGCTAATGTGTGTTGATGTCTTAGTTTTTAACAAAAAAGTTTAGAAATTAAAAACTAACTTAAATATAAAATAGCTTGTAGAATAAGGATATAAAGAGAGAAAATATTTTTGTACAGCTGTATGATGTATGTTTTTACCTAAGTGTTATTACAAGAGTCCAAAGTTTAAAAAATTTTTAAAGTTTATAAAGTTATAGTAAGCTAAGTTTAATTTATTATTACAGAAAATCTTTTTCATAAATTTAATAGAGCCTAAATGTACAGCATTTATCAAGTCCACAGTAGTGTACAGTAATGCCCTAGGATTCACACTCACTCACCACTCACTCACTTATCCAGAACAACTTCCAGTCCTGCAGGCTCCATTTACTGTAAGTGCCCTGTACAGGTGGACCATTTTTATCTTCAATACCATATTTTTATGGTGCTTTTTCTTTGTTTAGATATATTTAGATACACAAATACTCATCATTGTGTTCCAGTTACCAACAATATTCAGTACAGTCATGTGCTATACAGGTTTGCAGTCTTGGAGCAATAGGTCATACCACATAGCCTAGGTTAATAGTAGGCCGTAGCACCTGCTTTTGTGTAAGTGCACTCTATGGTATTCCCACAAGGATTGAATTGCCTAATGAAGCATTTTTCAGAATGTACCCATTGTTAAATGACGTATGACTATACTTCCAAGATGTTGTCCACCAGCAAAGCCCATTAGAGACAGCACCCAAGGTTTGTGTTGAGTGTTGGTTACGCAGACATCCTCTGTTTAGCACATATCAAAATTCCAGAGTCCCAGAAGGAAAGCAGGCTCAGCATAAACCACCTTGTTTGTACACCTTGTGTGCATAGTGAGCTGCTCTTACCTGTCCTGGGAATGCTAGGAGCCCTCCTGAAATGGACACTCTTCAAATGCCAACTGAGGTCAGCCCCAGAAGCAGCCTGTTCTGAGCATGGCAGTCTCAGGCTTGCTGTGTTCACTCTTTGCTGCACACTGTGCTGTTTTGTTCTTTCTCTTCTGCTTATATACATTTTTAGGTAGATGATCAGGATCATTTCCTGGGCTGCAAAGGCCTCCTTTTAGAGGGCAGAGGGGGTTGTTACTGATGGCAAATGCTAAGCAAGCATGTGTTCATGTGTGTGCACGCATGTACACTCAGTAACATTTGAAAATCACAACATGACTAATCCTTGCCATGTAGAAATGAGGGGCTGGGGCCTTCCAGTGTTCAAAGAAACCCAGACTTATTTTTGAACGTTCCCTGTTGTTAGCTGAGATTTTTAAAAGAAATCTCCAAGCCAAACGAAACCTGTCTGTGAGCTACTCCCGGACTGTGGATTGCCAGCTTTGCTTCAGGTGGGAGGGAGCCGTCAAGGTCTTTAGACAGATATTCTGTTAATTCCCTGGGGCTGCCAGAACAATGTACTGCACACTGGGTGGCTTCAACACCAGAACTTCATTGTCTCCCAGTCCTGGAGGCCAGAAGTCCGAAATCAAGGCACTGGCCGGGTTAGTTCCAAGGGCT
This sequence comes from Homo sapiens, assembly GCF_000001405.40. Taxonomy (NCBI): domain Eukaryota; kingdom Metazoa; phylum Chordata; class Mammalia; order Primates; family Hominidae; genus Homo; species Homo sapiens. The sequence goes on from NC_000010.11 coordinate 35,545,407, forward strand.
GTGAGGGAAGGTTCTGCTCCAGGCCTCTCTCTGACGTATTACAATGTGTGGGTGCCCAGCCTCATGCTCACGCAGCGTTCTCCTGTGTGCATGTCTGTCTCCAAGTTTCCCCTTTATGTAAGGGCCCCAATCATATTGTGTTAGGTCCTGCCCTAATGACCTCGTTTTAACTCCACTACATCTGTAAAGGCCTTGTCTCCAAATAAGGCCTTATTCTGAGGCACTTGGGGTTAGGACTTCAACATATGCATTTTGGAAGAGGGGACACACTGTAACCCATATCCACAGGATACCAACAGAATCGTGTAAGATTTGTATTAAGATCTCTCCAGGGATACCAGCAAGGAGGTTATTGCTGTAGTTTAGGGTAAAGATTATACTTTATATTAATTTATTAACCTATATTAATAATATAAATGTGTATTCCAGGCTATTGGAAAATCTTCCAGCATCAGGTACAAAAAAGAATCCAAATGTGAAACTGGCAGAAATTTTATAAACAGAAAATAATAATTACTTTTTTAAATTATTTTTGTTGGCCATAAAAGTGATAATTTATGGAGCATTGCTGAATACAGGGAGTTTAGGTAGCTACCCCCATTCCCTCAAAATAGTATGTTTATGAGACAGCACTCTGGAATTAGGGTGTAATTGAGAATGGAGTGAAGCTACCAACTCACTTCACAGTCTTCACCCGTATGATTTCAACCTCAGCCGTATTGGAACATGCTCTAATCATCCAAACCAAACAGCTGAAAGACGGCAGATTTAAAGTCCAGAAAGAAATTATATCTGGTACAGATTCAGACAATTAACCGGCCTAGTATTACTCTTTAAAATTGGATTGGAATAATTTCAGCATCATTGGGATCTCATTTGCATATATCCTCAATTCCACAAGTTTTATCCCCTCCAAATGCCTCTGAACAGCTTTGTGATGTGCAGTCAGCTGATGCCTCTTTGTAGCTCCATAGTTGCTCATTAACCTGTGGTTTCCAGAGAGACTTCTTAGGATAGTCATTCTCATGAATTAAATCTGAAAACTTAACTGAGTAAGAGTGACCTGTTAGCAATGGTCGTGGGATATTGTTTAGAAAAATCAACCGTGTATTATTTTACTTGGCAGAGAGTTAAAATATCCAAGTGGGAGTTTACTAAAGAAGTTGCAGCTGACCCTTGACTATAGTTTTATTGGCAAGTTTTGCTAAATTACATATTTTTAAGTCTAGCTTACCATGAATGCCTTATCTCCCAATATAGCAACTGCTTTCCCTCTGTTACAGGATGTATTGTGTTGTCTGATTGCTTCAGTTAGCCGTAATGGAATATCACACCTGGTTCATGACTGTTTGTTTTTTTCCCAAACATTAAGTATTCTCTTAAATATTACTAATATAGTTATTAATATTCATCAACTAAGGTAAGTTAAAAGTCAGAAGAAAACATAGTCAGCTTTTTGTATTGAGCCAGTGAGCACTGACCTCTGCGGAGAGCTTGGGAGGTTGCAGCGCCTCATGTCTGTAAAGGAGTGGAATCTCTGGGATCTGGGTGAAGATTGAGTCACAGTCTTCTTTTTCTGCTGCTTTAATGATCTGGAGGTTTACTTAGGCCCAGTCCCTGTTTTCTGCTCTCAGCACAGTGGTATTGCACATTTTCTGGTTGTCTCTTTGTTGGAGAGTAAGAGGATTTGTCATCAGCCTTTGTAAAATACGCAGCCTGGGGCCCTAAGATCAGTGCCAGCTAGAATTCCACTGAGCCTCACCTAGATCTTTATCTGAAGAGTTACGATGTTCACACAGAGGACAATTATGATCTAAAACATTAGCTTATTCTTTCTGTTCAAACTTAATATAATAAATGCCGTTAAAAATGAAAATCTCCAAAAATTGATAAGGTTATTCAGCTCTCTTGAGTGACTTTCTTTTTTCCACCAACAGTTGTCACACTCAAATGCTATTGTTGAGTGAAGGACCCTTGGAAACCCCCACAAAGGCCTTTCCAGTGCAGTTACAATGCCGTGCTTCATGACTTCCTGGGCCTTATTTGAAGGTCTCTTTGGCTTCCCGTGTGCCCATAGCTGCCTCCTCTGAACTTTGTTGTTCACCACTGCACCTGTCTCACAAGCCAAGGACTCAGTTTCCCTTAATTCACTACACCTTGTCGATGCAGTTCTCTTTCCTGAATGCCATTATTTGTGGTCGTTTTACTAGCGAATCACTCGTATGTAGTCCCGCTGACTTCCTTTGGGCTGGAAATCTGCCCTTTCATAGCTCTTTCAAGAGCCTGCCGGAGCCCTGTGTGGATGCGGTCCCTTGTCGTCCCTGCAGGACCCCATATGCCCATGATGCATTCAGGGAGCACGCTCTGCCGGCCCCTGGGCTAGATGCTGCACATACTGGGGATGAGATGAGGGTTTATCCAGGCTTCCTATCCAGGGAAGAGGCCCTTACACTACTGAGATAAATGCAGCATTGGGAGCAAGCAGAGGGTCACCCAACTAATTTGGGAAGGTCAAGGTGGTCTTTCCCTGTAATGGTTTTCCATTTTATTATCAGTATACTTAGAACCTCTTACTACAGCTTATTGGCTATTTGCCTTTGGGATTTGAAACATGTTACTCCACTTGACCCATGAACAACTCCAGGGTTAGAGGCATGGAACCCTGCACAGTTGAAAATCCACATGTAACTTTTGACCCCCCAAAACTTAATAGCCTACTGTTGACTGAAAGCCTTACCTGTAACATAAACATTTGATTATTATTTATTTTTCGTGTTATATGTATGCTATACTGTATTCTTACAATGAAGTAAGCCAGAGAAAAGAAAATGTTAAGAAAATAAGGACAAATATATATATACATAAATATAAATATATATATTTATGTATATATATATATATATATTTTATGAGACGGAATCTCGCTGTGTCACCCAGGCTGGAGTGCAGTTTCACGATCTTGGCTCACTGCAGCCTCCGCCTCCCGGGTTCAAGCAGTTCTCCTGCCTCAGCCTCCCAAATAGCTGGGATCACAGGCGCGTACACCATGCCCAGCTAATTTTTGTATTTTTAGTAGAGACGGGGTTTCACCATGTTGGCCAGGATGGTCTCGATCTCCTGACCTTGTGATCTGCCCACCTTGGCCTCCCGACGTGCTGGGATTACAGGCTTGAGCCACCGCACCCAGCCAAGAAAATATATTTCCCATTCATTAAGTGGAAGTGGATCATCATAAAGGTTGTCATCCTGGTTGTTTTCGCGTTGAGTAGGCTGAGGAGGGGAGGAGGGGTTGGTCTTGCTGCCTCTGGGGCTGTGGAAGCGAAAGAGGTGGAGAAGGTGGAAGGGAGGCAGGAGAGGCAGGTGCATTCGGTGTAACTGTTACCGAAAAAATCTGCGTATTAGTGGATCCACACAGCTCGAACCTGTGTTGTTCAGGGGTTAACCGTACTTTCTTTTTAGGATTTTTACTTTGTCTTCAGTACAGTGCCCTGATCCATTCTAAGGAACATCTGATAAGCCATAAAAATCCAGGTTTTTAAGATTTAAAAAACTGCTGTTTCATTAGTAAAGCACTGAACACAGAAAAGTAATCTGAACACAGAACAATAATCTTTTTAAGCAAGAAACCATTAGTCATGGATGTTTTCATTCAGCAAACAGTTGGGTGCCAACTCCGTGCCCCTCACCACCCACCCCACCCCCCCCCGCCCCTCATCATGCCAAACCCCTTCTCTCGAAGAGGCAGAGAAGAGTCTGACCTGCCCCTCCCCACCTCACCAGTTTCTCAGGGGCTTCACAACTGCACCTGGCAAAATAAGCCACAAGGAAGCTTCTGGTTGCTTTGGGGAGCATTAGACCCTCTCACTCTGACTGTGGTTTAGGGATGAGGGGTGGGGGGTTCTGCAGAGTAGCTGGTCAAGCCACGTGACCCTATGCTGTATGTGACCCTGTGCTGCTCATGGCTTATGACCCTACAGTGCTCGTGACCCTGTGCTCCTCATGGCCCATGACCCTACAGTGCTCGTGACCCTGCGCTGCTCATGACACATGACCCTACAGTGCTCGTGACCCTGTGCTGCTCATGGCCCATGACCCTACAGTGCTCGTGACCCTGCGCTGCTCATGGCCCATGACCCTACAGTGCTCGTGACCCTGCGCTGCTCATGACACATGACCCTACAGTGCTCATGACCCTGCGCTGCTCATGACACATGACCCTACAGTGCTCGTGACCCTGCGCTGCTCATGGCCCATGACCCTACACTGTTCGTGACCCTGCGCTGCTCATGGTCCGTGACCCTACACTGCTTGTGACCCTGCGCTGCTCATGGCCCATGACCCTACAGTGCTCGTGACCCTGCGCTGCTCATGACACATGACCCTACAGTGCTCGTGACCCTGCGCTGCTCATGGCCCATGACCCTACACTGCTCGTGACCCTGCGCTGCTCATGACACATGACCCTACAGTGCTCGTGACCCTGCGCTGCTCATGACACATGACCCTACAGTGCTCGTGACCCTGCGCTGCTCATGACACATGACCCTACAGTGCTCGTGACCCTGCGCTGCTCATGGCCCATGACCCTACACTGCTTGTGACCCTGCGCTGCTCATGACACATGACCCTACAGTGCTCGTGACCCTGCGCTGCTCATGACACATGACCCTACAGTGCTCGTGACCCTGCGCTGCTCATGGCCCATGACCCTACACTGCTTGTGACCCTGCGCTGCTCATGACACATGACCCTACAGTGCTCGTGACCCTGCGCTGCTCATGACACATGACCCTACAGTGCTCGTGACCCTGCACTGCTCATGGCCCATGACCCTACACTGTTCATGACCCTGTGCTGCTCATAGTCCGTGACCCTACAGTGCTTGTGACCCTGCACTGCTCATGGCCCATGACCCTACACTGCTCATGACACTGTGTTGCTTATGGCTCATGACCTTACACTGCTCATGACCCTGTGCTGCTTGCTGATGGTCTTTTTATCCTTAATCTGCCCGGAGTTTTGCTTCCATTAAGGATTGTTCTCCGTCCCCCTCTTCTGCCCTGTCTTCCCTCCCCACTCCTTTTGTCCCTCTACCCTTACTCCCTTGCCCTTCTCTCCCTGGCCTCCCTGCTGAATCCCCCATGCCTGCTGCTTCTCCTGCCCCTCCACCTGCACAGTCACTGCCTCTAGAGTCCTTGCTCGTCCAATTTAATGTTTTCTTGTGCAAGAGGACACTTCAGTTTCCTTCTCAAATGCCCCATATGTTGTAAGCCTAGTTTAGGCACTTGCAAACACAGCTTTGCCTTAGAAGTTCTTTTCCAAACTATTACAAGACTCAAACAAGAGCACCACATACCAGGTTTTACTCCCCCCTCTTCTTTGTTACCCCTTCATCCTGTCTCCAGCCTTAAAATGGAAGGGGCCCTCCAGTCTCAGGACCAGCCCCTCCTTTTCTTAGTTCTTAAGCCTCCCCCAGGTCCCTTGCCCCTGGCTTTGCTCTGTCTGCCTGTCACAGACTCTCAAACTGGCACCCCAGTTTGAGCTCCAGACCTGCATGTTCACTACTTATGTGGCATCCGCTGGGACATTTCAAGACAGAAAGCGTCCAGAGTCAGGCCTGTGATCTTTTACCAACCTCTTCCTCCCCAGTGCACCCTGTCCCAGAGAACACACCTACCTAGCTGTGCAAGCCGGGAGCTGGGGGTCTTCCAGAGCAGCCCACCTTCTGTGATCGTTGGGTCCCCTTTACAGGCCTTGTGCATTCGCATCCCGTAAGAGACCTCTCCCAATCAGTGTTAATTACCCTTTTTCTCAAGAACTTCCTAAAGTTCAGCCGCCTCCTCAAAGACATCCTAATGAAGTAACAAGTGTGAATTCTTCCTTTTCTTAAAAAACAAAACAAAACAAAAAACCTTTCCCATTCCATTTGGGAGTGTTGGTATCATTTAACTGAAAATAATCTGTATTTTATTTATGTGTAAACATTTTCCTTTCCACATGTACCTTTTTGCGTTTTGTAATATTTAAGACTTTATGGACATTATATACTGTGAATAATTATAACATTAATGGGTTTTATCTGCAAGTTCTTAAAAATAGCATGGATGGTGTCTGTTTAATTTTGTTTTTTTTTCTGTTACATTTTCACTTTGCAAATGCATTTGATAAAAACTGTAGTAGTAATTTCATAGTTCAGAGAAGTGTAAGACGTACTATCAATAATAAACAGAGTTCTACTATGGGAAACTAAAAAAGACATTCTTACCTCGTGGCCCAACTTAATGGGCTTTGTAGATATTTCTGATGTCTGTCTTCAACCTAAACTCTGTCAGTTTAGAAATCCTGTATTACTTGGTTTTATTTTCCAATCATTTTAATGATTTAAAAATAGGTATATAAAATCCTAATCGCAGTGATATACGACTTCACACACATTAGGATGACTATTACCAAAACAAAACAGAAAATAAGAAATGTTAGGGAGGATGTGGAGAAATTGGAATCCTTGTGCATTGCTGAAATGTGAAATGGTGCATACGGTGGAAAATGATATGGCAGCTCCTCAAAAATTGAACATAGGATTACCCTATGATCCAGCAATTCCACCTCTGGGTATGTACCCAAAAGAATTAAAAGCACGGATTCAAACAGATACTTGTACACCAGTGTTCATAGCTGCATTGTTCACAATAGCCACACAGGGGGAACAGCTCAAATGTTCATTGACAGAAGAATGGATAAACATGATGGTGTATATGCATACAGCTGAATATTATTCAGCCTTAAAAAGGAAGTTCTGACCCATGCCACAACATGGGTGAACCTTGAGGTCATTATGCGAAGTGATAATAAGCCAGACAGAAAAGGACGAATATTTTATTATTCTACCAATATGATGTGCCAAGAGTAGTCAGATTCATAGAGAATGGTGGTTGCCCGGAGCTGCGGAGAGGGAGGAAGTGGGGAATTATTATTTAACGGGTATAGAGTTTCAGTTTGGGAAGATGATAAAGTTCTGGAGATAGATGGTGGTGATGGTTGCACAGCAGTGTGTCAGGTGAATGTGGTAACCACCACACTGCAGAAACAACACAACAGTGTGAATGTACCTAATGCCGCTGAACTGAAAATGGTTAAATGGTAAATTACATGTTGTGTATATTTTACCACAATAATTAAAAGATAGGCTTATCAACAACTGCATGTATATCTATAGTTATCTCAAAACAAAAAGCTTAATTTAAAAAACCCTACAAACAAAAAAAAAGTGTATTCTCTATACATTCTCTGTCCTTTCTGTTGGAACAGTCATTAACATGTATGGATATCACAGTTGATAGAGTGAGAAATTAGCCTGTGCTTCCTGGAATTGTTTCCTCCACAGAGTCTGTTTAAGATCCAGCTGCACCCACACTGTCCACTAATGGAGTGGGACTTTTAGCCCACGTTTCATCAGACTCATTGAGTCATTTGGCCTTTTAAAAATAAATGTGATTGGGTAATAAATTCCCATTTAAAGGTGGATGTAATACATATTTTAGCATTTCTTGAGGTGTGCTGGTGTTTAGGAGAAAACAAATCACTTAGCTCTGGCATTGTCTTGTCTTCCCAGGTGTACCTTGAAAGACTTTTAACATACGCAGAGATAGATATCTGTCCGGCCAACTGGAAGCGGATTGTTTTAGGGGCGATCCTGCTGGCCTCCAAGGTGTGGGATGACCAGGCTGTATGGAATGTGGATTACTGCCAGATCCTGAAAGACATCACGGTGGAGGACATGTGAGTTGGGGGGCAGAGGGTGTTGGTCATCAGAGTCTTGGCCAGACCATTTGGAAAGAAAGCTGCCTCCTTTTTTAATGGTCTGTATAGCGCAGAATGCATGCATTTGACTGAATGTCTGTTGTGAGCTGTTACAACAGGGGCATGGCTGTGGAATATTACATATGAAAACCTGCATTTCTCATCATGTGGATCTTGAACAGGTACTGGTAACACCTCCTGGTTTTGTGAAACTGGTTTACAGAAACTATATTGTAGGCAAACACTCCTTTAATTAGAAAGGTGTGGTCCAGCACTGATAGCAGCCTGTGATGGTTTATATTTGGGCTTTGTATCTCACTGCAGACTGATCACAGAGAGGTAATGCCGCCATACAGTCCTTTGTGGTCAATAAGGCAATCCAAAAAGCACAAAAGCTAAAATATTTTACATTTTTGTTTAGTTTCACAGAGAAAACATCCACTGCTTTGTCATGTTTTGCAGGTTCAGTTGCTTCAGGTCAGCCTCGTGTCCCTGGGGCTCCCACTTGCAGCATGAACAGGGCTCGGGGAGGGCATCGCCCTTGGGGGTTGTGGGGACTGAGAGCTGTCCACTCCCCTCACTCTCTGGGCAGTGTCAGGGTTTCTCAGATGGGCCAGTCTTCAATTTAGGTGAGGATTATTAGTAGGACACCTGCAGACTGTTGTCTGGGGGGTCTCTAGGGACTGGGAATCCAGGAACTGAGTTCAGAGCCCTTGGGGAAGAAGGAATTGTAGAAAACAATCAGATAGCACTACTTGACTTACAGTTCCTTATGATTTGTAGTCACTTCTGACATTATTGTTGCTAAAACTTTTCTCATACTTTTTGTTTGGCAAACCTCCTCAAGGGGGCTTTAAGCTGGAGGAGGTTACCAGCTCTGTCTCAGTCTACACCCACATCCCTGCCCCCAGTAATCCTCAGATGCAGGACCTTCCCAGTGCCTGTGACAACTACCACTGCAGGGGTGTCCCTGGGCTGCAGACTCGTGGGCATGTGGGTTCTGGATTCCGCAGCAGCCTAGGGCCCTCCTTGCCTCTGGTTACTGACTCCCCAGGCACCCATTGTTGTGGCACCCTTTGAAGCACTGCTTGTTTATGTTCTTAGGGCATTTGTTGCAGAGCCTATTCCTGCTGCAGACCTATAAAATTTCATCCTGTGTCTTTAGTTCTTTATTACATAAAGTAAGAAACACATAAAGAAGTTTTTTTAATCAGAACTATATAGTAAGAAAAATAAAATTCTTGACTATATTTCATGGTGAAAACAGCTACTAAAATAGTTGTCATTCATATCATAAAGGAGGTGGACATTTGGGTGCGAGGTATAAGAAATTCTGGCCTGTTTTCTTTATTGGGGATTATCTTTGCTCAGCTGCTTGGTATCATTTGACACTGAACAGCACGTCACATGATGACTTCCTGGCTGTCCCCTCCTGTTAGATGATACATGACCAGTGACTTGGTTTAGGTGGTGCTCAGGTTCTGTGAGAGCACAGAGGGCCCCCCGACCATGACTAGGTGTGTCCACTTAAAGCCAGAATACCTAATGAAATTAGACTAGGTCTTAAATATTTTGATTTGTATCCTAACTATATTTCCAAAAGGAAGTGAGAGACAAATGCAAATTGCAGATACCACAGAAGCATGAAAACAAAAGAGAACAGAGAAAAATGACCAGTGAATAACATTAGAGGTGTGGAGGAGATGCCTTTTGTACTCTTATCCTTAACCCACCAGGTTTAATTCACCAAAATGCCAGCAAACTGAATTTTCATGGAAACTTAAGATCAATGGAAAATCCTCTTAGTTGATTTCAAATTTTGAGGAAATGTTTATAAAATATTTGTCAGGAGGTACACACTGCCCAGTTCATGCATATGTCAGTTGAATCCTCTCAGCAACCCTGTGACATGTGTACTGATGTCCATGTTACAGATCTGGATACTGAGGCCTAGAGAGGTTCAATAATGCTCCAACAAAATAACCAAGTGGGGAGGTTTATCCCCAGCTGATTAAGAAAGGCTCATCTTTCTTAATCCCAGTGACCATTCATTATACAGTAGTCAAATGAAAATGATGTGTACTGGTCCTCAGTTACGAAGATGTTTTAAACATTCATTTTTAATTTTTCCTTCTCTCTTTAAATAAAAAGATAGGAGGGTAAAGTAACAGGTCATTTGGAATTCTAGGTACTTAGGTTGTATTCATTGAAGGTTTAAATTCAAGTCAGTAAAACCCAATTACCAGGAATATTTATAATCACAATAACAACAACAGCAGCAGCAGCTATCCTATATTGAGTACTTCCTAGCTCAAAAGAAATGATTTTTCTGCGTTAATTCACATCTCACATTTATCCATGAGGTGGTACTATTATTCCCATTTTACAGATGGAAACGAGGCCCTGAGAATTAAGTAAGATGCCCAGGTGACTTGACTAGTAAGTCAGTCACAATCTATGTTTCTTCTAAGCAATTGGAGCTACAGTTGTTTCATTTAATACTTAATTTAAAAAACAACTGTTTTTTGTAAGTCAACTCTTTTTCTACACAGAGAAGTTAAAACAGTTGGCCAGTGTTCATTCAGCTGAAATTAACTTAATATCAAGAATTGTTTTGATAATGATAGCCTTAATGTCTGTTCTTTTGATGGGCAGTCAATATCTTAAAAAATTATACATTATAATAAGGTTGGATTTTTTTTCAAGTGCAAAATACTAATAGTTACTGTATTGAATGAAGCTGCTGCTTTACTCATTAAGATTTTGAAAGAACCAGCACTATGGTTAGTAGAATAGTAGGATTGATGTTAAAACTCTATTCCATATTTTGTCCAAAGAAAATTGATCATTTTTTAGCCTGTTTTCTGTCTTTTTTGAAAGCTGTTGGTGCCCAGGCTACCCCATTGCCATCTGAGCCACTGGCTGAACCTTAGTGACTCATGCAGCATTTGATCAGTGCCCCACATGCCTGTAGCTGGGCAAAGGAAGGAGGCATTCAGGAAGACCTGATGTTTCTAAAAGGTCTGACCATAAATAGTTCTCCTGAAGAAACTGGAGTGCCACCTTTTTCCACTGCCCTCTGTCAGGCTGGAGAGCAGATCATGGGGAGATGCAGCTCAGGTGCCTTGTGCTCCTCTGCTTTCCTTGCAGAGCTCTGAGGACTGCAGGCCCTGAGTAGGCAAAGTTGTAACCTGGCCAGACTGAGTCCTTGCGTGTTCAGATTCTTGCATATTTTATTCTACTGTTTGTTTTGAGAGCCACTGTGATCCATCTATAATATACTGTTTACTCTTTGGTTATATGATTACCACACTATAAGACTCTATATGTTCTCTGTAGAAAAGCTGATCAAACAATTGCGTATATGGATATTTGGGGAGGAATAGACACGTTTTCCCCCTGACAGAAGATTGGAGGGAGCATGGAGCTTCCTTCTGATAGGGGTAATAGCTGAAAGGATGCTCTGAACCACACATAAATCAGGAATTTACAGTTCCTGATTACGCAGAGGTACTTGGCACGGTTGTGTCTCCATTCCTTTCTGGAGGTGCCAGCCAGTGACCACAATAGTGGAGGTCTTTATACATTTTGGCCTGTTTATCCCTAGAAGTAGTTTGGAAAATTTTATATCCTCACTACATTTTTTTTTTTTTTTTAAGACAGAGTTTCATTGTTGTTGCCCAGGCTGGAGTCCAATGGCGTGATCTTGGCTCACTGCAACTTCGCTTCCCGGGTTCAAGCAATTCTCCTGCCTCAGCCTCCTGAGTAGCTGGGATTACAGGCGCCCGCCATTAGTCCTGACTAATTTTTGGTATTTTTAGTACAGATGGGGTTTCACCATGTTGGCCAGGCTGGTCTCAAACTCCTGACCTTAGGTGATCTGCCCACCTCGGCCTTAATTTGAAAATTTTTATCCCAAGTTTTAGTTGTTGTAAAGGATGTTATTTGCAATATATTTTATATAGTAGGGTTTTAAAGTTAAAAGTATTCATTAGAGACTGAATATACCAGAGTAATATGAAACTCACAGTTACCCATTTTCTTAGAGGTGAAAATTTTACATTGCTGCTTTTTCTCCTTGAACTCATTATTTTCTTTCTAGTTTCCTCACACATTAGCCTCTTCTTCAAAATTCTCCATATCAAAAATGTACATTTAAGTCAAAATTGCAGTAGTGTTTTCTGGATGATAATGTTCTAATTTATTAAAAACACTTTCAGGTCTGAGTTGTCATTAGTACACAGTTGATCAAAATATAGACATACTAAAGCTGGGTGCAGTGGCTCACACCTGTAATCCCAACACTTTGGGAGGCCGAGGTGGGTGGATCACTTGAGGTCAGGAGTTCAAGCCAGCCTGGCCAACATGGTGAAATGCCATCTCTACTAAAAATACAAAAATTAGCTGGTACTGGTGGCGCTCACCTGTAGTCCCAGCTACTCAGGAGGCTGAGGCAGGAGAATCGCTTGAGCCCAGGAGGCGGAGGTTGCAATGAGCCGAGATCGTGCCACCGCACTCCAGCCTTAGCAACAGAGCAAGACTCCATTTTATATTTAAAAAAAAGTCAGTATAAATTATTAAATATACAAAAAGTAAAACCTTATGGGAAATAGATTTCTTAATGAGATCAGTAGTTTGTTCTTTCATTAGTTTATATTTTTGTGTATGATGATTATTGAAACCAGGCTGAGCATCAGTTTTATTCCCCTTTCTCTTCTTTTGCCTCTTTGGTGTGAGTTCAGAGCGCATGTTCAGATGAGTAGGTGAAATTTTGAGGAGTTTTATTATAGTAGTGTCACTCAAGTCTTAAAACAGTTTTTGAATTATATGCTAAAATTACACAGCCATCTATTAGTAAAGGCTATTTAAATGAGCCTACCAACCCCTGCTTCAGTTTGTTGAAAGCAAAAACTGGAAACCATCTAAGTAGCCTGTCACTAGAGTCATTCACTTTTCCAGCACCACATGTTGGGATATAGTCCCTTTCCTGGGTTCCTCAGAGGGAGTTCCCCCTGAGGCAGTGAACCTTAGTAAGGGCAGGTGAGCAGCCTGCCTTTCCCTTCCAGGGTAGGAGAAGAGCAACTGGGAAAGAAGAAGCCAGAAGGAGAACCTGCACACACAGATTTGTTCTCCAGCAAGTCAGTTTTAGGAGAGTGAAATGAAAGTTACAGATCTAGAAATCTCTTTCCTAATGCTGTGTTCTCAAGCATGCTTAGAGACACTTTCTGTACTATAAATTGAATGCATATCCCAGCTTGAAGTCCAGAGTCCCGCTGAGTCCTGTAACAGATGCTATTCATGACATGGGCTGAATTGTCTCCTCTAAAATAGATGTGTGAAGTCCTAACCCCCAGACCCTCAGAATGTGACCATATTTGGAGATATATTTTTTAAAGAGGAAATTAAATTAAAATGGGGTCATTAGGGTGGGCCCTAATCCAGTATGTCTGATGTCCTCATAAGAAGAGATTAGGACACAGACAACACAGAGGGATGGCCATGTGAGGACACAGAGAAGGTAGCGTCTGCAAGCCAAGGAGAGAGGTCTCGGAAGAAACCAACCCCACTAACACCTTGATCTTGGACTAGTAGCCTCTAGAATTGTGAGAAAATAAATTTCTGTTGTTGAAGCCACCCAGTCTGTGGGACTTTGTTACCTGTGCTAGTCTGTAGCCCTAGCCAACTAATACAGATTTTGGTACTGGGAAGTGAGGTGCTGCTGTAGCAAATACCTAAAAATGTGGAAGTGGCTTTGAAAGTTGGTAAGGAATAGAGGCAGGAGGAGTTTTGAGGTGCATATTAGAAAAACCCAAGACTGCCTTGAAGGGATTGTTGGTAGAAATGTGGGCATTAAAGGTGATTCTGGTGAAGACTCAGAAAAGAGGACAGCTGTAGAAAATGCCTCTACCATTTTAGATGCATTCACATGTCATCATGAACAGAATGTTGTTGGCAATATGAATGTCCAAGGTGCTTATGGTGAGGTCTCAGAAAGAAGTGAGGAGCATGTTCCTGGGAGCTGGAGGAAAGGTGATCCTTGTTAAAAAGTGGCAAAGACCTGACCAAATAGCGTTCTAGTGTTTTGTGGAAAGTGGAATGTTTAAGAAATGAATGTGGATGTTTTAGCCAAGGAGATTTCCATGCACAGTGTGGAAGTCACAGCCTAGTCCCTCTTGTTGCTCGTAGTATACTGTGAGAGGAGAGAGAGAAACAGAAGGAGGAGGAATTATTTAGTAACAAGGAACCAAATCTTCTAGCTGAAGATTTAGAAATCTCAAATCTTCTAATCTCAGTCTATCCATATGGCAAAAAAATGGGAAAGTGTGCTCTGGAGGCAACACAAGGGTGCTGGGACAGCATTTGCTAAAGAGATTACAGATGTGACAGATGGATCCAGTCAGCCAGCCATCTCAGCAGAAGCGCTGCCGGCTTGCACCAAAGGGCCCAGAGACAGGACAGGTGAAGCAAGGCTGTCGTACTCTGGCATTCCACGGGCCAGCAGAACTGTCTGGCATGACTTGTGATATCCTCCAAGGAAAGGGGTGAATGATCCTGAGATGGTACCGAGGCCAGCAGGTCTGCCACTGCCACCATGGGCCCAGCAGGCACAGCCTGGAGTGAGGCTGTTTCCTCCTTGGCTCCAGGGGGTTAGGCCAAGGCAGGGCTGCCTACCTGGGGGTGGGTGATGGCGCATCAGCAGAGAGGACTTAAGTCTTCAATCCCTGGAGCTTGCCCTGCTAGATTTCGGGCTTGCTGGACACTGTGACCTCTTTCTTTCTGAGTTTTCTTTCTTTTGGAAGGAAAGGGGATGCCTGTCCTATGTCTGTCCTATGCCTGTGCCACCATTGTATTTTAGAAGCAGGTCACTGGGTCACAGCTGGAGAGGAATTTTGCCTTAGGATGAATCATACCTCAATCTTCACCCATACCTGATTCAGATGAGATTTAGATAGGATTTGGGACTTAGAGATGGAGCGGGAATGCATTAGGACTTTGGGGCTGTTAGGATGAGGTGAGTGTGTTCTGCATGTAAGATGGACATGAATTCTGAAGGGCACGAAGGCAGTGTTGCGGGGCTGAACTTTGTCCCCCTCAAATTCACATGCAAAGCCCTCCCAACCCCTAGTGTTTGAGAATGTAACCATGTCTGGAGATAAGGTTTTTAAAGACCTAATTAAATTAACATTGGTTCATTTGGGTGGGTCCTAACCTAATATGACAGGTGTCCTATAAGAAGAAGAGATCAGAACACAGGGAACAGACAGAAGGATGAGCATGTGAGACTCAGACAGCCACCTGCAAGCTACGGAGAGCAGCCTCAGGAGATACCAGTCTGCTGACAGCTTGGACTTACAGCCACAAACTGTGGGGAAAAAATTCCCGTTGTTTAAGCCCCTAGCATTTTCATTACAGCAGCTCTTGCAAACTAATACACCCTGTAAACTTTATTAAAAGAAGGAATGAAATCTACATTCTAGGAGCTGCTGGAGATATCTGTGGACATAGATGCTGGTGGAGCTAGAGGCTCCAAGTGATTTTGTGGCACCTGCACAGTAAAATAGATTTACTATTAGAATTTTTAGAAATGAATACTTCATTCAGTCTTTCCCAGTAAAACCGTGTGAGCCCAGGAATTGGTGGAATTGGACATCACTCAGCTGAATGGCTGAGGGAAAATCATGACTCCTCGGTAGCCCTTTATGGGGAGAGGAGGTAGCACAAGGCTCACTGGAAGCTGGGGGCCCTGCACCAAGGTAAAGATGAGCAGAGGCACTGCCGGTGAGTTTTCCCAGCATAACTTCAGGAATAGAGCTGAGATGACACAGCCTGTAGAACAGGGGCCTGGACAGCCACCCAAGCTGCACTCCCTACCTGCAGTACCTTAGATGAACAATGGGTTCCTTCCACAAATCCCACTTGGGTGTCCCAGAATGAGGGAGGTGCGTGCCAGGAGCTTGTCCTTCTTGGCACGCTGTGGAAGTCCCCAAGATCCTAGAATCCTCTTTTTCATCCCCAAGTGGGAAAAGAGTCAGTGGCTTGGGCCTGAGGGTGGGGTGGGAGGCGTTTGGGCAGGAGAAGTCTCAGATATCCTGGGGTGGGCTCCATCCTATCAAGGGCTGCCCTGCTGCATTTTTCTATAATCCCATCACTCAGAAAGAATATTGCTAACATTTTTATTATATAGAACTTCCCAGTGTTTACATAGATTTTATTTTTACAAAACTGGGCCCATACTGTACGCGTTGTTTTAAACTTTTTGCCATTTAGCAGTGTGTTAATCTGTGGTTAGCTGGTCTCAGTTTCCTGGCAGAGGCAAACAACCCGAGCTCTCCCTTGGAGCTCCTGAGCAGGGAGAGGGCTCACAGGTTTCAGCTGGAAACCTTTTCAAATGGGGTTTTTGGTAGTGCTTGTTCTTCTAGGTACCCTTCTTCCTGGCCTCCTGTGTCCCAGCTTCCTGAAGTGACCTTCCTGGTATTTTTGACCATAGGCTAATCTCCTGCTCAAGAATTATCCAACAGTGAGAACTTGACTGGGAGTCTCCCCATGTACCTTTGGACAGAGGGGTTCTGGCTTGGAAGGCAGCTGACTGTGCAGCTGCGTATCTGTGGGCGCAGGCTGAAGAACACTGTACGACGAGTGTCACTGAGACTTGCAGGCAGAATAGTCAGGGCACCAGGCCATGTGGATAGTCACCAGCACCAGTCAGATGTTAGCTTCAGGCAGACCTCATGTGGGAAGATGGGGCCAAGGGCCAGCCTTTCTCCCACTCTCACCAACAATCAGTGGTCACAGCATCACAGGCCAGCTTAGAGCAAGAAGTGGCAACCGCTGTGGATGGGGAAAGGACAGTGAAATTTCACCATGCAGAGTTCTGTAGGCAAAAATACTGTTAAAAAAAATTACACCTCGAGGTTTGTCTGTTTCTTGTTTTTGTTTTGCACTGTTCCCGTAAATGTCATTTTCATGTGTAGACAAATCCAAATAAGGAGAAATCAAGTGACTTGTCCAAGCATTGCATGGCACAGAAGGTCACAGAGAAAGAACTTCAGTTCCTCTGTAGATACCTGGTTTCTGGTGGTGTTTTGTTTTTAAATTGTAGTAAAATGTATGTAGCATGAAATTTATGATTGTAGCCATTTTTAAGTATACATTTCTGTAGCACTAAGTACATTTACATTGTTGTGCAACCATTACCACCATCCATCTCTAGAACCCTTCATTTTCGCAAACTGAAACTCTCCCCCTGTTAAACACTAACTTGCCATTCCTCCTTCCTCCAGCTCCTGGTGATCACTGTCCTACTTTTTGTCTCTGTGAACTTCACTACTTTCAGGACCTCACACAAGTGGGATCATACAGTCTGTGTCCTTCTGTGTCCAGCATATTTCACTTGCCAATAATGTCCTCAGGGTTGATCCATGTTGTAGTGTGTCTGAATTTCCTTTCTTTTTAGGGCTGTATAATACTTCACTGGGGGTCTGTGTCCCATTTTGTTTATCCACTCATCCACCCATGGACACTTGGGTTACCTCCACATTGGGCTAGTAAGTGGAGGCTGTAAGTGTGGCTATGCAGATACCTTTTCAAGACTTTGTTTCTCCTTCTTTTGGGAAGTGACCCTAGTTTCTAGAAAAGTAGGCAGCATATTAGATGATTAAAACAGCTCTTTTTAACATCATTTTAGAGTTCTATTTTCAAGTTGCTGAATTGTACCAAATTGGGTTTTTATACAGTGTTGATCTAGTGTGACAAATATTTCTGAAATGTGGTTTTTGTTGGTCGACTTGAATATATTTCTTACAACGTTTTACACCAAAACTGTTTCTTCATAGTTATCTAAATGCAGATAGTAAATCCATCAGGCCCATTCTTGGCATCACGTTAGTTTTCTGATAATTTATCACATAGCAAGCTGTCAGTGTCCCTGTAAAAGATGTGCTGCTGCAGTTTGGAAATTCAAGTTTTGGAAATTATTTTTATTTTCTAAATCTTTAGAAAAAAATTCATTTTTTGAAAATACAACAGCTCTAAAATCTATTTTCCCAAAGCTTAACCAGAAACTCAAGCTTGGAGAAGGTTGTTCTGTTTTCCAGGGAACCCTGGGAAAATACCGCCTTGTTCAAAAGCAGCTTCCTCTTGACTTTGCTCGTAGTGTCTGCCTCCATCTGGAACCATGGTGTCTGTATATCATTTTGGGCAGGATTATCAGGCTGTTCTCTTAGACTTTTCTTCTTACTATTGGGAGAATACGCTTTGCAGTGACGCCTGTTGACCACCAGACGGCGGTGTGTCCATGGCAGCTCCCAGGTTCACTTGGGATTTGCTCCTTTGACGTTTGACAGTTCTGGCCTTAGCAGGGCCTCTGACGCTTTCGTTTTGTTGAAGTCTTACCTGGATTCCAGTATTTCACAGGATGATCTCTTATTAAATCTCATTTAAATGAAGCATAAATAAAAGTTGTTTTAAGTAAAAATTATCCCAAATCAAAGTAAATTATTATTTATTTATTTATTTTTGGGACAGAGTTTCGCTCTCGTTGCCCAGGCTGGAGTGCAGTGGGGCAATCTCGGCTCACTGCAACTTCCGCCTCCTGGGTTCAAGTGATTCTCCTGCCTCACCCTCCTGAGTAGCTGGGATATTAGAGGTGCCCACCACCATGCCTGACTAATTTTTTTTTTTTTTTTTTGAGACAGAGTTTCGCTCTTGTAGTCCAGGCTGGAGTGCAATGGCGCAATCTTGGCTCGCTTCAACCTCCACCTCCCGGGTTCAAGTGATTCCCCTGCCTCAGCCTCCTGAGTAGCTTGAATTATAGGCATGTGCCACCATGCCCGGCTAATTTTCTTTGTATTTTTAGTAGAGACGAGGTTTCACCCTGTTGGCCAGGCTGGTCTCAAACTCCTAAACTCAGGTGATCCACCCGCCTCAGCCTCCCAAAGTGCTGAGATTACAGGTGTGAGTGACCACACCCAGCCTAAATTCTTAAAACTATGAAATTTAGTACAGTAAATACATTTGGAGCTTGTTATCACTCTTTTCACGAGGCTGTGTGGAAACAAGCAGTGACGCTCTTCATCTGATGAAGAGACCGGAATGGGCCTTCCTCGGGCCTCCTTCCTTGCCGCCTGCCCACAGGTCCCAGTGCTCCTTTCCCCAGCAGCTTCATGTCTCCCCAGAGCCACTGGCCTTGCTCAGCCCCAGCCTCCCCACCCGCCTCCTTACTGTTCTTGTCCTTTGTCACAGCAACTTGAGCTGGTGTGGAGCCCTCCTCAGTCCTTCATAGCTGAGTGCTATGAGTCACCGGGAACAGCCATAGGGGTCTCGGGACATCACTCAGGACAGGATGGTGCCTGCATGTGAGGCTCAGACCCAGACCCTCAGCGTTCAGCAGAGTTGGCAGGACATGACTTAGAATGCCGAGGCTGGGATCAGGGTCAGGAGGGTGAGGCCCTGCACTAGGGCCCTGGCTTCACTCACAGGAAATGGTGACTGTGTGTTTTGGCTGCCTGCAGCAGGTTGGAGGGGACCCACTCTGCCTGAAACACCCCCTCCTCAGCCCTGGTTCCTCTCCGCCAGAGCTCCATGCTTCCCTCACCTCAGTTCAGCTCTCACTGCTGTGGGAAGCCTTCTGAGATCATGTGCTGGGGGCCAGGCATGCAAAAGCAGATGTTGCACTTCCTGACTATGAGGAGAACAGCCCAAGAGGCTGAGTTCAGCAGCCACATGCTGCATAGTGTGGGCAAGGACAGGAGGTTTCCTGGAGGGTGTGCAGTGGGTGGGCACCCTGTGGGTGGGCACCCCTGGGGGCTTCCTGGGGAGAACGTGCTGAATCTGAGTGCATGACCCAGGACCAGTGCTCCACAGATAGTTCCCTCACTGAGAAGGTTCCCCCCACCCAGAGGAACTATCTAGAAATAAACCTAATTTGAAAGATAGCTGACATGAGAAGTTCTTAAAGTAGAAGTTTTTGAATTTCTCCCAGCATTCCATCAACATGTAGATGGGTTGGCAGGGTGGATCTTAGCACCTCCTCTCCCAACCTACCTTTTTAGTTGAGTGGTTCTCAGAGTGTGGGCCCGGGGCAAGAGCCTCAGCCTCACCATCATCTGGGAGTTCCTTAGAAATGCACATTCTCAGGCCCCACTGCAGACCTACTGATCCCCACAGTGTGAAGGTGGAGCCCCCTGTCTGTTCTAACAAGCCCACCAGGTGATGGGGTGCGTGCTCAAGTGTGGAAACTACTGCTTCCATTCTTCCCGGCTTGTGAGTTCTCTTTTTAAGAGACTGAGGCAGAGACTGGACACCCTCCCCCCATAATCCCTGCCTTTTGCCTAAGAAAGCCCCTACACAGTTCCTCCCTTCTTTTCTCCCTGGAGGTAGGGAGGGGCCACCGAGGAAGCCAATGTCCTCTAGGTCTGCAGAGGCTGAGTGTTTTCCTCTGGGCCCCTGCGGAAGGGCCCTCACTGGACTCCACGTGGCAGCTCTTGGCTGCTGCATCCACCCTTTGTTAGCAGCCTGTCCTCACGGAGACCTGCAGCCAGAGCCTGCTGTGTGTGTGTTAGATCTCAGTGAAGTGATTCGCCCTGAAACGCTTCCTGGTGATGATCCCAGTTAACCAGTCCTCATCCTTCTGGGCACCAGATCAAGTGGATTTGGCTTTTAATCCCAATATGGTGGTCTAACCAGACATTTACTTAGATCACTGGTCTTCCTGGAGGATGCAGTTTTCTGGAGTCTGGTCTCCAGCAACTTGCCTTGGCAGGCCACGTGGCCTGGTGTGGCAGCTAAGCATAGGCTATTTTTGTCTTTGCTTTGCAGGAACGAGCTAGAGCGACAGTTTCTTGAATTGCTGCAGTTCAACATCAATGTTCCTTCCAGTGTCTATGCCAAGTATTATTTTGATCTTCGTTCTCTGGCAGAAGCGAACAACCTGAGCTTTCCCTTGGAGCCCCTGAGCAGGGAGAGGGCTCACAAGCTTGAGGTAAGATGGTTTAAAACAGCGTTTTGTGGTGCAGTGTTGCCAATACATCATCTGAGTACCAGAGATGCATGTGGTCACATTGATCATTTCCCCCACTACATGATGTAAAATAAAGATGAGCTACTAGGATATATAGCTGGGCAGTTGATTATGATTTGTTCTGCTTCTTTTTTCTTTGAGACGGAGTCTCGCTCTGTCACCCAGCCTGGAGTACAGTGGTGCGATCTTGGCCCATTGCAGTCTCTGCCTCCCGAGTTAAAGCAATTCTGCTTCAGCCTCTCAAGTAGCTGGGATTACAGGTGCCTGCCACCACACCCGGTTGATTTTTTGTATTTTTAGTAGAGATGGGGTTTCACAATGTTGGCCAGGCTGGTCTCAAACTCCTGACCTCAGGTGATCTGCCTGCCTTGGCCTCCCAAAGTGCTGGGATTACAGACGTGAGCCGCTGTGCCTGGCCAGCCACTTCATATTTTTAATAACCAGTTTAATATCACTTTATACTTAATAAGCAAAGGTTTTTTGTTTTTTTGGGTTTTTTTGAGATGGAGTCTTGCTGTGTTACCCAGGCTGGAGTGCAGTGGCACGATCTCAGCTCATCACAACTCCGCCCCCTGGGTTCAAGTGATTCTTCTGCCTCAGCCTCCCTAGTAGCTGGGACTACAGGTGTGCACCACCACGCCCAGCTAATTTTTTTTTGTATTTTTAGTAGAGATGGATGGGGTTTCATTATGTTGGCCAGGCTGGTCTAGAACTCCTGACCTTGTGATCTGCCCACCTTGGCCTCCTAAAGTGCTGGTATTACAGGCATGAGCCACCACAATTCTATTTTGAAATCAAATATTTTTTAAAACCCTTACCTTTACGGACAGGTTTAAGAAAATTATGTCCCCCCAAAAAGCATTTCCCGCAATATAAGCCCCTCAAAAAGATACTTCTCAGCATGCGCTTTCATAGGAAAAAGCTGCCAAATGATATTAACAATTGGGAATCCAAAAAGATTTGATTCTGCTTTTTATTTTTTTTCCAAAATACCTTTTCCATAGCCCAGTTAGAGCTGAGGGCAGCACCACTGGTCTTGGTCTGGGTTTTGGGCCGTCATTATTAAGCTGTGTAACTTTGGGTCTCATCACAGCATATTTGTATGTGGCTCCGCCTCATATGTTCACCAGGCTCTTCCCACTTGACCTTTTGGCAGGAGGAAAGGGGACGGGGTGGTAATTAAGCAGGATCCCTGGGGAGAGACCCCTCCTCCAGAGAGGGTGTGCCCCAGCCTTTCTCCTCTGCACCTTTTTTCCCAATCCTGCCTTGGTCTCATCCCATAGAGTGTTTCCGAGTGGTGGATGGCACTGTCATGTCCCCAGCTTGTGAGGTCTTCGTGCTGCCCACACCACTGCCCATCCCAGGTGGGATGTTGTCACTCAGTGCAGAGTTGGTGTGGCATCATGATGGCTTGGCCACACGGTGATCTAGAACTGGGAGAAGAAACCTGTTATGGATTACACGCTTAAGAAAGAAAAATGTTAAATAAAAATTTAAAAAGTAATATGTTAATTCCAAGAAGTAAACCATAGAAAAGACTGGATGCATAGCACTGGTTAGAAATAAAAATCCAGTGAGAGTTTCAGAACTCAGCCATGCCCCTGTGATTGTGTGCCAGCCTTTGGAATGGAAAGCCCACCCAGTCTCCCAGTTATCATCTATTCGAGGAAAAATGGAAAACCCTCCCTCTGCAGGACTTCCTGAAGGCAAATGTTGTGAAACCTTCGCAAGCACAGATGTGAGGTAGAATCTGGCTTTCCCTGAGAGCATGAGCCCCCTCTCAGCCTGTGCTGTGGTCCCTGGTCCCCCTCGTCACCAGCTATGGCTCTAGTGGCTGCTTCAGTGCTAATGAGACAAGCCGGAGCTCCTGGCAGCTACACAGCTCTGCAGGAAAGTGAGTCTTGTGTTCTCTGCTGAAGAATATCTGGGGCTCTGAGTCAGTCACCCTGAGAGCACAGGCCGAGGTTGGTGGAGTTGGCACCTGCTGTTCCCTCAGGTTTCTCCGAGTGCCGAGAAGGGAGAGCTCACCTGCTTCTGGGGCTGCTGTGTCACGGGCCCTAGGGGTTCAGCAGGGCAGGAGAAAAGGCCAGTCATATCCTGACAAGGCTGCTCTTTCTCTTCTCCAAATAATCAAAGCCTGGGACAGTGGGCTCAGCTTTTACCATCAGCCAGTTCTAGCCACACCCAGTGGCAGCCCTGGGAGAGTTGTTGCCAGAGTAGCATGGTCCCCCGTCCTTATCACCAAAGTGTTGATTATCTGCACATCTCATATTTTTGTGATCCCCCTGGGTCCCTCTTTCGGCAACCCTCTAGAGGTGACTTAAGTCCTCCATCCTTTTCTGTGGAGTCCCTAGCTGGTGGTCTGGCTGCAGCTGTCTTTGCCGCCAGCGGCCGAGCTCTCCTCTCTGTGAGGCTCAGCTCCAAGCCCGTGCTTCATGCCAGCCCTGCCAGGATGGTGCTGTTCTTGCCCCGCTTGCAGGTGAGGACGCCAAGGATTCAAAACAGCACGCGTGTGGGTGGGGCCCGTCCCACACCCCTAGATGGGGAGCCAGCGTTGACCCTGGTCGGGCCGACTGTGAGGTGACACTGTACTGTTATTTCACATCCTGAGAGTCTTTTCTCAGACTGTAAGCTCTTGGGAAACAAGAGCTGAGTCCACACTCCCTTCGTATCTCCCTGCTGCCAGCAGAGAGCTGGGCTCTGGGCCGGAGCTCCACAGGGGCAGGGGCTCTGCCTGTCCCTCATGCAGCGCCCTCGGCGCCCAGGACGAGTGAGCAATGGACGCAGATATGGCCCGCCCTGACCCACACTGTCTTTCTTGCCCCTCAGGCCATCTCTCGCCTCTGCGAGGACAAGTACAAGGACCTAAGAAGATCCGCGAGGAAGCGCTCAGCCAGTGCAGACAACCTGACTCTGCCCCGGTGGTCCCCAGCCATCATCTCTTAACTACGGAGGCCCGCCGGAGGCCACACCATCCCTTAGTTTCTCCTTTAGTTTGAGAAAAGACAGACTTGGGGTGGGTTTGTTTTTGTTTTTTCTTTCCTTTTCTTTTTTTACGCATAGCTCCGTCAAGCTGCCTGGATGAGCGCCCATGCAGCAAGGCTTGGAGGAAGCGTCAGTGCCCTGGAGATCCCAGCTCGCTCTCCCCACTGTCAGCAACAGCACTTCCTTCGTGGAGGAAGTGGACTCGAATCCTGGAGGAGGAAATAAAGGGAAAGGGAAGTCGTGGAGAGGCAGGGAAAATGGTTAAGCAGCCCGGCCCTCTGGAGTCCCCATGGGGGCGGTAGCTGAAGTTGGCGAGCGCAGCGGTGGATGCAGAGCTGGCTGCACCCAGGGCTGGGCCAGTGTGTCCTGTAAGACTTCTTGCATTCCTTCTGCTGCTTTTTTGGGATGGGGGTATTTTTGTTCATTTGTTTTTGCCCTGTTTTGATTTTGGTCCCACAGAGCAGGGGATGTAGTTTGTACCCACCATGGCGCAGACTTCCAAATAAATAGTACTGGTCATTTCTCTCTGCACTATTTCTGCGCGCTGTCTTCTGAGCTTTCTTCCTCACCAGTGGGCTGTGCTTGTTCCATTTCTGTACACCCTTATTTTATACCGTTTTTCTTCAACAATGGCGAAATTGACTGTAGTGCTGAACCAAAAGTATCCCTTTCCCTCCTTATTCCTCACCCCAAGAACATTCTAGATCACATGGGTGCTTGTGCCTTCCGATTTTCTTGCATTTGTTTTTTTCCTGACCTGAAGTTGTTGTTACAAAATCAGTCAGACTTTGTGGGCTGAAGGACACGGTGCAGCAGAGGGTGTCCCTGTGAGAGTTCTGCAGAGTGCTGGGCATGTGCCTGGAACTACCGAGTAGGAGCCATTTCTTTGTACCCCTGCCTAATCCATTCCTCTCCTTCCAAGTCCATTGTTGCAAGCAATATTCTTCTCAATTTTTATATGTTTACTTTAAATCAAAGTTAGTCTATTTGTATAAAATTTTTAAAAAATCTAAAAGAAAAAGAAAAAAAACAAGGGTGGGTTGGGTATTCCAGTGGGAAGATCATTGAAGGGAAAAATGTTACTATTTACTGAGGTATTTTTCACAGAATGATTGAATTAAAAAAAACTCAACTTGCATTTTCATTGTGGGTGCTTAGAGAAGTTCTACAAAATTCAAACTGTGAAGGTTTATGCTTCATTAATTATGACCATACTTTTTCATTTTCTGACGATCCCTGATTTCCTTATGGACTCAATAAGAATCTTTTATATCAAGTAAAATGAAAGTTGATGATAGAATATCAAATAGTGAATTTGATATGAAATCTAAGAGTGTGAGTCACTTGCATATGTAATGCTTTGGGTTTTTGCATATTTTCTTAGGTCACAGTGACAGGTTTCTGAGTTGTTTCCCTTTTCAAGTCTCTGGGAGGCCAGTGGCAGCAGCAGGTCTGTGTTTCACCTTCTTCCCATGTGAGCTTGGAAAACTTTGGCATCTTAATTAGTCTTGAATCATACACCTGATCCCCAAACATTGCCTGCTCTCAATGAAACATGCTTTGGAAATGGAAGGGACTCAGAAAGTCGAAATCCCAAGAACTCCAAGCCAAAAGTGTTAGGTTTTAGTGAAATTTGTGTCAGGTATAAGCATACCTGTTTGGGCCAGAATTATTATCACAGCCTTTCTGACCCAAACTTTCAAAAGCAAATAAACAGCATATAAAACGTTAATTATCTTTCCATTGTAATTGTGATGATCTACTCTGTATGGGTACCAAAATCACCTTCTCTCTTCAAGTCAAAGTTGAATTTAGAACTTTGAATACAGGTCAAAAAATGTAGAAAATATCATTTTATATTCCCTAATCTATATAGCTGAAAAAGGGTTGTATTTTCTTAGCTGAATATGAATACCTCTTAAACATAAATTAGTTCCTCTCCAGTGAAGTATCTTATTTTACCAATCCATTTCAGGAAAGAGGTTCTGCTGCCGTAAAGGCAGAAATTTTATTTTTATCCCTTTTATTTGAATGAGAGATTTGAAAATCGAATTATGTAAATATTTCAATGCATCTGCTATTATTTTGTGGAGTTTATTAAACTACTTTAAAAAAATTGTATAGTCTATTTATTGTATGTATGTACATACAGTCTGATACCTAAAATTTAAAGTGGATTCCATAAAACCAGACTCAAGTCTTGTTTAGACTACTGAATACTGTTTTAGCCTGTGCCCTGGATTCTACCTCTGTATAGGAAAATTTTCCATATTCATTAATTAGTGTTGATCTGTATTAATTGGTTATGTTTCTTGCACTAAGGATGTTTAAAACTCCGCTGTAAGTGTAGATTTTAGTTTTACTGGCAGGATGAATCACTTGACACATAGGTAGATACTTGAGGTTCATTTTCTTTTCTTTTTCTACATGATGATGAATAGTTATGTTTTCTTCTCTGATTTGTTCAAAGTTTGCCAAAAGAAAACACAAAACCAGTACAGTACTTACTGATAAATCGTAGTGACTGTAATTTGTTTGTAAGGCGAATTAATGCTCTACAATTAAAGCTGGATTACTATTGAGGAACACATTGTCTTAGTGTAGTTTTTGAATGGAAAGTTTTTGTCATTAAGGATGAAGGAAACGACACAATTTGTTACTTTAATTTTATATTTGATTTAAACAACAAATAAAGTCATTGGGACAATAAATATATATCCCGATGAATCTTTTTGATTTGTTTTACTTTTCTTATTTTTTTTTTTTTAACTAGAAAAAGGGAAAGAAGAAGTCAGGAGTTTAAAACCAAATTGGAGGGCAGATGAGAAATCCTGCCAAGATCGGGATGTGCCTTCATGCATGAGGTGAGGCCAGAGGTGTGGGCACCTGTACCTGCCTCCTCTTCTGGGCTGGCTTTCCTGTCTGCCTGCTCTCGGGCTTGGGCAGAGCCATCTCCATCCTGGGGTTTCCTTTAAGCTAAGCTGAAAGCAAAATTTGGGGAGTGAATGATTTAAACTTTTCCTGCTGCTTTTGGTAACTTCTCACCTGGGGCCATATTTTACAGATTTGAATTTTTTTTTTTCTTTTTTTGAGATGGAGTCTCGCTCTTGTCACCCAGGCTGGTGTGCAATGGTGCGATCTGGGCTCACTGCAACCCCCACTTCCCGGATTCAAGCAATTCTGCCTCAGCCTCCCGAGTAGCTAGGATCACAGGCACCCACCACCATGCCCAGCTGATTTTTGTAGTTTTAGTAGAGACAGAGTTTCACCACGTTGGCCAGGCTGGTCTCAAACTCCTGACCTCAAGTGATCCACCCCCCTCAGCCTCCCAAAGTGCTGAGATTACAGGCGTGAGCCACTGCCCCTGGCCCAGATTTGAAATTTTTTAAAAATAAAACATGATTCTTGGTTATTGTAGGTATTTAATAAATGTTAAATAAATATATACATAGAACAAAGTAGTGCCTGCCTTCCTGCTGTGTTTTTTGAGTTAGTATATTGAGATAAAATTCAACAGGTTTTATGGATGCTGAGTGAACCAGTTCTTTGCAAGAGCAGTGGTAGAAAGTGGTATTGGCCCTGTGTTCTTGAGCGACTCACAAAAGTATGAGAGCTACTCCAGCAATTGAGAAGTTGCACAATAGAGACCTAATAGAACATGTCACTTTCATATTGATACCCCATTTTGTCTGAAACCACTTTATCTCCCTTGATGTCATTGGAGTCAGCATCTTGGGTGGGTCTTAAAGACATTATCTTCTGAAAAGTCAGCCATGATGAGGTCCTACCCTTGTTGAAAAAGAGAAGGAAACAAGAAACATGCTCTTGCACTGAGACAGGAACAGGATACTTAACTTGGGTTTTATATATATATTTATTTTTAAATATATATATATTTTTAAACAGAGTCTCACTTTGTCACTCTGCCTGGTGTGCAGTGGCACAATCATAGCTCACTGTAGCCTCCAACTCCTGGGCTCAAGTGATCCTCCCGCCTCAGCCTCCCTGGGACGATGGGCCTGTGCCACCATGCCCACCTAATTTACTTGTTTTTTTTTTTTTGAGATGGAGTCTCACTCTGTCGCCCAGGCTGGAAGTGCGGTGGTGCAATCTCAGCTCACTGCAACCTCTGCCTCACAGGTTCAACTGATTCTCCTGTCTCAGCCTCCCAAGTATCTGGAACTGCAGGCACACACCACCACACCTGACTAATTTTTGTATTTTTCATAGAGATGGGGTTTCACCATGTTTGCCGGGCTGGCCTCAAACTCCTGACCTCAAGTGATCCGCCGGCCTCAGCCTCCCAAAGTGCTGGGATTACAGGCGTGAGCCACTGCTCCTGGCCAGGCTAATTTTTAAATTTTCTATAGAAATGGGGTCTTGCTGTGTTGCCCATGCCGGTCTTCAACTCCCAGCTTCAAGTGCTCCTCCTGCCTCACCCTCCCAGGGTGTTATGTCTTTAGCTGCATGGATTTCAAGCCAAGGCCTGCAAACAGCTTGGTTAAGGTGCTGACTTGCTGTTATTGAATGCAGCGCCCTGCTAGAGCTGTTGCACCCAAACAGGGCTGGGGAGATGCCCAGGAGTGCTTGCAGTCACAGTGGTGGGGCTGGAGTTCGTACCTCCAAGTCAGCAGGCTCCCTGCCTGTTTTCCTGTTAGATTTTCTTACTAAGTTTGCATATGTGAAGGGGCTAAAGGTCCTGTCTGTCACTCTTCTCAGCAGTGATCAACCTCAAAATGAGCTTCTTAATCTGGCAGCTGCTGTCTCTGTGCACTGTGGCAGGTCTGAGCTGGGCACAGCAGCTGGGTGAGGACTTGGCCTGGCAACTGTATCTGTCCTTCATAGGTTTTTGTGAAAAGAGTTCTGCAGAACCTGTTACAGTAAGAAGTGAACTCAAACATGATGTCTGACTTAATGATGTTCAGATTCTACAGGTCTCAATAAACTTTCCAGTGTCCTTTAAGGGACTTGGTTTCAGTGGGGGGCTTTCCTTTTAAGAATTTTTGTTCATATAAATAAGTTATTTCAAATAAGGGATAAAAGAATGGCATTACAAAATATAGTTTGGGATAGAAATATTAAATGTAGCGAGAATTTATGCATAAGATGTTAACATCGGTATTGATTTTTTTGTCATGGAACCTTGGGTTTTAGTCTCAGTCCAAAAGATTAACTTGCTCTGTGACCTTGGACAAATTATTTGACCTCTCTGGACCTCTCAGTGACCTTGGCTGTGAGGGAGACTCTTGTTTTCATCACCTGTCTTAGTCTGTTTCTGAGCACACTCTGCTCAGCCATTCAGCCACAATTGTTGGACGCTCCTCTAAATGTAGCAAGGGTGGACATAGTAAAAGCCAAGTGCAAGCCTAACGGTGACAGAAAACCCAGGACGAGGGGAAGTCGGTTGTGTTCTCCAGGTCCTCTCCTAAAGAAGGGTGGCCATGGGTAGAAGCAGCAGGTCTTACAGGACCTGGGTACCCAGTTTTCCGCTGCTGTCCCTTCTTCCCCAGCTCTCCCAAGTACAGCTGAATGCTCAGCGTGGCCTCTAGTTGGCCATTCCTGGACCTGGTTTGTGAGTTCTTGTCTGCATTGGTGGATCCTGGAAATCTCGAAACAGTGGAAGTGGGTGTGTGAATCCACTGCCAAGTGCCTCTGTCCTGAAGAGGATGCTGCTTCATTTCTGTGAGCTCCAGCAATGCTTCCTTAGACCTGCTGACCAAAGCTCAGGAAGCCAACCTCGGAAGAGAAGGATTTTGCACCTCCTCCCGTGCAGACACCAGCACTAGGGGGCAGCGCGTGGTAATGATGACTCTGCAGGGGCAGGACCCCCCAGGACCAGGCCTTGGTGCAATGCAGCAGGCATGTGGTCTGGCAGGTCCCATGGCTGTGATCAATTCTGAGTCACTTCATCTTTAAAACAGAGAAATGTGTGACTTCCAGAGCCTTTCCGTCCCTAATATCCCGTTATGGTTATGCTGGGTTTTGCAGGAGCAACCTCGAGACTAATAAGAGGTTTAGTCACCCCTGCAATCTTTGAAAAACAACAAATACAGGATGTGGAAAAACCGAGAGTGAGGCACCCAGAGCCCAGAATGCTGGGTAGCTCCTTCCCTAGCTTGTGCAGCATCCTGTGCTGAGCCACGGCCCCTTACGTGTAAGCAAAACTCGAAACAAAATTCCTGTTCTAGAATATTATCTAGAAAATGTGTACTTGTTTTATACTGACGTAATTCCTTCAACAAATATTGAGCTGGACACTGTCTAATTCATGTTGGGGATGGATATGGCTTTCTTGGGGGATGTTCTAGTGGAGCAGATGGTCAAATAAGTTAGCGTGTAAAAAGGATCTTGGTAAGTGTCAGGAGGGAAATTGAGTGGTTATGATAGTAACTAGGAGGTGGCAGCTTGATGGACATGACCTTTTGAGTGGACGTCTCCGTGGAAGAGATGGGGAGAAGGGAAGATGGATGGAGATGTGGTTGGAGAAGAGCTGATCAGCCCAGGCCTCACAGGCATTGCTGAGGAACACAGATTTGAAGACCAATGGGAAACTGCCACAGAATTTAGTTAGTTCTGGTGCTCAAGGAGTGGGTGTGACAGGCAGCACGGTTCCCGCCTGGACGGCCACAAGGTGGAGAGAAGGGCCACATGTACTTCAGAGGTTACACATAGGAAAAGAAAGACCAGTTCTCGCCACACTTCTGGGGTGAACCATCGGTAAGTTGTAACAGATAATGTGTTCCTGAGGTTAGTCCAAATCCTGAGTACCGGTAATCTACCATGCATCATACACAATGAGACTGTGTCAAGATGAAAAACCCGGACCCCTGCTCTCAAAAGCTGTGTTTGGGCTGGATCAATGAAAACAGACACATTTTCATCCTAAACACATCTTCATCCTAGCATGGGCATGAGGTGGAATCTCTGAACCTGTCTTTGGTAATAAAAATGTAGACAGAGCGGTTCTTGAACATCATTTCTTCCTGCAGGCACTTGTGGGTTATATAGTCATTTATCTTGTGTTCAGTATTTTTTTAGTACCTTGAAGCTAATGTGATTGCTACCAAGAAAATCTAGGAGAAACAACTGGAAAATTATAAGAATTCAGTAAGATTATAGTTACAAGATTAGTACACAAAAATTGAGTTTTCTAATTTACCAGCAGCAATCAATTAGAGAATATAATGGAGATGCCATTCAAAAATAGCAACAAAGTGTTGCTATTTTGCTGCACATGCCTGTAGTCTCAGCTACTCAGGAGGCTGAGGCAGGAGGATCACTTTGAGCCCAGGAGTTTGGGACTGCAAAGAGCTGTGATGGCATCACTGCACTCTAGCCTGGGTGACAGAGCAAGACCTTGTCTCTTAAGAAAAAAACCCAAACCACAAAATAGGAGCAAATTATGTCAAAGAACAAAAACATTTATTAAATGCTTACAGTGTGTCCTGCACAGTTTAAGCACTCAACATTTGTTAATTCATTTAATCCCCATAACAATTGCATGAGGTAGCTACTATTATTCCGGATGAAGGTGCTTATTAGGCTTGGAGAGGTGAAAACCCTGGTCAGTAAGTGGTAGAGCCAGAAAGCCTGATACCAGAGTTTTTTTTAGAGGCAGGATCTCACTGTGTTGCCCAGGCTGGTCTTGAACTGGACTCAAGTGATCCTCCTGCCCTGGCCTCCCGGAAGGCTGGGATTACAGGCATGAGCCACTGCACTTGGCCCAATCCAGAGCTTATTTCTCATCACTATGCTACATGGTCTTTCACTGCCACTGATTAGGGAGAAACCCATCTAGAAACATGCTATGCTGGATTGAGTAGTGCCCTCTAAAAATTCATTTCCACCTGAAATGTACAGATATGACCTTATTTGGAAATAAGGTCTTTGCAGATGTAATTAGTTAAGACGAGGTCATATTGGACTAGGGTGGGCCTAAATCCCTGTAAGGAGAGGGGAGTCGGCAGACACAGGGACAACACGCTGTGGAGGTGAAGGCAAAGGTTGGAATGATGCAGCCGCAAGCCAAGGAACGCCAAGGTTGGCCAGGGCCAGCAGAAGCTGGAAGAGGCAAGGAAGAATCCTTCTCTGGAGTTTCCAGAGCATATGGCCCTGCTGGCACCTTGATTTTGGACTTCCAGCCCCCAAAACAGTGACAGAATAAATTTCTGTTGTTGTGAGCCATCCAGCATGTGGAAATTTGTTATGGCAGCCCTAGGAAACCGACACAGGTGCAATTCCTAAATAGAGAAAATGCCGGCCGGGCGCAGTGGCTCACACCTGTAATCCCAGCACTTTGGGAGGCCAAGGTGGGCAGATCACTTGAGGTCAGGAGTTCGAGGCCAGCCCGACCAACATGGTGAAACCCCATCTCTATTAAAAATACAAAAAGTTAGCTGAGCATGGTGGTGCACACCTGTAATCCCAGCTACTTGGGAGGCTGAGGCAGGTGAATTACTTGGACCCAGGAGGCAGAGGTTGCAGTGAGCCAATATCACACCACTGTACTCCAGCCTGGCCACAGAGCAAGACTCCATCTCAAAAAGAAAATGCCAAACTTTGCCGGCAGTCATCACGAAAGACCTGAACGAAAGAGACGTGCCATGTTCCTGAGTGGGAAATCACAGGACCTGACAAATGTCACATCTCTCGTTCCTACTCTCCCTTTTGTCTAGTGTGTTCTCTAAGTATACCAAGTTCTGTTTCGATTCAGGAACTTTTTCTGCATTGTTGTTTCTGTCTGGCGTGCTTCCCCCTGATACCTGCATTGCTCACTCTTCTCACTATCTGCTGTTTTTCTTGTTCACTTGATTATTGTCTGGTGTGGCATTTTTCCGGAAACAAAGCACTGATCTCATATTTGGAGGACTTCCAATTGTGAAAGCTTTCTTCTGCAACTCCCTGTTGTAGGTAGAACAGATGTTCTATCCCCATCGCTTTTCAGTAGAGCTGAGGGCAGTGTTAGAGAAAGAGCAGTCTCAGCAGAGATGCGTATCCAAATATGGGAGACTCTGGCCGTCAACTAAGGAAGTTTGAACAGTGTCATTCAGTCTACAAATATGTGCCTTAAACGTAACATTTTTCCAGAAACACAGTACTGATCTCATATTTTGAGGTACTTCCAATTTTCAAAGCTTTCTTCTTCATCTCCTCTGTGACTCCCTGATGTAGGTAGAACAGACGTCTGCTTCAATGCCATGTCCTTACAGGCCTCCTCTCACCACAGCCCACCCCCCAGGGAAGGGCCCTCCTTGTTGCTCTTGTGTTGCCCAACCATAAGCCTTGCCTGGCTCTCCCCACTGTCTGCTGTTTTTCTTGTTCACTTGATTATTGTCTGGTGTGGCATTTTCCCAGAAACAAAGCACTGATCTCATATTTGGAGGTACTTCCAATTTTCAAAGCTTTCTCCTGCAACTCCCTGATGTAGGTAGAACAGCTGTTCTGTCCCCATCGCTTTTCAGTAGAGCTGAAGTGCAGAAAGGCTAAGTGACTTGTCAAGGTCGCGTCATCAGCAACCAAACAGATCTTGCAGTTAATCTACAGCTACCCCTACAACCACAGAGCGTGGCAAGCCCTCCTGCCCCTAGAATGCTGACTCAGGAGGCAGGAGCCTTGTATGACCCATTCCCTGCTGAACCCCAGGACCCAATACATGCCAGCCCTGTCCAGTGAGTGAGTGGATGGGGTGAGGCACAGGTCCAGAAGATCAGGACAGGGATCAAGCCATAGTCACATCTTGAGCAAAAGGAGGAAAGCTGGAGGTATAGAAATGTAGATAAAGTGGTTCTTGAACATCATTTCTTCCTGCAGGCACTCATGGGTTCTACAGTCATTTATCTCGTGTTCAGTAACCTTGAAGCTAATGTGGTTGCTACCAAGAAAACCTAAAAGAAACACCTGGAAAACTATCAGAATTCATCACACCTGTGAGAATGGTATGGAGAAAAGGGAGCCCCTTTGCACTGCTGTTGCAAAGGCGAATTATTACAGCCATTCTAGAAGACAATATGGAGGCTCCTAAAAAGACTAAAAATAGAATTGCCATATGATCCGGCAATCCCACTTCTGGCTATATATCCAGAGGAATCGAAATCAGTGTGCTGGAGAGACAGCTGCACTCCCATTAAAACACTGTTCACAATAGCCCAGACAGGGAGGCAACCTAGGTGTCCATCACTATGTGAAATAAGCCAGGCACAGAAACAAATATCCAATCATTTCACTTACATGTAGAATCTAAAAAAAGCTGAACTCAGAAGTAGAGTAGAGTGGTGATTATCAGAGGATAGGAAAGGAGGAGGATGAACAAAGGGGAGTGCTGCACCAATGGGTACAAAGTTTCACTTAGGAGGAGTAAGATCTAGTGATCTATTGAACGAACAGCTACCATCATAAATGCATTGTGTATTCCAAAGTTGTAGATTTCAGTTGTTTTCACCACACACAAAAATAAGTACGTGAAGTGATGGATTTGCTCAGTAGCTTGATTTAATCATTCCACAATGTAGAACATGTATCAGAACATATTGTACCCCATAAATATATACAATTGTTTTTCAATTAAAAATAAAAAGTAGAGCTATGAGGCGGCTTCAGGAAAGAGGCAGAGCTTGAACTGGTTGTGTTGTAGAATCTGGATATGTAGAAAGGAAAGGAATTCCAGCAGGAAGCACATGAACCAAGAGTCCGGAGCCCACCCACTCAGCATTGCCGAGGACAGTGTTAGGGAAAGAGCAGTCTTAGTAGAGATGCGTGTCACAAATACAGGAGACTCTGGCCGTCAACTAAGGAAGTGTGTACAGTGTCATTCGGTCTACAAATATGTACTTTAAATGTAACATTTTTCCAGAAACATAGTATTGATCTCATATTTTGAGGCACTTCCAATTTTCAAAGCTTTCTTCTTCATCTCCTCTGCGACTCCCTGATGTAGGTAGAACAGATGTTCTATCCCCATCGCTTTTCAGATAGAGCCGAAGTGCAGAAAGGCTAGGTGACTTGGCAAAGGTCACGTCATCAGCAACCAAACAGGACTTGCAGTTAATCTACAGCTGCCCCTAAACAGAGCGTGGCAGGCCACACCTGTCACATCAATCTCCATGCACGTCTTTGGAGAAGAGACAGCTGCAACATTTTAGCTTTAAAAAGTACTTAGCAAATAATGCACCTACAAGCAAGAATGGTGTCTGGGGATCCTGTTATTTTTATTGTTGCTGGATATAGAACCCACACAGATGGTAAGTCTGGCTTATTAATGGCATTTTGCAGAAATCTATGTGTTACTATTTCAGAATTGCTGCCTGGCCCCCAGGTGACATCCCCTTCCCGCCAGGTCTCAGTTTAAGAGCTTCAGAGAATCTGGAAACTCAGGGATTTCATGCATGGTCACCACCTGTCCCCTCTCTGAGGCCGTGGCCCCTACTTTAGCAGGTTCTGCTGGACTAGAGTTTTATTTTTCTGAGCTTGCAATTTCTCATTTTGAGGTTTGAGGTGCTTTTTCCATCTCAAAACCTGCCCAGCCCGTGACTTTCATTGAATGTCTCAGTATGGATTTCCTCATTGCTCATGTCTTATCTCAAAAGTTGTGTCTTCATTGGCCTTTTCTGGGTAGCTCATCTAAAGTAGCACCAGTCCCTCTGTCTCACCCCATAATGGCTCACCGTCAGCCCTCCTGATTCAATTTCTTTGGCAGCATGTCATTTTCTGGTGGTACCCTGCTTATTCCTTACAATCTAAGTTGTGTGCCTCCCATCAAAGGCAGAGCCTACCCTTCCCCATTTGGAACAGAATGCCGACTTCCTTGCTTGCTAAGCAGGAGACAGTCTCTGAGCAAAGGGAAGAGCTGATCTCACACAGGGCCTTGGAAAGCATGAAGTTCAGGGATTTCAGTGCCCAGAGCATTTAGGGATTGGTTGGCATTTGCCTGCGTCAGTGTGGTTACTTAAGACTTGCGGATTGCCTGCCCTTGGCTGCTGATGTGAAATCCTCGTTGATCAAGGAGAATGGGTTTTAAACTGGTTCTGATGGTCACTTGTTTCTATGGCCAAATAACCAGCCAACATGGTGAAACCCCGTCTCTCCTAAAAATACAAAAATTAGCTGGGTGTGGTGGCGGGCACCTGTAATCCCAGCTACTTGGGGGGCTGAGGCAGGAGAATGGCTTGAACCAGGGAGGCGGAGGTTGCAGTGAGCTGAGATTGAGCCATTGCACTCCAGCCTGGGAGACAGAGCAAGACTCCATCTCAATACAAACAAACAAACAAAAAAACTAATGGAGGAGTGGCCCCAGCTTCTCCTGTGGTGGATGGGGCTGTGAAACGTTAACTTGGAAGGACTGCTGAAAGATGGATGTTACTCTGTTAATGGAGAGGGCAGAACTAGAGCCAGGAATCAGTAAAAGTTTCTGAGACATGGATTTCTGCTCAGTATAAGGAAGACCCTTTAAGAGTTACAGTCGTGCAGAGGTAGAAATGGCCAGGGGCCACCTTCTCATGGTGTTAACCAGTCGTTATCGTTGTCCACTTCCAGCAGCACAGGCCTGTCATACAATGAGCTCCTCCGTGGAACCCCAGTATACACAGGTCAGAGGCATGCAGATCTGTGTCAGTGGAAGAAACTGTGGAGAGCCAGTTCCAGCCACATGGTAACCCCTGACACACCCTGACCAGACTTTACGATTCTAAGAAACAAATGCAAGAACCACTCATTACATTATTTAAAAATTCCTGCCGTTATTCTGTGCAGTGGGCATCTGCATTTCCCACTTTTCAGCTGAAAGGACTTAGGGGAAGAGAAAGTAACTTGAGGGTGGCAGAGCCAGGATTAGAACCCATGCTGGTCTGATTCTGAAGTCACACTCACAATCACACTACCCTATTACCTCCCAGTGGAGTGAAATGAGATGGTCCATTGTTAAAAAGAGGTCTGGGGGGCCGGGCATGGTGGTTCATGCTTGTAATCCCAGCACTTTGGGAGGCCAAGGTGGGCGGATCACAAGGTCAGGAGATTGAGACCATCCTGGCTAACACAGTGAAACCCTGTGTCTACTAAAAATACAAAAAATTAGCCGGGCATGGTGGTGGGTGCCTGTAGTCCCAGCTACTCGGGAAGCTGAGGCGGGAGAATGGTGTGAACCCGGGAGGCGGAGCTTGCAGTGAGCCAAGATCATGCCACTGCACTCCAGCCTGGGCGACACAGCAAGACTCTGTCTCAAAAAAAAAAAAAAAAAAAAAAAAAAAAAATCTTTGGGAGAAAGAACAAACTCCATGTGATTTCTTAGATTTTCAGATTCTATCTATTAATTTTGCTTCCCTAGAAATCTTAGTGACTTATTTATTGATGACAGAGATGAATCAAGAAAATATTGCTTTAGAGACAGGTGGATCACCTGAAGTCAGGAGTTCGAGACCAGCCTGGTCAACATGGTGAAACCCCATCTCTACTAAAAATACAAAAATTAGTGGGGTGCGGTGGTGGGCACCTGTAAGCCCAGCTACCAGGGAGGCTGAAGCAGGAGAATGGCTTGAACCTGGGAGGTGGAGGTTGCAGTGGGCTGAGATCACGCCACTACACTCTAGCCTGGGTGACAGAGTGAGACTGAAAAAAAAAAAAAAGAAAGAATATACTGCTTTAAAAAAATCTTGTGAGTGCAAATTCCTTGCTTGAAAGGAATGAAGGACATATAAAAGGATTTTTCCACTAGTCACTGGACTATTTATTAGAGAACCTAGTACTAAATACCCATTAAAATATTTTCCTATCCATTGCCCCATTAGGTGTCTGGTTTGTTAATCCACAGTGCCTTCTTCATCCTTGACTTCATGCTCCAATAAATGGGACTTTGAAAGGCCCACCAGTTGGTAGTGGACAAGGCATTTTGCACATAAAATTGTACATTTGTGGGTGCTTGAGGTTTTTTTGTTGACATCTTTTTCTTTTGAGACAGGGTCTCTCTCTGTCACCCAGGCTGGAATGCAGGGCTTACTGCAGCCTTGACTTCCCAGGCTTGAGCGATCCTCCCTCCTCAGCCCCGCCCCGCAAGTAGCTGGGACTACAGGCATGTGCCACCACGACTGGCTAATTTGTTTGAATATTAGTAGAGACAGGATCTTGCTATGCTGGAGGCTGGTCTCCAATTCCTGAGTTCAAGCAATCCTCCCATCTTGGCCTCCCAAAGTGCTAGGATTACAGACATGAGCCACCGTGCTTAGCTGGTGCTTGAGGTTTTTAGGTCCAATTACAACATTTCATCTTTTTACTCACTAGTCAGCAGCAGAGATTGCTCACAAGAGAGTATACTGAAGTTCTGTATTTTATTAGATTGCTCACAAGAGAGTATACTGAAGTTCTGTATTTTATTATCTCCACTACAGGACCTTTACTTTTGCAAATTGCTTGACGTATTCCTCCCTGAAACTTTTGTAACGCTATAATTGTGTCACAAATATAAGCTCCAAGGACTCTGCTACAATAAAAACATTTAATGTGAACAAGGTAAGACAGGCTCTAAATCTTCCCCATGCCATTTTCATTTCCCCGGGCCTGTTTTTTTTACTTCACAGAGAATACAAATTTGGCCCACAGGAAAAATACATCCATGGGACCCAATCAGCCTAATTCAGTGCAACACCAACCTCATTCTGCTACTTTCCCTGATCAGGGATGGCCTTTATGCAGCTTCCCCTGAATGTCAATGATCAATCTCTTTGAACCAAATCCTGGGGAAATTTGAACGTCTCTAGCTGTTGAAATATCTTTGATTTTGTGAATAATATTTTCATATACTTATGCATCTTGTTCTCTGTGTAATCTGTTATAAAAATTAGAAGAGTCTCGGTATTCAATGACATGAAGACGTCTTTCCCAATCACATTCTGCCTGTACATGAAACTTGTCAGAGTAAACAAGTTGAGTTGACGGACAACCGGGTGCCCCTACGGAAACGTACTGGCAATCAGGCCTGTGAGCAGGAAAATGTCCTGAAATAACCGGAGCAACTGGGCACAGCGCACAACTTCCCAGCATTGCAGTTTATTGTTTTAGAGCCCGAGCCCCAGGCGGGATGCTCAGGACCTGCATTCCTTGGCGATTGGGGGAGATGGTAGAATGTTACAGATGAGGGTGCTTTACATGAGCTCACTCATTTGTGAGAGTCAACTCACTGTGGATTCAGGAGGTCTGAATGATTCCAGCCCTCTGGCTTTTCTTGGAGGAAGCCAACCCAGGCAAACCAATTGCCACCCACGGAGGATGGCTCTTCACCAAAACCCAGGAGGGCCCAGGCCCGAAGACTAGATTGCTCCAGCTTCCTATGGCAGAAAGAGGATGATAAAAATAGTTGATGTAGCAACCTGTCGTGCTGCCCAAGGTGCGTAACCTCATGCTTGTTTGGAAAGACTTGAACAGGTAGCTGAGGGTGCAAACAGGGCAGCTGCATTTGGAGAGAAGAGGATGAAAGAGGAATGAAGGGAGGCGGTGGGACCGGAAAATCAAAGGTGTGGAAAAGATGTGTTATGGTGGGTTAGGTTAATGGACATCTCCACTTCAACAAGACCTTCCACAAAAAAGCTGACACCTCGTGAGAAATCAAGGTCCCACTGCATCTGCAAGAAGGGAAGTTGCGTTTGGTGAGAGCCTGTGATACAAGTGATAAAGATGGAAGCTTACCTTTGAAGAACCACGAAATGCCTCCAATGGACAGGTCATTAAACAGCAGTTCATCTACTCGAGTATTTCCAGGGCTTTGTCTCTAGCTCAGGCTGTCCTCACATCCGTCTGTCAGACACCTCTACTTGACGGAGGCCACCCTTCCTCCCACTCCCTGGCCCTGTGTCCCACACCTGTCCCTTCTTAATGAGGGACCCCATCTGCCTGGGTGCCTGGGCCAGGAGGCTCCCTCCCCTTGGGTTGTCTCCACCCTCACTCATGCCCATCGCTCTGGACTTGGCCTCCTCAGAACCCCCGGGTTCCATCCCTGGCAGCCTGAGGGGCACTCACCTCCACCGCTGCCGCCTTCTGGGTCCTTCTCTTCACAACAGGTGATGCCATCTTCCTCAAATGCAGATCCGACTGTGTCACCTCCAATGGAGACCTTCAGTGACTTTCCATTGTCGATCGGGTAGAACCCACACTGTCCCAGGACCAAACAGGGCCCTGCTTCCACCCTCACCTTGTTCCCGCCCAGGCTTTGTTTGTCCTGCATTGCACACAGTGCCCGGTACCCCGCAGGTTCACTCCCAGCTTTAGGGCATTGCATGTGCTGCTTCCTGCCCATCACAGCCTGGCGACCCTCGCATCCCTTCGGAGCCTGCCACGCCTCTCCTTCAGAAACAGCCCTAACCCGGATACTGCACCCTGCTGCGCTGCTGACCTGCAGGTACCTTCCTGCATCCCATTCCACATGGAGACCCCCTGGGCAGAGGCTTGGCCCCGTAGTATCCCTAGTGCCAAGCACCATGCCCACATGTGCCACTCACTGAATTAAAACTAGCAACTTAATAAAGTTTGAACACTCAAACATATCACACACACTGGTCGCAGACATGCTGTGAAGGCATGTCACCTCAGAAAGGTTGCATTTTGACTCTTCCACCAAGAGTAAATGGCTGCAAGAGATTGGAAGTGGCTGAGCAGAAGGTGGTCTGCAGGAACTTCCCAGCGCCCACCCCTGCCCCATGGGAACACAGGTGGGTCTTTGGTGGTGGAAAACATACTCTGTAAATAGCCAAGTGAGTGCTATTATGAAGTCAGGGGAGACACTGTATGGAGAAAAGCTACAGAAGTGGAAATACATTAGCCAACCCGACTTCAAGGGAAATGACTGTCCCATGAAACTGGGCTGGAAATGCTCCAAGGTAGGCTGAGCTGGGACCTGATGCTGCGTAAAGAGCCCAGAGGGAAGGGTGAGGTGTGGAGAACTCAGACCGAATGTGAAGGGTGTGAGCACCCCATAGAAGTTCTGCATTGGAGGAACACCCAAAGACTTAGGGAGTTGGCATCCAAGTAGCTTGGAGGTAAGCTGAAGTTATTTCTTCTTCCTTTGTGCAAAGTCCTTCAAAAATATCTTTGATCTAAGCTCTCAGGCACCACAGGAACACACAAGCATTTGTTCTCAGCCTGGGCGTGTTCGGTGGTGACAGCAAAGGCACCTGCCCTCTAGAACAGCCTGGAAACAGCTGGCAGAGAAGAGACAGCCTGCAGCTTACCCCAGCCTCCGTGTGTTCAGGCTCCCCGGTGGTGTGTGCTCACTCTCCCTCCTTCCCTCCCTCTTTCTCTCTCTCTGTCACACACGCCCCCATACACCCCTATGTAAAATGCCTGTACCCCAAGAGATCAGAATTAGGGTAGGGTGTTCGCTGCACCACCAGTTCTGCTTCTGATCTGAGTGTCCAGGGTCAGGTTTCTTGTGACCACAATAAGTATTGCTTGAATTTCACACAATTTCCTCCCTCAGAGGTCCCTGTGCCTTCAGAGGACTATACAAAAAACACCCTCTGGAAGTGTGAGGCTCCTGCATGTACCTACGTGTGTGTGTGTGTGTGTGTGTGTGTGTGTGTGTGTGGTCAGCTCTGGGTTAAATGGAAAGACCACGGTCCTGGAAGAGGCAGCTCTGAGTCCAGATTCTTCTGTGATCTTGGGCAAATTCCCTCACTTTCTGCTAGGGCTACAAGAACAGAATACCTCAGAGACTGGGCGTCTTCTGCAGCAGAAACACCCTCTCACTGTCCTGGAGGCCAGAAAGCCGAGACAAAGGTGTGGGCACCGTTGGTCTCTCCCGAGGACTCTCTCCTTGGTTCGCAGATGGCGGCTTCCCCCGGTGCCTGTAGCATCTTCCCTGTGCACGCACCTCCCTGGTGTCTCTCTCTGGTCGTAATCTCTTCTTCTTAGGACACCAGTCAGATTGTATTAGGGCTCACCCTAATGGGCTCATTTTAGCTTCATTACCTCTTAAAAGACCCTGTCTCCAAATATAGGCACGTTCTGAGGTTCTGTGGGTTAGGACGTTAGCAGATGAATGTTGGGGGGACTTGTTCAGCCTACAGCACTTTTCTCAGCTTCATTTTTGCTCTTGATGTCTGAAGGAGTCAAGCCAGTGATTTCCGAAGTCCTCTCTGAATCAACCAGTTCTGTCTGGGAGTTCTGTCTGTCTCTCTCTCTCTCTCTCTCTCTCTCTCTCTCTCTCTCTCTCTCTCTCTCTCTCTCTCTGTCCTCTCTCCTGAGACTACAAATACTTAGGTGGCCGTGGCCATGTGGTTTTCTTTTTCTTTTCTTTTCTTTTTTTTTTTTTTGAGATGGAGTCTCACTCTGTTGCCCAGGCTGGAGTGCAGTGGCACGATGTAGGCTCACTGCAACCTCTACCTCCCAGGTTCAAGCAATTCTCCTGCCTTAGCCTCCCGAGTAGCTGCGATTACAGGTGCCCACCACCACACC
Organism: Homo sapiens; assembly: GCF_000001405.40. Classification (NCBI taxonomy): domain Eukaryota; kingdom Metazoa; phylum Chordata; class Mammalia; order Primates; family Hominidae; genus Homo; species Homo sapiens. Next base: position 35,587,639 of record NC_000010.11, read on the forward strand.
CAGCTAATTTTTTGTATTTTTAGTAGAGATGGGGTTTCACCATGTTGGCCAAGGCTGGTCTTGAACTCCTGACCTCAGGTGATCCACCTGCCTTGGCCTCCCAAAGGGCTGGGATTATAGGCTTGAGCCACTGCACCCAGCCAGCCATGTGGTTTTCTTTCTGCATGTACCTCTCCATCTGAAGAGAACACCCCTCCCTCTCCATCTCTGTCAGTTGCTGGTGTTGTCATAGCTAAGGTCATCTGAGCTGTCTCCCTCTCTAGGTTGCACTTTAGAGTGGCAGTCAGGGAACAGAAAGAAGGCAAGGCTCACATGAAGGAAGATGGGGCCCAGTACAATGTGGCCCGGCGTGCAGGGCTCCTTGAGGTCCCAGGACCATTCCTAGTTAGGGCTCCACCCAACAGCAGGCCCAGGCCCACCCTGGCTCTGGGCACATCCTCATTGTGAGTGTGTGGATCAGGACACACACCCCACCCCTCAGGTCTCGACTGGCTCCTGTATCTGCTACCAGCCCCAGAATCAGCGAGTGTTACCACATTTTTTTTTCCTAAGAGACAAGTTCTCCCTCTGTTGCCCAGATTGGAGTACAGTGGCATGGTCATAGCTCACTGCAGCCTTGAACCCCTGAGCTCAAGCAATCCTCCTGCCTCAGCCTCCTGAGTAGCTGGGACTACAGGCATGTACTACCACGCCTGGCTAACTTGTTTTTCTATTTTTTGTAGAGATGGAGGTCTTGCTATGTTGCCCAGGCTGGTCTTGAACTCTGGGCTCAAGCAATCCTCCTGCTTCAGCCTCCCAAGTTGCTGTTAACTCCTTCTGAGCTGCCCCCCCTTACACTAAGGAAAATGGTGGATGGAGCTGTAAGTGCAGGAACAGAAAATGACCTCCTGTGGGGGCTGAAAGGAATTCTTGCCCGAAACCATCCTTTTCTCCTCTCAGCTCCAAAGAGAAGAAGCATATCTGTGTAGTTACTGTCAGAAGCTCATGCATATCCTGTCCTTGCTCCCTTAAATAATGGCTCCCAATGGCCATATTGAAAGTGCTGTACTCTGAGAGAACTTTGGATATCTTCAGCTCCTGGTTTGCCTCAGTATCCAATTTAACAGAAAAGAGAGAGAAACAGAAAGCAACTGCTTTTAGAGTTTGGTTGTTCCTGAGAAATGGTAGAAATGCCCTGCAATTTCCATCCTGTTTCAGTTCATTGCTAAGGCTTTCATTGAATAAGAGCTTAAAAAACAACAACAACAAACTGAGCCAAAACCAAAATGACATAAACAAAGGCACAGTTAATTTCAACCCATCTGTCTTTTGTCAGAAAAAGACCTTCTGTTTTTGATCACTCTGGCAACAGCATGGGTTTTGTTTTTTAACAGCTAAGTAAGAAGTTAGAAATAGAAGGAAGAACTCCACACCTGTTGCTTTTAGGGTCAATTATTTATTGATGTCATAAACTGCACAGAGGAAGGCATTTTGCTGCAGAAGCTAATGGAGCTACAGTGCAGTAGCTGTATCAATCAGCTCAGCTCAAGTATTTTATTTTTGTTGTTGTTGCTGTTTTTTGTTTTTGTTTTTGTTTGTTTGTTGTTTAAGACAGAGTCTTGCTCTGTCACCCAGGCTGGAATGCAATGGCATGATCATGGCTCACTGTAGCCTCGACCTCCTGGGCTCAAGTGATCCTCCCACCTCAGCCTCCTGAGTAGCTGAGATGACAAGCATGCACCACCACACTGGCTAATTTCTTTTTATTTGTATTTTTTGTAGAGGTGGAGCTTTGCCATGTTGCACAGGCTGCTGTCAAACTCCTGGGCTCAAGTGATCCTCCAGTCTCAGCCTCCCTAAGTGTTGGGATTGCAGGTGTGAGCCACTGCACCCGGCCCAGCTTTAGAAACAGGCTCAACTCTTTGGACTCTCCAGCACTCTATACCTACTTTCATTCCAGTGCCAAAATTCACTGCTTCCTTTGAGAACTTTATATTTGTTTCAGTTGTTAAGTTAAAATATTTTCACAATCATAGGAGGCCATCAAGTTTTGATTTGCAATCTGAAGGGAAGAGAGGGGATTCTTCATAAAGAAATGGACAGTATGTTACCCTCATTACAGAAGACATGGTGAGGGGTTTTATTCTCTGTGCCTCATGACGTCTCTCACAGAGACAGGGGTGTAATGCCTGCATTGTGAGAGGAATTTCAGGCATGGGGGAGAATTAGGTGTTGAATTACCAAGATGTTTCCTCACCTGTAAAGGCTGAGAGCCCCAAGTTTATAGTTTATTTATTGAAAAATAGAAGGCAGGCTGGCTGTGATGGCTCACGCCTGTAATCCCAGCACTTTGGGAGGCTGAGGCAGGAGGATTTCTTGAGCCCAGGAGTTTGAGACCAGCCTGGGCAACATAGCAAGACCCCATTTCGACACAAATTTTAAAAATTAGCCAGGCATGGTGGCACGTGCCTATGGTCCCAGCTACTCAGGAGGCTGAGGCAAGTGGATTGCTTGAGCCCAAGAGATTGGGTCTGCGGTGAGCCATGATTGCACCATGGCACTCCAGCCTGGGTGACAGAGCAAGATCCTGTCAAAATAATAATAATAATAATAATAATAATAATAATAATTGAAAATGGGAGGTAATAAACAGTATGGCATGCAAGATTAAAAAAAAATAGAACAAAACAACCTTTGTCACTGAGAAAAGCAATAGTTTACTCTTGCTAGTATAAGGATTTCTTATCATAAGCATGCTTTTCCTTGCAAATGGGAGAAAACTCAATGAATGAAAACAGAAATATTTTGGTTTCTATTTCTAATCCATGTCTCAATGCCCACAGCATTTCTGGAGAGCCACAGGGCTGGAAGCAGAGTCTTATTCTTTTGTAAAACTTAAGTCATGGAGAGTTAAAATTCTAGTTCATTTTCCATGTCTGTTCTTTGTCCTAGTTCATTCAGGCTGCTATTTAATAAATACCATGAACTGGGTGACTTATAAGCAACAGAAATTTACTTCTCACAGTTCTGGGGGCTGGGAAGTCCAAAGTCAAAGCATCAGCAGATTCAGTGTCTGGTGAGGGTGTTTCGTGGTTCCTAGACCCAGCAACTTCTTGCTGTGTCCTCACATGGCAGAAGAGGCAGGGCAGCTCTCCAGAGCTTCTTTGATAAGGGCACCAATCCCATTCATAAGTGCCCCACCCTCATGACCTGATCACCTCCCAAAGGCCCCACCTCCTCATATCACATCACCTTGGGGGTTAGGATTTCAACATATGGATTTGGGGAGCACATAAACATTCAGATCATGGCATTATTGTTTTTGTGATTTTTTTTTCTTCTTCCTTCTCTTCTCCTTGGTTTTCCAGCTCTTCCTTTCTCTTACTTTTCATTTTTGTTTCTTTCCTAAGTGTACACAATCTGCCCCATACATGATCATGTCCAGGTTGACTTTATCATTTTCATGGCCTGGTTAGAATATTTTATTTCAGGTTGCTTGCAGAGAGGCAAGCACACATCTTCATATAGCAAAGACAGATTACAGATTCATGGGAGGAAGTATCTTACTATATCTCTGCATCCCCAGGGTAAAGGTAAACTGGGATCGAGGTTGATGCAGATGATCAGGCAGAGGTTTCTGCTCATGGCCAAGATAGAATAAATAGTACTGGACTAGACGTCCCACTGCAAATAACTTAAAAAACTAGACAAAATATGGGAAGCAATAATGTTCGGCTATTGAAAACAGGCAGCAAAGGATCATGCTCTCTGACACAATGGAAAGAAATGAAGTAAGTCCTATGATAGTTTGAGCTTTTACCTGGAGGCACTTTTTGAATGGCATCCAGGAAGTATCCAGGTAGGGCAGAGGGGTCTCACTGAGTTGAGAAGCCACAGATCAGAGATTAGGGAGGTTGGCACAGCTGAGGTGTGTAGGGCGAGACACAGAGAGGAGGAAGCTATGCAGAACTCCAGAAATCTACGTCGAAGTCCTCTTGAGTCTTGGGCTGAATATTAAACTGTGCATGCAAAGCATGGAACTTTCTAAGTCAGGAAATGAACAGCTTTGAGTGGAAGCTTTAAGCTGAACAATTCTAAGTCTCACACAGGGCAAGGAGATATTTAAGTTCTGACTAGCTACAGTTGGGAGATCTTCTTAAACACCTGAGAAATTCAGTCAAGACTCAGGAAATATAAAACCCTGATAGTAGGGCTAAATTAGACCCGTTTTAACAAAGCTTAAAATTAGCCTGGGAAAGACCAAAGTAATACACAAACAACTTAACTGCCTGCCAAACCAAAATTTAACACTGTTTAAAGGAAGATAAAATCAAGACATTCAACAACATAACACATATAATGTTCAGCATGCAATAAAAACAACTAGACAGATTAAGAAACAAGAAAATGTGACCCATAATAAGGAAAGAAATCAGTCAGTATAAATAGATTCAGAAATAATAGATCTAGATGATGGAATTTACAGATGAGGAACTTTAGACCAGTTATTCTAAATATGGTAAAGGATTTAAAAGAAAACAAATATAATGAGTGGAATCATTACATTGATTCAGAAAAATATACTTCAGGATAAGAAATATTACTAGAGATGAAGAGGGACATTTCATAATGATAAAAAGGTCAATTCATCAAGAAGCCATGCAAATCTTAATACGTACGCACCTGATAACAAAACTTCAAAATACATAAAACCGGCCAATCAGGAAATAACATCTATATCTACTGTTTTAAATTAAAAAGAAAAATTCCACACAGATATTTGCAAGGTGATTTTTATCAACATAAATTTATTAAGTACACTATCCTTGGGCATTAACCTAGGTGACAGGAAAACACTTTAACAGATTCGACATTGGTCTTAAGAAGCTCAAATAGGGTTGAAATACAGAACACACGCACAGAGATTAAAAGATTAAAAGACATGTGTCATGTTGTATTTTCCTTAAATGTTTGCCTCTCCATTTTTGAATCCAATAAATCATTAAGCTCTTGTTGGCTGTTTTCCATCTTGAAGTATTAGTGCTTAGCCTTACAAAGTTTGAGGTAGCTGCTTAGTCATCCCTGCTATGTTCAAGTGTCTACATAAGCCCCTCCTAGGGTCCACCGGAACCCACAGAATTGGAAATCTAGTGGAGATTCATTGTTAACATTACAGAAGACATGGGACTAGCGATCTCCTTTGGGGTTCCAGTTAGGCTTATACTGCAGCTGCCACCCCACTTTCTACCATTCTTCAGGCAAGTAGTGAGCTATGAGTGCGCTCACATTATGAAGAATACGTCTTGAAAAAGGAAAAGGATTAGTGTTCAGGGTGATTCGCACTCGTTATAGTTAAGCCAGCAAGGCCTCACTTAGGATGAGAGAGGAGCCACCCCTTGGGAAAATCATTTATATATATGCTTTATATACACACATTTAATCTTTTAAAATTCAGTCCCATTTCCCAAGGAAATTGCCTGGAGGTAGTGTTGGGATTAGAATGGATTACCCTAACAGAGTCTTTTCATAAACCCAAACTGAGCTAACAAGAAGGGCTCTGTGTTGCCTTTTAATCATCCGTTGAGTTTTCTTATGCCAGCTCTTTCCAAGAAAGATTGAAGTTGCTTGCCAGCATGCCTGCTGTAGATCTTAGCTTGTTCCAGAAAGGAGAAGCAACTTCTCAAAGATTGTCTCTTATAGTCTTGCCTGACAATGAGAGCTTCTCCATGACGCTCTCCCTGGGTCTCCCAGTGGCTTCTTTGTGTCAAGTGGGAAGAATATGGACTTCGGAGTCAAATCAATTGGGATAGAATCCCAGCCTTGTCATCTACAGCCTGCGTGGTGTTAGGCAGTTGTGAAATCTCACAGAGACTTATTTTCTTCTCTCTAACTTACCTCACCCACAGGCGTGTGTGTGTAATGCAAATACCATTCTTCATCGTGTGAGTGCACTCATAGCTCACCACTTGCTTGGAGAATGGGTAGAAAAACGGGGTGGCCACTGTGGGACAAGCCTAACTGGAACCCCAAAGGAGGTCTTCTGTAACGTTAACATGAGTTTCCACTAGATTTCCAATTCCGTGGGTTCCGGCAGACCCTAGCGTGGGGGGCATGTAGACACTTGGACTAGCAGGGATGACTATGCAGCTCCCTCAACCTTTGTAAGGCTAAGCGCTAATACTTCAAGAAGGAAAACAGCCCTAGTTGTCTCCTTCTTGCTCTCTTCATACTCTATTATAGACCTTACTATTCACTATTGTTATGCGGCCATGTCTTCTGCCTCTGGGGACATGGGAAGCTGGTCACTGTTCTTGCTGTTGGAAGTACACTCAACTGCCTCCCTCTCCTACAGGGGAAAGCCTGCGTCTTACCTGTTCGCAGTCCCGACACATTGTCCGGCACACTGCAGATGCTCAGTGTGTTATTGTTGAAGGCCACTCTCATTCCTTTTCAGAAACACTCAATAATAAACTCTCATTCCTTCCTTTAGGGAAGTGAAAAACAGAACAACAGAAAAGCAAAAGCAAAAGGCTCCTTCCATTTTCTCCTGTAGCTGCCTCACAGAATGGGTCCTCTTTAGGCTGAGGCCGTCACACTTCTGTGGCATATGGGGTGGGGAGCGTCCATGTCAGGCCCAGTTTTTCCCCTCACCGGCTGGGTGGCCTTGACCATCGAACACAGAAGTGAAGTGCATGTGCACCCACCAGGGTTGGTGGCTCACGGGGGACCCAGATCACACTCATGGGTATAAAAGTGATCCTTACGACAGTGGTGCCACCAGATCCAACTCTGTCCCTTCACCCAGTCGATTTGAAGCTGTTGTCCGTTTTTCTCATACTTAATTTTCCTACTTTGTTGTTTGTCTTTGCTTTCATCTGGAAATAGAGCTTGGTAATTGCATTGCTGGTTTCCGTGGAGATCCAGGCCATAGCCACTGCATTGCAGCAAACAAAATGGAATGTACCCTACCTTCCTTTCATTTGTGTTCCTTAAGAGAAAATTTGAATTAAAAAGACCTCCCGAGATCACCTGTCTTTCAAATTGCTGGTGCAGCTGGGCGCAGTGGCTCACACCTGTAATCCCAGCACTCTGGGAGGCCAAACGAGGATTGCTTGAGGCCAGGAGTTCATGACCAGCCTGGGTAACATAGTGAGACCCCTATTCTACAAAAATAAATAAGTAAATTAGCAAGGCATGGTGATGTGTGTGCCTGTGGTCCCAGCTACTCAGGCTAAGGCAGGCAGATTGCTTCAGCTCAGGAGCTTGAGGCTGCAGTGAGCTGTGATTGGGCTACTGCACTCCAGCCTGAGTGATGATAGGCGGCAGAGGAAGACCCTGTCTCTAAAAAACCAAACCAAACCAAACAAAACAAATTGTCCCACAGGGTGGGACATTAGCTCAGAGATAAATTAGCTGTCGCCTGTGCTTCAAGACACTACTGTCTGGCCCTTCTGAATATATCCGCATTTGGAACAAACCTCGTCCTGAATCAAAGTGGCTGTGAATGTTTGGAGGGTTGGCATCTAACAGTTGTGAGTTTTAAAATGGATTGAATTCCTTCATTCCCTCTTCTAATATTTCACGGCAGAGAACAAAGAGAACACACAGAGGGAAAACGTGGACTAGTTCCTCTCTCTTAACAAGACTAATCATCTGATGCTGAAGTCACCATGATCACAGCTGCCTGTATCTCTGTTCCCTCCCCTCCCTTCCTCTCTTCTCTTCCTTCCTCTCCTCTTTTCTCCCTCCCTCCCTGCTTCCTTCCTTCTTTCCTTCCTTCCTTCCCTCCCTCCCTTCCCCCAACCCTTCCTTCCTTCCCTCCCTCCCGCCCTTCCTTCCTTCCCTTCCTTCCTTCCTTCCCTTCCTTCCTTCCTTCCTTCCTTCCTTCCTTCCTTCCTTCCCTCCTTCCTTCCTTCCTCCCTCCCTCCCTTCCTTCCTCTCTCTCTCTTTCTTTCCCTTTCCTTCCTTCTTTCAGTTATTGTCTAAAACGTAAAAATGAACAGGAGGTCGATATGAGGACTCACTAATCCTGAATTTGGCCTTGCTCTGTGTGATGCTGGAGCTCTGCAGCATGGGAAAATATCCGTGACATCCCATTGGCCCCCTTCTCCACCCCAGGCCCTTACCTTCACAGAAAGGCCTGCTTCCAGGAGCAGTGTTTCTAACTCACACCATAGTAAAGATGACTGATAAGACGTAGTGAGTTGCCTCTCCCAGAGATTTTAATTTTTATCACCCTTAAAAGCCAGAAGACCTCAAGTATTTAATATTTGATGTTAGACAAGAGGCATAGGTGTGTTGAGGCAGGAGGCCCTACCCAGGGTCCGTAAGCTGCCTGCCTGTTATCCAGAAGGGAAGGAAAACAATCATTTACTTTTTTTTTTTTTTTTTGAGAAAGAGTCTCACTCTGTCACCCAGGCTGGAGCGCAGTGGCATGATCTTGGCTCACTGCAACCTCCGCCTCCCAGGTTCAGACGATTTTCCTGCCTCAGCCTCCCAAGTAGCTGGGATTACAGGTGGGCACCACCGTGCCCAGCTAATTTTCATATTTTTCATAGAGATGGGGTTTCACCATGTTGGCCAGGCTGGTCTCGAACTCCTGACCTCAGGTGATCTGCCTGCCTCGGCCTCCCAAAGTGCTGGGATTACAGGTGTGAGCCATCGGGCCTGGCCTCCTCCATCTACTTTTACTACTTAGAAAAAAAGAATGTAAGAAGAAAGCTTTCTTAATAAGTCCTCATGTGCTGTCACATAGTGGGGTGACATAGTTAACAATAATGTGTTCTATATTTCAAAATAGCTAGAGGAGAGGATTTTGAATGTTCCCATCACAAAGAAATGGTAAGTATTTGAGATGCTGGATATGCTAATTATCCCAATTTGATCATTACACAGTCTATACGTGTATTGGAACATCACACTGTACTCATAACTATGTACAATTATCATGTGTCAATTTAAAAAGACTAACTTCTTCAATGGTATATACAACAAAGAGAATAAAACACGATAACTTAAAATTTTGAAAAAGCAAAGCCTGCACTGCTTCCAAGCAGAGAGGACCTCCCTGCAAACATACAGTGCTGCCATTTGTGAAATGCTGGTTGCAAAGCACAGAAGAACTCCGGCTGGCAGTGCATTGCCTGTGGGTGTTAGCGCTCGTGGGACAAGCACCCTCCATTCAGGGGTGCTGCCACTGATTGCTGGGGAGCTGTGCTCTTGGAAGGCCTCAGCGGGTCATGGAATCTGTTCCATCAGAGAAATAGTGCAACACACTTTTGCAGATAATTAAGATTTGGACAAATGTCTGGCCATCGGGAGCCCTAGGCTTTGGAAAGGGCTGTGGACACAGAGAGGTCAGGACCGAATGGTTGACAGTGAACATCCCATGCCAGGGAACGTTGAATCAGGAAGGGTTCGAGACATGAGAAATAGCCTCTGGTGTGTTGTGACTGCTTCATTCACTGAGCAAAGAGAAAGAACCACTCCAGTTGGTTGGCCATGCCAAAAAAGGCCAGCCCTGTACACACACAAAAAATGGACCATGTGAAAGAAGTATGAACGACAAGAAGAAGGCCAGGCGTGGTGGCTCACACCTGTAATCCCAGCACTTTGGGAGGCCGAGGCGGGCAGATCATGAGGTCAAGAGATTGAGACCATCCTGGCCAACATGGTGAAACCTCATCTCTACTAAAAATAAAAAAATTAGCTGGGCGTGGTGGCGTGTGCCTGTAGTCCCAGCTACTCGGGAGGCTGAGGCAGGAGAATTGCTTGAACCTGGGACGCGGAGGTTGCAGTGAGCCGAGATCATGCCACTGCACTCCAGCCTGGTGACAGAGTGAGACTCCGTCTCAGAAAAAAAAAAAAAAAAAGAAACATACGAAGCAAACCGAATTCTTCCTACTATTTATCGGATGTTTCTGCTGTGCTGGGCAGTTTACACTTGTTAGTTCGTTTCATTCTCTTACAACCCTGAGAAGTAGGAGCTTTGATTATCCCTGTTTCACAACTGAGTGAAAAAGATTCAGGATCCGTGGGGGACTGAGACTGGCCGGACCTCTTCCCAGCGTATTCTCTCTACTGTTGATGAAGTGGAGCTGACTTCCAGCTGAGGGGCAGTGAGTGCAAAGGCACATCTTGGCCAGGGAGGACTAGAGCCTCACATGGTCTTGGGCTGGGGGTGGCAGGGCAGAGAGGCTGGGCAGGGCAGGCATTGCTCTGACAATGCATGTGCTTCTTGTCATAATGAGCACCGCAAGAGGAGGACACCCAACCCAGTCTTGGGCAAAGGAGATAGAAATCCCTGGGAGCCAGTCACAGAGAGGAAACGGCTGTGGCAAGTCTCAGAGGCAGCAGAGATCAGAGGCCGTGCAAGGTCAGTGCCATTGCAGGGTCGGGGGGAGTAAAGGGTGAGGCCCGAGAGGCAAGCGGAGTCCAGGGCTCGCAGGGCCAGGCAAGCTCTGTTTGGCACCATCAGTGAGGAGCCACTGAAGAGCTTTAAGCAGTGAAATTTTAAAACATACCTCACGGACACTGAGTACTAGTTTTCTGCTTGGGTGAGATGGATCTTGGTGCCACTCACCTAGAGAGAGAACCTGTGGCCGGGCGAGGTGGCTCACACCTGGAATCTCAGTGCTTTGGGAGACTGAAGCAGGAGGATCATTTGAGGCCACGAGTTCAAGACCAGCCTGGGCAACGTCATGATTAATGGCAAAAACCATAATTACTTCTGTGTCAACCTAATATTTGCTGAAGGTCAAACACTGGTCAGCAATTGGAACCAGAACTGAACCCACGTCCTCTACCCTTGAACTTTGTGCTGTTTTCTCCTAATTACTTCTTTGACTACCAGTGACTGCTTGATGAGTACTTTTTTCATTGATTTGACTCTAAAAATGAATATTCCCATCCGTGAAAGGAACAGTGTGTTTGTGGCCAGTGCAGAGACCCCTGCTGGACACCTGTGTGTTGGAGAGAAAACGACGCCTGGGAATGCTTCCACCAGGTCCCTGCTGGGTAGTGTCACTTTAGCCTGCGAGGGACAGGTGACACGAGTTACAGACAGGCTGCAGGAGGTAACTTGGTCCATGTGCATACACTATACAGAATTTTAGGGCATTTTAGTAATTTTCAAAATGTGCCATGCAGCCACTGGTCCAAGTGAATTAGAAAAGAGAGCAGGAATTCATCAGGGAGGGCTCGTGGTCATAACGTCCACGTGGCTGCCCCTTCACCGGCTTCTGTCTTTACTCAAATGTATTCTTCTTAGGACACTGGCTACCCCATTAAACCTTGGCATCCACTACCCTCCTTAGAACTTATTACTAACAGTCAATTTTGCTGAAGACATTTATCTTGTTCTTTGTCAATTCTTCCCACTAGGATGTAAGTTCAGTGAGGGCAGGAATTTTTATACTTCATTCTCTGCCATTTCCCTAGTGCCAAGAACAGTGCTGAAGACACAGCAGGTGCTCAGGGAACATTTATGGTACTAACTGTGTTCATGATACTATTGGTAATGTTTTGAAAGGCATCAGTAAGTCAAAGGGCATTGTTAGAAACAATGACAAAGAAGAGGATGATTCCTTCCTGCCTGGATGGTGAGAACATGTGTTGGATTTGATTGCAGCTGATATCACATGAAGGGTGTCCTGACATATTGCTCAGGACCTGTGAGCAATGGTGGAGTCCTTTGCTTTCTTCACAAAAGAAAACTCAATTCCCCTGATTTTTCTGCTCAATTTCTTTTCCTTTTCTTTTCTTTTCTTTTTTTTTTTTTTGAGACGGGGTCTTGCTCTGTGGCCCAGGCTGGACTGCAGTGGCCTGGTGTGATCTCAGCTCACTGCAACCTCCGCCTCCCAGGCTCAAGTGATCCTCCTACCTCAGCCTCCCAAGTAGCTGGGACTACAGGCACACACCACCACGCCTGGCTAATTTTACTATTTTTAGTAGAGATGAAATTTCTCCATGTTGGCCAGGCTGGTCTAGAACTCCTGGGCTCAAGAAATCCACCTGCCTTGGCTTCCAAAAGTGCTGGGATTGAAGGAGTGAGTCACTGCACCCGGCCTCTGCTGTTTCTGAAGGGTGCCTTAGAAAAAATTCCATAGAAAAGTTAAAATAATACAATTTCAAACACTTGAAGGGCTAACATTGGGCTATCCAGATAATTGTATTTCTTAACAGTCAGGACAGTTGAATTTTTTGTGTGTGTTTTTGATGTGTTACAGATCAAAAGTCAGGGATAGCAAATATCATTTAAGCTCTGTACTGAGGCTGGATGGTCTTGGCCACATCTTAATTTCACCTGAAAGTTGGGAAGGTGACTAAGTATATTTTAAGGTGACTTCCATTTCCAAAGATGCCTGGGTCCGCGAGTCTGTGGAAAGTGGAATTTTGGGGGTCTATGCATTCCACACTGGGGCCCGTCTTTGCTGCCTTGGGGAATGTGATTTAAGCGCATTGATGCACATCTCACAAGTGAGATATCTATTAACCTGCAGCCTCATCTGACCTGCTTGCATCTAATAGGCAGCTGTTTAGTTCAGCACTTTCCTCTGGGGTCTTCTTTGGCCAGCATGCCCTCCTGTGGCTTGGGGAGGAGGCATCATTTTGGTATGATTGAGAGAATGAATCTGTGTCCATTCAGTGTATCTTGGAAGATCTTAGGACTGTCGGAGGTGGGAACAGTGCTTGGAAGTTCTTTTCCTCCCTTGGGAGAGAAGCTATGCCTCTCTGCATAGAAGAACCAGCCCAACTGCCTCAAAAACAAACTCCAGGGGGCACTGTGAATGCTGTCTTGGTAGAGAAGACATTGGGGAGCTGTGCAGTTGAGTTGAACTGGAATTGAAAATGCAGTCCAAGAACGACTGTTTGGGGACTTTAAGAGCAGGAAAAGGCTCAGCTGAAGAAAACAGAAAATTTCTTCCTTGTATCAGTGGTTAATTTTTAGCTCTAAGTCTTGTGAGGGGGAGTCTGTGAGTGTGGCTGGGGTGGGATGGCACTGACCTGGTTCACCCTACAGTACCTGTGCCAGTGGGAAACTAGATTGACAGGAAAGTAGTATAATCTATTTTGGGGGTAGATTTGCATATGCAGATGAGATGCAACTGTAGGCATGATTAAACTGTTGTGTTGGTGCAGCTGCTAAATATTTGCTTTCTGTCTACAGTCCTGGAAAAGTCATTTACATCTTGATAACAATGAAAACATATATTTCTCAAATCAGATACATGATTCCTTAAACACACACACACACACACACACACACACACACACACCCCCCAAAACAAAACAGTTACTATCATTTCCTAGCCCTCCAGAAAGTGAACTCTATTTCCCTGGGAGCCCTTTTCCCACCAGCCCTGGAGCACCCATCATCGAGAAAAAGTCACTCCAAGCCTCCTGCATCTTTGCTGGTACATCATTCTTGGCAGGTAATAAAAAAGAAAAGCCAGTGATTGGGTATGCATTATTGGTGGGGCACCGTTCTCTAGGCTTTAGGCATTTTCCCATGTATTCCTTGCCATCATTCTAGGGGGTAGGGAACCGTGGTTCTACAGTGAAGACACTGAGTTAAGTGACTCCCCCACAATCACACAGTCAAGAAGCTGGAGTTTTAATCTAGGAGGTCACACTGCAGAGCCTCTGTCCTTAACCTTGATATCAAGCTGCCTCTCATAATAATTCTCACAGAGACCATCTCTTTTTCAACATTCCTTTTTAGATGCAGAACGCTTTATCCAAGGGGAGTCTTGGCCAAAGCATAAAAGACAACACAGACAGTAGTGGAGGTGTTCTAAGTGAAGCAGGAGTAAGAGGGTGGGGTCTGGAGCCTGGATCCTCCTCCAATTTTTGTGACTCTGAGTCCCTGGGGTTCCCAGGGACCCGTTTCTCTTCTGAATTGGCCCTTCCTGGGACTCAGCTGCTCTTCTCGCTAGTTGATCCTTCTATTAGGTGCAGTCGGTCCTCATATTCACAGATTTCTTATTTGCAAGTTCATCTACTTGCTAAAATTTATTCATAATCCCCAAACCAATACTCATAAGACTTTCTCCGCCATTCATGGACACATGCAGAGTGGTGGGAAATGTGCGTCGCCTGACACATGTGCTCTCAGCTGGGGTGGAAGCAGGGGCTGCCCTGCCTTTTTGTTTCTGCTCTCACAATGTCAATGGGTACTTTCTCCCAAGGTCTGGTTAGTGCCATGTCTTTTGCATTTTTGTGCATTTGGTTGGTGATTTTGCCATTTAAAGTGGCCCCCAATGGGTTTAGTGGCAAACACCTGTGGTCTCAGCACTTTGGGAGGCTGAGGCAGGAGGATTGCCTGAGGCCAGGAGTTCGAGACCAGACTGGGCAATGTAGCAACACCCCCATCTTTACAAAAAACTAAAAAATTAGCCAGGCTTGGTGATGCAACCCTGCAGTCCCAGCTACTCAGGAGGCTGAGGCTGGAGGATGGCTTGAGCCCAGAAGTTCCAGGCTGCAGTGAGCTAAGCTATGATCATGTCACTGCACTCCAGCTTGGGTGACAGAGCGAGCCCCTGTCTCTAAAAAAAAATTTTTTTTAATAATAAAATAAAATGGTCCCAAGCACAGCGCTGCACGAGTGCTGGCTGGTTCTTCTGAGTGCAGGAGGGCTGTGCCAGGGCTTGCAGAGAAAGTACATTCAGAATGTGTTAGATGGGTTTCATTCAGATGTGAGTGATAGTGCTGTGGGCCATGATTTAATGTGAATGGGTTAATATATGTTTAATATATATTAAATAAGATTTATTTGAACAGACACACACATAAAATAAGGCAATGTGTTAATTGATTGGTGAAAGTGTTGTCACCTAACTGTGTATTTCCCCAAGGAGCCCCTAGTATTCACTATTGCAGTGCTGGTGGTAACTTTATAAAACATAGCTACTATGAATAATGAGAATTGACTGAACTCATCATATTTTGAGAGCTTCTTACCGGGCAGATAATGTGCTAGAACCTTATTTAAATGAACACTAATTCTCAACCCTGTACGTTTAGTATCATTACCCCAGTTTATAGATGGTAAAACTGAGGCCTAGATAATTTGCCAAAGTCACTACACTAGAGAGAGGTGAGGCCAAGGCTGAGTGCCATGTAGTGCTATTGTTCTCTTTCCTTTTTGCTAACACTTTCTTCTTTTTTCTAGATACAGGGTCTTGCTTTGAGGCCCAAGGTAGAGTGCAGTGGCATGATCATGGCTCACTGCAGCCTTGACCTCCTGGGCTCAAGTGATCCTCCCACCTCAGCCTCCTGAGTAGCTGGGATCACAAGCATGCCAACACTTGGTTAATTTAAAAACATTTTTGTAGAGATGAGGCTCTCTATGTTGCCCAGGGTGATCACTTGAACTTCCGGCCTCAAGTGATCCTCCATCCTCGGCCTCTCAAAGTGCTGGGATTACAGATGTGAGCCACAGGGCCCATGCTGACCACTTGCGTTTAGTGAACTATCCCAGTTTGGCATCTTGTACACTTCAGCCCGACTCCCAGCTGGTTTCTTTGGCCATGGGTTGAACACAGCACTCCCCACATCTTCTCTCTAATCCACAGACACATACAGAAACCTTCCCATCGGTGCTGGGATGCTCTTACAGAGAGTCGGGAGTTGATGCCCAGATGCCTCCACCTTCTCTGCTTCCCTTACCTCCAGCTAGCTTCAGGTAGCCACTGGAGTTAGGATTTCTTTTCTTTTTTGAGATGTAGTCTCGCTCTGTCACCCAGGCTAGAGTACAGTGGTGTGTGATCTGGGCTCACTGCAACCTCCGCCTCCTGAGTTCAAGTGATTCTCCTGACTCAGCCTCCCAAGTAGCTGGGACTACAGGTGCCCACCACCATGCCCGGCTAATTATTGTATTTTTAGTAGAGATGGGGTTTCGCCATGTTGGCCAGGCTAGTCTTGAACTCCTGACCTCAGGTGATCCACCCACCTCAGCCTCCCAAAGTGCTGGGATTTACAGGCGTGAGCCACCGCGCCTGACCAGAGTTAGATTTCCAAGTAAAGCAAAATGTCACCTAGCAGGAGAGAGGAAAAAAAGAGAAAGAGAAAAAAGACAAGGAATGGGGATGGGGTAGACTTCAAGGAGGAAGAGCAAAGGTGACCAGGATGAGAAGGGAGATGGGTGGGCATGGGCTGCTCAGAAGATGCCCTGAAGGGTGGGACCAGAGGAGCCAACCCTGAGAAGCGCCTGTCACTGACACTGGGTCATTCTTTACATTTCAAAATCATTTTCACATCTCTGGTCACATTTGCATATCACAGTCACTGTGAGTGGGTGAAGAACACATTCTTTTTTTCTGCTTCACTGATGAGAAAACCGAAGCATGAAAAGCTGCAGTGATTTGCTCATGGTCGCGCAGGGCTAATTTATTCCACATTTGGGATGGGCTATTTCTATCACACAGCAAGAGTCAGTAATTGCTTTCCTGATATTTCATTTTTTTTTTAAAGCCAATACCATGAGCAGTCTATTAGGAGACAAATTCTCCTTTATTTTATACTTACACCCTGTGACTATTTCAATATTTTTACTTAACTACAATTTCTCAAATTTCCTTGCTCATGTCGAAGCATTTGACTAAAATATAGCAAAACCACTGTTCCTTTCAAGGGGGTCAAAACGTTTTCCGTGGATGGGAGCATGTCATGTGAGCAAAGATGAAAGTAGCTTTGTTGCACTCTTCTGGGAATCTTTCTAGGGATATTACTAAAGTCAAGAATAGATCAGAAATGAAGAAAAGATGGGGATATAAAGAATAGCTTTCATGGAAAATTGAAATCATTCCTTTTAAAGTTTACAATTTCCACCCTGATCATAGATCCCCAACCCTGCAGGATGGGTTCTTCCCAGATATGAAGGTGGCTGCAGCGATAGGATTTTGACGCAACTGTGATTGATGTCAGCAGGTCCAGACCGTGATATTTCATGACAGATTTAACAGACATTTATTAAGTAGATTCAATGGGAACAGCTCCAGGCTAGATGGGGCTGGGAGATACAAAGGGAAGATGTAATCTGTGAAGGTCGTAGAGGCCAATTAGGGATTGAAATCCCACGGATATGGGTTGTCGTACACCCACTTCACACCAGTTGCTCTTATTCTACACCATCATTTCACATAAGCCTCCCACAAATGGCAAGTGGAATGGCATGATTCTCCTTATTGCAAGATGAGGCTATCTGGAAGGATCCAATGACTTCCCCAGTGAGTAGGGGGCTGCCCCGGGCTTTGCACCCAGGCTTTTGTCTCCAAGCGAAGAGTTGTCACTCACTGCACAGGAAGCAGCAGGAGAATAACCAAGTCACGGTCTAAAGTTGGGACACCCAACTGAGTTTCAGATTTCTGCCTGCACCAATGACACAGGAATTCAGAATAAGGGCGAGATCCTTGTGGGTTCGTGTGATGGTGGCATGGCGATTCATGCTTGATTGAGAAGACAAAACGTGAACACTTTAAGGGCTTCTTGCACAAGTGAAGTGGTTGTGGAAATGTTTTCAAGGAGGAAATGCCTTTTTAATAGAGAAATTTACTTGGCTAGTTAGCAGAAGTTTTCTTTCTTGGGTTAAAAGTAGTTGCTGCTATTATATCCTGAAGCATCTGGCTGTCCTGGTGGGGACATATGAGCGCTGCCACAGGCCGGGAATATCCCAGGCGAGTAAGAATAGCCCACAATAAGAGATGACTGCTGCTTGCTCTGCTGGTCACTGCAGTTGTCAGGAATGTTTCGCCTCAGAGGCAAACGGCTTAGGGCCGTCTCAACTTGGAGACAGAAAAACCCACCTCCTACTCCTGGCTCAGACCTTTGCTTTCTTATCTCCAGCTCACACCTTTAAGTCTTATGTAGTTAAAGGACATTTATCCGCCTCCTTGGAGAACACAGCCCTCCAGTGTCTCCTGCAGCCTGGAGCCTGGGACATTCTGGAAGCATGGAAGGCGTGGACTTGCTAGGGTTTCTCATCATCACATTAAACTGCAACGTGACCATGGTGGGTGAGTATTGGGACCATCTCCAAACTCCTGCGCTGTTTTTATTTCCACTGCCATGGTGGAATTGAGTCCTTAAAGGGTCCAGGTATTTACTCATTTTCAGTGTGCAAGCACCAAGCTGAAAGTCCACCCACTCCCAAAAGAAAGGGCTGTGCCTTTCTGGAGGGAAGAGAGCTGAGGCTTCTAGTTTCTTTGAATGGTTCCGCGGTTCCTCCGTCATGTAAGGGAGTCTTGCGTTTGACATTGTTCTCTCACAGATCATCCTGTGCTGACACTGGGGTGCTGACTCCAAAGACCAAAGCAGGTGGAGGGGTGTTTGTGTGCAACCCTGGTGTGGCTACGTTACCAGGAAAAGGAACAGAACAACAAATGTTAATCAGAAGGTGATACCTTTAGGTTTTATTCTGGAAGCTTGGTTTTTTTTTTTTGTTTTTGGAGACAGAGTCTCACTCTGTTGCCCAGGCTGGAGTGCAGTGATGCAATCTCAGCTCACTGCAACCTCTGCCTCCCGGGTTCAAGTGATTCTCCTGCCTCAGCCTCCCGAGTAGCTGGGACTACAGGCGCCTGCCACCACGCCCAGCTAATTTTCTGTGTTTTTAGTAGAGACGGGGTTTCACCGTGTTAGCCAGGATGGTCTCGATCTCCTGACCTCGTGAGCCACCCGCCTTGGCTTCCCAAAGTGCTGGGATTACAGGCGTGAGTTACCACGCCTGGCCTGGAAGCTTAATTTTTAAGGAGTAGCCATTTCTCTTGTGCACTTTAAACCAAATCCCAAGTTTAGTTATTTTTTTTAACAAAGAAAATAATAGATTTTTGTTTAATGCAGACGACTCACATTTTCAGAGAGGTATGGGGGTCAGAAAAGGATGAATATATGCCGGAGATGCAGTTGATACTTTTCTGGCTCATTATTTTGTAGATTTAGACAAAACCAACTTGATGTTAAAAGTTCAACTCAATGACTCATCACATAATGATATTATTCTTTGTTTGACTGTCTTTACATATTTATTTTTGTTTTGTTTTTATGATGTCAGGCGATGTTTCTCTCATCACAAAACACAATATTCACAAGTTATTTTGGCTGAGTTTTAAACATGTTTCGAAACAGTTGGCCGGTGCCATGAAAATAGGGCTTGACAGTTATTTTGGTTTTCTAGCTTGGTGTCATTCCTTCACGATACATTGAAGAAAGACAAGCCCCATTCATTCCTAATAACTGGAAAAGGGGAAGAGGAATTCTGAATGATTAAAAAATCTGAAAAATGGAATGTTCATAAAGAAATTCAATTTCAAGGGCCGTAGACTAACATTAAATACAAGCCCTGTGATTAAATAGAGATCCCTGGACTGTTGTCATAAGTAAGATTTACTGAAATCAGCAGCTCGAATTGGCAGTTACAGAAATACACCAACCTCTTTTAAAAGGCTTATTCTCCTAAGAAGAAAATTTAAATCTTATTTAAATCATTAATTTGCTCAGCCAAACTTTCTTTCTGGACCTATCAGTCCAGGAGACATTACCAAAAGTCTGAATTAGCAGACAGATTAAAACACTTTTAATATAATGCTTTTTAAAAATCTACTCATCTTGAAGCATCTTACAAACAAGGATGTTCAGTGCTCAGTAAATATTTGTCAAATGAACTACCTGATGCTGTGAGTAAAGACAAGCTGACAGGTGTGGTGGCTCATGCCTGTAATCCCAGCTACTCAAGAGGCCAAGGCGGCAGGAGCACTTGAGGCCAGGAGTTCAAGACCAGCCTGGGCAATATAGCACGACCCTGTGTCCAACAACAACAACAACGACAACACAAACAAACAGAAAACTAAAGACATGCTTATTGACGTTTCAATTTCCCAATCTCAGCCCCAATAGACACTTTAAAGCTGTTACTCAGGGCAGTGTATTCGGGGTGATGAGGCCATGCCCGCTTCCTCTCTTCCAGGAAAGCTCTGGTTCGTCCTCACGATGCTGCTGCGGATGCTGGTGATTGTCTTGGCGGGGCGACCCGTCTACCAGGACGAGCAGGAGAGGTTTGTCTGCAACACGCTGCAGCCGGGATGCGCCAATGTTTGCTACGACGTCTTCTCCCCCGTGTCTCACCTGCGGTTCTGGCTGATCCAGGGCGTGTGCGTCCTCCTCCCCTCCGCCGTCTTCAGCGTCTATGTCCTGCACCGAGGAGCCACGCTCGCCGCGCTGGGCCCCCGCCGCTGCCCCGACCCCCGGGAGCCGGCCTCCGGGCAGAGACGCTGCCCGCGGCCATTCGGGGAGCGCGGCGGCCTCCAGGTGCCCGACTTTTCGGCCGGCTACATCATCCACCTCCTCCTCCGGACCCTGCTGGAGGCAGCCTTCGGGGCCTTGCACTACTTTCTCTTTGGATTCCTGGCCCCGAAGAAGTTCCCTTGCACGCGCCCTCCGTGCACGGGCGTGGTGGACTGCTACGTGTCGCGGCCCACAGAGAAGTCCCTGCTGATGCTGTTCCTCTGGGCGGTCAGCGCGCTGTCTTTTCTGCTGGGCCTCGCCGACCTGGTCTGCAGCCTGCGGCGGCGGATGCGCAGGAGGCCGGGACCCCCCACAAGCCCCTCCATCCGGAAGCAGAGCGGAGCCTCAGGCCACGCGGAGGGACGCCGGACTGACGAGGAGGGTGGGCGGGAGGAAGAGGGGGCACCGGCGCCCCCGGGTGCACGCGCCGGAGGGGAGGGGGCTGGCAGCCCCAGGCGTACATCCAGGGTGTCAGGGCACACGAAGATTCCGGATGAGGATGAGAGTGAGGTGACATCCTCCGCCAGCGAAAAGCTGGGCAGACAGCCCCGGGGCAGGCCCCACCGAGAGGCCGCCCAGGACCCCAGGGGCTCAGGATCCGAGGAGCAGCCCTCAGCAGCCCCCAGCCGCCTGGCCGCGCCCCCTTCCTGCAGCAGCCTGCAGCCCCCTGACCCGCCTGCCAGCTCCAGTGGTGCTCCCCACCTGAGAGCCAGGAAGTCTGAGTGGGTGTGAAAAAAACAGCACCTGGCGGTGCCCCGGGGCTCACGCCTGTAATCCCAACACTTTGGGAGGCCCAGGCAGGAGGATCGTTTGAGAATATATCTCCTTGCCCAAGAGTTTGAGACCAGCCTGGACAACATAATGAGACCCTCGTCTCTACAAAATATCTAAAAATTAGCTGGGCACAGTGGCTCCCTCCTGTAGTCCCAGCTACTTGGGAGGCTGAGATGGGAGGACCATTTGAGCCTGGGAGATCGAGGCTGCAGTGAGCCAAGATCACGGCACTGCGCTGCAGCCTGGGCAACACAGTGAGACCCTGTCAAAAAAAAAAAAAAAAAAAAAAAGCACCAAGCAGAGCTGAGAGAGCCCGGCTGTCCTTTGCACACGGGAATGCCTGTGCTGATGCATACTCACTTTGGCACCTGTAAAATCTCATCACTCAACGAAGGTCCTCAGGCAGAAGGGCGAGCTGGCCTGGGGACACACGGACATTACAGGAGATATATTCTCAGTACGGATTTAATTTAGATAACACATTTTATTTAAAAAAAAAACAAAACACATGACGTTCAAATGCCCCAACAAAACTAAAGTGATGAACTGGAGTCAGCTTTCTGATGATGGTGAGATGGTTCTGTCGGCCACACTCTCCCGGTTCTATTATCAAATTCTTTGCCATATGTTTCATGTAAGGCATGTTTTCTTCCATTAGTATAGTTTATTAATGTTTAATATTTTCTAGTGAATTATCATGAGGTTTTTTTTGTTTTTCTGCTTTGGATGAAAGAAACATCTGTTATGCATGTCAAAAATAGAGAGACATTAAACTTCTCCAAACCCCTTAATAAAATTGTATTAGTTCATTTCATACCGCTATGAAGAAATACCCGATACTGGGTAATTTATAAAGAAAAAGAAGTTTTCTTTTTTTTTTTTTGAGTCAGAGTCTCACTCTGTCGCCCAGGCTGGAGTGCAGTGGCGTGATATCTGCTCACTGCAAGCTCCGCCCCCTGGGTTCAGGCCATTCTCCTGTCTCAGCCTCCCAAGTAGCTGGGACTACAGGCGCCCGCCACCACACCTGGCTAATTTTTTGTGTATTTAGTAGAGACGGGATTTCACTGTGTTAGCCAAGATGGTCTCGATCTCCTGACCTTGTGATCCACCCGCCTTGGCCTCCCAAAGTGCTGGGATTACAGGTATGAGCCACCGCACCTGGCAGAAAAAGAAGTTTAATGGACTCACAGTTCTACATGGCTGGGGAGGCCTCACAATCATGGCGGAAGGTGAAGGAGGAGCAAAGTCACATCTTACATGGCAGGCAAGAGAGCATGTGCAGGGGAACTCCCCTTTATAAAACGGTCAGATCTTGTGAGACTTACTATCACGAGAATTGCATGGGAAAACCTTCCCCATGATTCAATTACCTCCTACAAGGTCCTTCCCACAACACGCAGGGATGATGGGAGCTACAAATCAAGATGAGATTTGGGTGGGGACACAGCCAAACCATATCAAAAATTAATGCTGATTGCATTATAATATCACGCTTCATACATCATTGTGTTAGAGCAGAAATGACAAATGCAGAAAATATGGCTAATAAACAGTTGGTTTCCAGGGGCATCTGATACTGTTCCCGTGTATGGGTGTAAAGTGCACAGGATGTAGGATGAGTTGTCCCTGTGTGTGTATGCTGGGTGGCTGTCCTCACCGCATAGAGGGAGTGCTTTTGCTGTAGAGGAGTGACCATAGATTTGTCACAAGTTTTTTAATTCAGGCTTTGTCTGTGCCCTTTAGAGAGTCATACAATTCAGACTTCCCTGAGAATCTTCATGTTCCAGTGGGGAAGATGAAAAAAACTGTGGGTATTGTGGAATGCACAGTCTGTGTTTATGACTTTTTGTGTAGCAACAGACAAATGCCGCAGGTCTTGGGCTGGGCTTCCGATCCAGGCCTTTCTGCACTGCTTAGTGTCATTCTGGCTTTGATCTAGGTGCTGCCCAAGTTCAGGTGTGACCTTCAAGTTTAGTGCTGGCCGAAATCAGGCAGGTAGGAGGATACAGTAGAGCAGAGGTTTGCTATGGGACAGGATTAACCTGCTCACCCTAATCAAGAGAGGAAAGAGGCATCTGGGTGTAGCTCAGAAATAGATGACTATTCCCTGGTTTCCATGTATGGAAGGGCTGGGGAGAGGCACCACCCTTCACTCCAGCATTTTATTTTCCATAAAAATAAATGTTAAGAACAGAAGAGCTGTCATAAAAGAGTCAGGGACCACGTGGAAAGTGGAGGCAGGTGGTCCGAGGACGAGTCCTCAACTTCATACTCTACTGAGTGATGGCTGAGAGCTGAGTGGACAGACCTGGGGGCCACAGAAGACATCTGATGGGACCCCGTCCCATGAGGAGCAAGGTGTCAGAAGAGGCATGGCCTATCCTAGAACTTGGCTGGTCATGCTCACGTGACCGTGACTATGCTGTGGAATGTGCTAATGCAGGTGTCCTTATTTCTCTTCTCTTTGCTGTCACACTGGGCACTGAAGATCTCTCCTAGTTTTGTAACTTAGGTTGTAAAGCCTTAAAGATTTTTTTCCAGTCCATGGCCAGGTGTGGTGGCTCACGCCTGTAATCCCAACACTTTGGCAGGCCAGGTGGGCGGATCACTTGAGGTCAGGGTTTTGAGACTAGCCTGGCCAACATGGTGAAAACCTGTCTTTATTAAAAAAACAAAAATTAGCTGGGCATGGTGACGGATGCCTGTAATTCCAGCTACTCAGAAGGATGAGGCAGGAAAATTGCTTGAACCCGAAAGGCAGAGGTTGCAGTGAGCTGAGATTGCACCACTGCACTCCAGTCTGGGCCACAAAGCGAGACTCCATCTCAAAAAAAAAAAAAAAAAAAGAGCTTTTCCAGTCCTTTAAAGGGAGAGGGGAAAAAAAATCTTAGACTATATTCAAAAGGCTAAAAACAGTAGAAAATCATGTGGCTTCCATCTTCCTTTTCCAGACTTCAATCCGTGTCTTTGCATGTTGACACCGAATGACTGAAAAATGGCTCGCATGTCTGCATCCCTTCCACAGACAGTTAAGGAGGATCCTATGGCTTAGGGCAGAGACTGTGCAAGTTAATGTAATTGCAGCTGCAATAACCGGCAAACCCCAATTTTAGCCACTTAATGCAGAAGAAGCCTCAATGAGTACAAAGTGTCTATTCCTGGTGTGAGCAGCTATGCTCCAGGTGGTGACTCAGGGACCCCTCCATCCTGTGGCACCAACATCTTCTGCTCATGTTACTGATTTCTTGCGGGGAGGACAATAGGGGCTCCCTAGGCCTGGCCTCGAGATGGCGCTGGCCACGTTCTCTAAGTAGAACTCAGTCCCAGCTGCAAGGGAAGCTATGAAAGGTGGCTTAGCTACATGCGCAGAAAGAAGGAGGAAAAGTTGGGGTGAACAGGTAGCCAGTGTTTGCCTAAGGCAGCAATTATTATCTGGGCACCTGCCCTGTAAGAGGCATTTAATAAATCCTAGTGACCAACAAACTGGTCTCTAGGGAAAGCTGAGCAGGGCCATTGGCTCAGGTCCTCAGATGGTGGTGGAGAGAAGAGAAAGGAGGTGACAAGGACAAAGACAACTGACTGAATTAGGCACAGAACCCAAATCTCATATTGAGGGAGTGTCCTCTTAATTACAATCATTTTAAATAAAAAGGGATCTTAATTGGTTTAAGTGTGTGCACGTTGGGGTTTTAGTTGAGCTCTTTGGTCTTTGCACAGCACAAAAATCTCATGAGATAATTGGCGTCTAACTTTCTGGGGAGTTTAATTTAGAAATCTCTTCCCAGGGCAATCTGTAGGTGGATTCTAATGGCAATTCAAGCTCTGGCTTGACACGTGCAGCTGGCTACCTGCAGAGACAAAATGAAAGATTATGAAGATCAGTGAGATTATGCTTATAAAGCAGTTTGTGCTTAGCCGAGAACAGCATTTATAGAATTAACAGATGTGACTCTGTTTTGGTAGGATATTGCAATCCGCTGAGGGAACCTATTTTGAATTTTCTGAGTGTAATTTTGGTTTCAGGTAAGAAGTGCTGAGGAGGGGGTTGCTTTACAGATGAGGAGAGGGGACATTGGATTTCTCAGGCACAAATTTGCTAAAGATCCTCTGCAATGTACACACCTCCCACTGTGGACCCCAACACTCCAGCTCTAGGAGTGGGGCCAGCAACAGAATCTAGTAAATCTCACCAGCTGTATTTTGGCTGTGCTGTGGGATAAATGTTTCCTAGGGACAAAACAGATAGCTTTCTCCCTGCATTCGAAATGCATGCTTTGATCTGTTTGCTCCCTCAGAGCAAACAGAGCTTTGATCTGTTTGTCCATCAGAGAGCAAACCTCTTTCTCGGGGAAATTTCTAGTTGAGCTCCATCTCTGTGACCTGAGAGGGGCAGATGGGAGGGGCACACAGCAGAGCCAAAAGAAGGGACTACATGTTCTGATAAACTGAACCTGGTTGGAAGGTGTTTCATGGAGAATCCAGGAAATTAAAAGTCAATGGAAAAACTAGATTTTGGTTTTGGAGTTTCCTCCCTCCCCAGGTGGGTGAAACAGAGAAGTGCATGACACCTTTAAAAGATCAGGTGATTATAAAGAGTACGCCCAACTGGCATGACCCTGCACCTAGAAGTTAATTTTTTGGTTCTTTTCCTTTCCTGTTTTTTTTTCTATGGAGCTAAAAAAAAAAAAAAATCAACCTGCCAGGCTCAGTGGCTCATGCCTATAATCCCATCACTTAGGGAGACCGAGGTGGGAGGATTGCTTGAGCCCAGGAGATCAAGACCAGCCTGGGCAACACAGCAAAACAACAAAACAAAACAAAACAAAACTTGGCCATGCTTGGTGGCACGCACCTGTGGTCTCCGCTACTTACGAGGCTAAGGTAGAGGGATCACTGTAGCTTAGTTTGAGGCTGCAGTGAGCTACAATCGTGCCACCACACTCCAGCCTGGGTGACAGAACAAGACCCTGTCTTAAAAAAGAAAAAAATAATCGACTTATCACATAAGCATCAGCAACCTGTGGTGGGAAGAGTTTAAGCAAAAGGTCATTGTTTCGGTTCTGCCTGATTCCCCCAACTCCTGTGAACCTTAATCTTCTCAGTGCTGAGATGGGCAGATCACAGCTACCTTACTTCATGGGCTTGCTGGGAAGTTCAGATGAGATGGTGGACGTGGAAGCCCCTGAGAGGGACATAGCCATGTGTCATCGTAGGTGCTTCCTAGGCTGCAAAATCACCAATGCTTGGACAGATCACTGCAAATGCTTCTCTTTGGGAATGTGTGATGTACAACGCTTGCTTGGGGGAGAAGGATGTCCACAGACTTAGGACATTGCAACGTCCTTCCTGCACTCTCTCTTACCAGCAGAGGCCTCTCTTGGACCATATTTAAGGTGCAATATTTGTAAGCTCCAAAATAAAATGTTAATTAATTCTGGTGGTACCTCTTGACCGTGTTCATGAGCTCATTCTTTTCATTCTTCTTTCTTATTTCTCTCTGGCCAGAAAAAGCAGGATCTAAGAATTCTCAGCAATGGATCTGGGTATTCTAGTAGGTGACTTTGAATAGCAGAATGGGTGAGAAAGTTGGGGATAATGGAGAAATTGTGGGCAAGCTGGCTTCCTGGGAAGGGACTAATTGAACAAGACAATGATTTATCTTTTCGGGGTTCAGAGGCAGCTTGTTAATTCGAATTATTTTCTTTATTTTTGCCCACAAGTGTTTGGTTGTCCTTTTCTCTGGCTTTTTACCTGATCAGGCTGCAAGCTGCAAAGGTGTGGCTTGTGCTGCAGATTTGTAATAAAAGATGACAGGTGAGAGAGACAGTGGTGGAACTGGTAGAGCTTGCACACCCACACGGTGTGGCTGCTCGGGAGGCTGTCTAGTGCACCTGCCAACAGAGCACAGATATCCTCTCTTCCTCATTTCAGATTCCTCCTTCCAGCTGTTTACTAAACAGCAACAAAAACACCCTCTTGGCTGTAACTTGTCAAATAAAGTCCCTGCAAAGTGTATAAGATTTTCCTCCCCTCGGTTTATGAAATGATGTGTTATTTTACATTTGAGAAACTTCCCCCCTTTTCTTGTTGCTTTAGAAAGTTAAAGTGCTTTTGGCTGGGCATGGTGGCTCACGACTGTAATCCCAGCACTATAGGAGGCTGAGGCGGTCGGATCACCTGAGGTCAGGAGCTCGAGAGCAGCCTGGCCAGCATGGTGAAGGACTCTGTCTCTACTAAAAATATTAGCCGGGCATGGTGCTGGGTACCTGTAATCTCAGCTACCTGGGAGGCTGAGGCCCGAGAATCTCTTGAACCCAGGAGGTGGGGGTTGCAGTGAGCTGAGATGGTACCACTGCCCTCAAGCCTGGGCGACAGAGTGTGACTCTGTCTCAAAAAAAAAAAAAAAGTTAACGTGCTTTTGATCTCAGAAATGATATTTGTGAAGCAATTAAATGTCTATCAACTGGTCTTCCTTACCTGGGATATTTGATATGGAAAAAAAACCTCAGGTGTTATTAAAGTTTAAACTAAGCATATCTAGTGCTATTTCCTTCAGAAATGAAAATTCAGTAATTTTATAGATGTAGTTTGTGGGATTGGTCATTTTAAGGAAAAATTTTAAAAGTCTTATGCTAAAGCAAGTTCATCAAATTTTGTTGTGTGGCCAAAATGCTTCTTTAGAGAGAAGTTAATAGAGTGGTTAAGACATGCATTCAATGGGGCTGAGTGCAGTGGCTCACACCTGTAATCCCAACACTTTGGGAGGCTGAAGCGGGAGGATTGCTTGAGGTCATGAGTTCAGGATCAGTCTGGGCAACATAGCAAGACC
The DNA here is from genome assembly GCF_000001405.40 of Homo sapiens. NCBI lineage: Eukaryota > Metazoa > Chordata > Mammalia > Primates > Hominidae > Homo > Homo sapiens. The sequence continues at coordinate 35,615,498 of NC_000010.11, forward strand.
CTGTCTCTACAAAAATTACTACAAAAAGCAGCTGGTCAAGATGATGCACACCTGTGTTCCCAGCTACTTGGGAGGCTGATGAGGGAGGATCACCTGAGCCCAGGGAGGTCGAGGCTGCAGTGAGCTGTGGTCACGCCACTGCACTCCAGCCTGGAGTGCCCTCCAGAGTACAGAGTGATACCCTGTCTCCAGAAAAAAAAAAAAAAAGACATCACTCAATGGGGCCAGGGTGTGGGGCTCACATCTGTCATCCCACCACTTTGGGACTTTGGAAAGCTGAAGTTTGAGGTTTGACTGAGGCCAGGAGGTCAGGACCAGCCTGGGCAACATAGCAAGACCCTGTCTCTACAAAAAGTAAAAAACAATAAGTCCTAGCTACACGGGAGGCTGAGGTGGGAGGATTACTTAAGCCCAGGAGTTTGAGGCTGCAGTGAGCTATGATTGTGCCACTGCACTCCAGCCTGGGTGACAGAGTGAGACCCTGTCTCTGAAAAAAAAAAGACTTGTACTCAATGGACTAGGAAATATTTTCATTGTCTCATTAGCTAAGGACTCTGCAAACATGAGCTTTTCTTTGTGTACCTTTATTTCTTATCTATGAAACAAAAATGTCATCTCTTCTACTTGGAAATATGAAATGATATTTCCTGTCGGAATGTGGATTAAGGGGTTTTTACCCCTTTGGAAGTAAGATAAGTGTAAACATTGAGGATGACTCATTCTGCACATTTGTTGAGCATCTTTGATGTAGGTGATGCTTGTGCAAGGCATGGGATGAGGGGCAAGAGAGTGATAAGGAAAGACTATACATACATTTAAGGATCTCTTTCCAAGAAATAAATGGGAACTATATGAAGGCAGCATATGATACAAAATTAAATTTCATGTCTCAGACTTGAATATTGAAACTTTTATATTTTTGTAAGTCAGCCAACATTGAGTCAGACAGCAAAGCTTCTTGCATCAAGTAAAGGAATGGGGGCGCTGCCTGCATCACTCCGCTGGGGCATGGGAGAAGCTGGGATTTGGTGTTATCCTCCTATACCCTCCTGTGACCCCGACTCCCTTTGGCGCCCCTCCCTCAGGCACTGCCCCCTCACTGCCTGTCTAACCATGGCTCCTCACCCAGACTGTGCCCCTCAAGAACCTCCTGAGCCCGAGTCCCATCATAGCGTCCTCAACTTGCCAGGGAAATTGGTGACTTGACTCTAGCTCATTTCACACCTGAAAAATGAAGGTGCAGGAAGGCGATGTAACTCGTCTAAAACAATCTGGTCAATTGGTGGCTAAATCTTCTCATTCTGAGCAGGTTTTGGCTCTAGAATTCCATTGCTCCAGGTTGCTTTCTTGAAGGTCATCGGGTAGAAGGGATTACTGCTCACAACAGCTTAATGTATAAGCTTTCTAGGAGCATCAGCAAATTAACAGAGGGCTCAGGGGCCCAATAGAATGCATCTCTGTTTTTTTATTTTTCAGAGACAGGGTCTTGCTCTGTCGCCCAGGCTGGAATACAATGGTGTGATCATAGCTCACTGCAGCCACAAACTCCTGGGCTGAAGTGAGCCTACCGCCTTAGCCTCCTGAGTAGCTAGGACTACAGGCCTAGCTAATCTTTTTATTTTAAAACATTTTTTGTAAAGATGAGTTCTCACTGTGTTGCCCAGGCTGGTCTCAAACTCCTGGTCTCAAGCAATTATCCTGCCTCAGCCTCCCAAAGTGTTGGGATTACAGGTGTGAGCCACCACACCCAGCCCAGAATGCATTTTTAATAGTGTCATTTGAGGCAATATGAAGGGTCTGCAGGTGACCTATAGAATAAGAATAGAATTGGTTTTTGATGACAGATTACAGTGGCAATCATTTCTTGAAGTTAGACAATTATGATAGAAATATAAAAACACAGAAGTTTAGAAATAATGCCCCATCCTCCCTAAATAACATATCAACCTGTTTATATTCTTAGCCTCTTAGGTTTTAAAATTTATAGTTGTATTTGTATTATGTCCATTCTGTGTTTTTCACTTGCTAATACATCATACACATTTTCCATGGTTCTCCAGTCTTCATAACTTACCACTTCGAATGGTGGCAGGAGTCTATGAAGCGATGGCTGTCTGATCATCTGCCCCAGCCTCTGTTGAACAAAATACTGCTAGCCTTTTGATGTTACAAAATAACACAGCATGGGTACACAGGATTTTCCTTCACATTTTGGATTATTTCCTTTAAATAGTTTTCTAGAAATTTTTAATTTTTAAAATTTAGGAACAGTGTTTCTCTCTGCTGTCCAGGCTGAGTGCAGTGGTGTGATCAAAGCTCGCTGCAGCCTCAAATTCCTAGGCACATATGATCCTCCTGCCTCAGCCTCCCAAGTAGCTGGGACTACAGACACGCGCCACCATCCCCAACTAATATAAAAAGAAATGTTTTTGTAGAGATGGGGTCTTACTGTGTTGCCCAGGCTGGTCTTGACTTCCTGGGCTGAAGGGAGCCTCCTGCCTCAGCCTCCCAAAATGCTGAGATTATAGGTGTGAGCCACTGCTTCCAGCCTAAAAATTAAGTTCACATACATTCTCAATGGATTATTAAGCTATTAATAGTGTCAACCACATGCAGATTACTATTTGTGAAGCTGCCATAATTTCACAGGTTGATCTTGTGATGCTAAACCAGCGGGGTGTAGTGGCTTGTGCCTGTAATCTCAGCTACTCAGAAAGCTCAGGTAGAAGGACTGCTGGAAGCCAGGAGTTTGAGACCAATCTGGGCAACATAGTGAGACCCCATCTCTCAAAAAAAAAAAAAAGAAAGAAAGAAAAGGCCAGGCGTGGTGGCTCATGCCTGTAATCCCAGCACTTTGGGAGGCTGAGGTGGGTGGATCATGAGGTCAGGAGATTGAGACCATCCTGGCTAACACAGTGAAACCCCGTCTCTACTAAAAATACAAAAAAAAAAAAATTAGCCGGGCATGGTGGCGGGCGCCTATAGTCCCAGCTACTCGGGAGGCTGAGTCAGGAGAATGGTGTGAACCTGGGAGGCGGAGCTTGTGGTGAGCCGAGATCGTGCCACTGCACTCCAGCCTGGGCAACAGAGCGAGACTCTGTCTCAAAAAACAACAACAACAATAAGAACAACAACAACAAAAACCAAAAACCACTAAACTTGAAGATGCTGTTTCTCTCTGGCGCTTTGTCTTGAACTTCAGGAACCTCCCTCTAGGTAGCCAGGGTACCTGAGCTCTCCCTAGTGAGCCTCAGTGACGTTTTCCACAAGCGTGTTTAACAGTCATAGATGAAGCATGTTAATTACATGTTAGTAATTAACCAGTTATTAAAGTAGTTATGCTCACATGCTTGAGAATTTAAGTTCAATAAGCTTCACAAATTGAGCCAACTTTTAAAGGTGCTTGATCAGCTATGTGCAGCTTTTACGTTGTGATTTTTAAAACTTAATTTTCCTCCATAAATGAGGAAATTACCTTTCTGGAATACATTTCAGTCCAGATTAAACACAGAAACCCAAATGTACCATTCCAGCCTGTGGCTCCCCACTGCTTTGATGAAGAGATGGTCTTCCCATATTCCCCCGGCCCCCTGCCGGATCTGCTCTATTTCAGCTTCGAGGTACTCAGGCCCATCCTCGCCTGGGGAGGAGGGAGGCAGATATCCAGGGAATATGCAAGGCTTTGTGACTGGCTGGATCAGGGGATGGGGGGCAGGAATGAGGAAGAGGGAGGAGAGCCTGGGTTAATTTTTTTGGTCCCCGATGAACTTTGCCTGTATTAGTCCATTTGTATTGCTATAAAGGAACACCTGAAGCTGGGTAATTTATAAGGAAAAGAGGTTTATTTGGCTCATGATTCTGCAAGCTGTATAGGAAGCATGGTGCCAGCATATGATATGGTTTGGCTGTGTCCCCACCCAAATCTCATTAGCTCCCATAATCCCCACATATCATGGCAGGGACCTAGTAGAGGTAATTGAATTATCAGGGTGGGTCTTTCCCATGCTGTTCTTGTTATATGAATAAGTCTGATGAGATCTGATGGTTTAATAAAGGGCAGTTCCCCTGTACACGCTGTCTTGTCTGCCACCATGTAAGATGTGCCTTTGCTTTTCCTTTGCCTTCCACCATGATTGTGAGGCCTCCCCAGCCATGTGCAACAGTGAGTCCATTAAACCTCTATTTCTTTATAAATTACCCAGTCTGGGCTATGTCTTTATTAACAGTGAGAGAACAGACTAATATAGTCATATTCACCCAAGTAGAACACCCTGGAGGAGGAGATGGATTGCTGATAGTTTCTGTTGTTTTTTTTTATTTTTACAATTTATTTTATTACCATTATTTTTTAGAGACAGGGTCTTGCTCTGTCACCCAGGCTGAGTGCAGTGGTATGACCATAACTCACTGCAGCCTTGAACTCCTGGGGACACGTGATCCTCCCACTTCAGCCTCCTGAGTAGCTGAGACTATGGGCATGCACCACCATATCCAGCTAGTTTTTAATTTTTTTTTTTTTTTTAGAGATGGGGTCTTGCTATGTTGCCCAGGCTGGTCTTGAATTCCTGGGCTCGAGTAATCCTCCTGCCTTGGCCTCCTAAAGTGCTGGAATTACAGGCATGAGCCACCACGCCCGGTCAGTTTCTGGTGTAGAAATGTCAAGGTGAAGTTGCCTTTGGGGTATTTTGGAGGAGATGCTGAGTAGGAAGTTGGACTGCTGGATCCGAGCACAGAGAGGAGTTTGGCTGGAGACAGATTGTGGAATCATCACACAGAGCCGCTTTCGAGTCCTTGGGTGTGGCTGCCCAGTCTCCCTCTGCTTCAGACAACCCCACACCTCCTTGGTGACCCTAAGGGACAGGGAAAGCAGGTGGCATCAGGAAGGATAGCAGGATCCCTACGATCACTCCCAGGGGGGTGAATTCTTTTGTTTTCCAGCTGAAGAAGCAGATCTTACAGCAAAACTGCCCTGATTTATTTACCCTGTGTGGTGACCAGGTCAGTGGGACAAACAGCAGATCTATGGTGTTCCTGAGGTTCTCAAATATCTGTGCTGACATGTTTCTTTTCTGTTTCTTTTCTTTTCTTCTCCCTTTTTTTTTTTTTTTTGAGACACAGTCTTGCTCTGTTGCCCAGGCAGAAGTGCAGTGGTGCAATCTTGGCTCACTACAACATCTGCCTCCCAAGTTCAAGTGATTCTCCTGCCTCAGCCTCCTGAGTCGCTGGGATTACAGGCGTCCACCACCATGCCCAGCTAATTTTTGTATTTTTAGCAGAGATGTGGTTTCTCCATGTTGGCCAGGCTAGTCTGGAACTTCGGACCTCAAGTGATCCTCCTGCCTCAGCCTCCCAAAGTGCTGGGATGACAGGTGTGAGCCACCACGCCCAGCCTGTGCAGACATATTTCTGTTAAACTCCAAGCTCTTGTCCTGTGTTTCCTCTCCTGATACCACCCAGGTTTCCACCTACAACCTCTGAGGGATGGACCGTCTGGATCTGCCCCAGGTGAGCCTACAGAGCTGCCTCCTTCTCTGACCAAATTAGCCTTTCCCTGGACCCCCGTGTCCCTCCCTTGTATTTCTATGTCATTCCGAGAGGGGAACATTCTGGTGTCCTACACTATCTTATTTGATGGAAAGAGCAGAGTTACTTATTTACTTAACGCTATTTTTGTAAGCATGAATGAGTTGGTGTTAAATGGATTTTTCTTTTTTTTAAATACCATCCTTACGCTGTTGTTTCCATTTCTGTTGTTGTTGCCAGGTTAAATTTACTTTTTTGGGAAATATTGTTTAAATTTCAGCATGCTAATATATACACATACATATATACATATATTTATTTTATTTTATTTTATTTTATTTTATTTTATTTTATTTTGAGACAGAGTCTCGCTCTGTCTCCCAGGCTGGAGTGCAGTTGCGCAATCTTGGCTCACTGCAACCTCTGCCTCCCGGGTTCAAGTGATTCTCCTGCCTTGGCCTCCCAAAGTGCTGGGATTACAGGTGTGAGCCACTGTGCCCGGCTGCCAATTTTACTCTCTAGACGCAAATACACAAGGCGTTCCAGGGACAGCTCGTCAAGTGCTGGGAAGAACGTGTGGCTGGAGGGGATGCCCAGTGGCTGGCCTTTTTGGAGACAATGGTCCAAGCACCAAATTGGTGCCATTCTACATTTGTGGTCTCCAGGAGGGCCTCCAGCACTGTATCCTCACCTCCATGTTCCTAATTCATTCACTGTCCGAGCTTCCCATCATCCATGTAAGCCTCTTCTGCTCTTCTCACACCTTGGCAGGTGGCCTCGCTTCCTATGGACAGAGAAGACATTCGATGGGGACTTCTCTCTGCCCACCACATTCCACCCCGTTTCCTGACTTCCTGTTTACCTTACTGTATTTCTCGCTGCATTCTAACATGAAATGAGGACCTACCATGTACCAGGCAGCGTTTTGTGCCTTGTCTGGACTTTCTAATTTAACCCATCATCACACCCCTTTGAGACAGGCACAGTTTTATAGTGGGACTCCATGTACAGTTGAGGAAACTGTGAATAGGGGATGTTCTGCAAAGTCCAAGTTCCCACTGTAGCCTCCATATATGGTGTAGTGTCAGGACCGGATAGGTGTTCAATCAACAATTTTTTGAGTTTATTTTATTTTACTTTATGTATTTATTTTTAGAGACAGGGTCTCACTCTGTTACTCAGGGTGGAGTGCAGTGGCATGATCTTGGCTCACTGCAGCCACAACCTCCCAGACTCAGGTGATCCTCCCACCTCAGCCTTCTGAGTAACTAGGACTAAAGGTGCATGCCACCATGCCCAGCTAATTTTTAAAAACTTTTAAATTTTTGTACAGACAGAGTCTTGCTATGTTGCCCAGGCTGGTCTTGAACGCCTGGCCTCAAGTGAGCCTCCTGTCTGGCCTCTCAAAGTGTTGACATTAAAGGAGTGAGCCGTCATGCCCAGCCTGAATTAGTTTTGATATAAGAGAAATGCAAAGCCCATGAGGCAGAGGCAGCACACAGGGAAGGTTTGTAGGCAGAAGGTAAAGAGGGAAGCAATAACAGAATAGTTGCGAGAGTTGACAGAGGATCCAACAGAGAACACAGGTCACGGGATTGGCTTTGAGGAGAAGGGAGAAGACTCCTTCAGAGGAAAGGGGCAAAGATGGGAGCAAACGAGGCTGTTCATTGCAGGATGAGGGGTTTCTAGAGGCCAGTGTGGTAGGGGAGAGGGTTGAGGCACCAAGAATAGCAGCTTTGGGAAGAGTCAAGTTAGCTATTGCAATAGCTGCTGTAAGGACTGGGGAAGGAAGCTGACCAGGAACACACAAAAAATCACCTGGTATCCCATGGCTGGAGGAGGAGGGTGTTCATTGAGTGCCTACTGCATACTGAGAGCACAGGTCCAGGCATTCAATCCTCTCAGTAGCCCCATGAGCTCTATTTTACAGATGAGGAAACTGAGCCTCACTGGTAATTTTCTCAGGGCCACACACAGGAGGAAACTGGAGTCAGAATCTAGATGTGACTTTGAAAACTCGTGTTCTCGGCCAGGAGCAGTGGCTCACACCTATAATCTCAGCACTTTGGGAGGCCAAGGGAGGAGGATCACTTGAGGTCAGGAGTTCATGACCAGCCTGGGCAACATGGTGAAACCCCGCCTCTACTAAAAATACAAAAATTAGCTGGGCATGGTGGTGCGCACCTGTAATTCGAGCTACTTGGGAGACTGAGGCAGGAGAATCGCTTGGACCTGGGAGGTGGAGGTTGCAGTGAGCCGAGATTGCGCTGCACTCCAGCCTGGGTGACAGAGTGAGACTCTGTCTCAAAACAAAAACAAAACCAACAAAAACAAAAAACAACAACAAAAAAACCTTTTGTTCTTTCTCCACACCCTACCGCCCCTTGCAAGCTTTTGGCTTATAACGGGAGAAAAGCCCTTCCCACACCTTAATCAACCCTTGGCTTGCTCAAGGCTTTTTCATCACTTTTTTTCTGGTCCAAGAACAGAGAGAGGATGCTTATGGATTACCTTTGCCAACTTCTGATTTTGTAATCATAAGAGGATTCGCAAGCTGAGAATGCATCCAGTGCTTCTCTCTTCCTATCAAGTGTGTAGAAGTTTGCATGCACTTGGTCCCTTTATCGGATTCCCAGCATGCACAGAATCTGCTCTGGGCATGAGTAAATTAAACCTTGTTAATTACATGTATTAGTCCATTTGTGTTACTATAAGGGAACACTTGAAACTGGGTAGTTTATAAGGAAAAAAGGTTTATTTGGCTCATGGTTCTACAAGCTGTATAGGAAGCATGGTGCCAGCATTTGCTTTTGGGAAAGCCTCAGGAGGCTTCCACTCATGGCAGAAGATGAAAGGGAAGCAGGTGCATCAAAGGGCAAGAGAGAGAGCAAGAGATGCCAGGGTTCTTTAAACAACCAGCTCTAGCATGAACGAACAGAGTGAGAACTCACTCACTACCATGGAAGGGCACCAAGGCATTCAAGAGGGATCCACCCCCATGACCTAAACACCTCCCACCAGGCCCCACCTCCAACACTGGGGACCCCATTTCAACATGAGTTTTGGAAGGGACAAACTTCCAAACTATATCATTGTCTTTTTATAGAACTTAAATACCAAAAGTGATGTAAAACCTCCCCTAGCAAGCCATTAAGACAGAGGTGTGAAATGTTATGTCTGTAACTCTTGGAATTTTTTTCTAGTTGGGTAGGACCCACTTATGGTTGGTATTTGAAATTACCCACCAAAGCTGTGCACAGTAGCTCATGCCTGTAATCCCAGCACTTTGGGGGGCCAAGGCAGGTGGATCACTTGAGGTCAGGAGTTCGAGACCAGCCTGGCCAACATGGTGAAACCCTGTCTTTACTAAAAATACAAAATTAGCCAGGTGTGGTGAAAGGTGCTTGTAGTTCCAGCTACTTGGGAGGCTGAGGTAGGAGAATTGCTTGAAACCGGGAAGTAGAGGTTGTAGTGAGCCGAGATCACACCACTGCACTCCAGCCTGGGTAGCAGAGCGAAACTCTGGCTCAAAAAAAAAAAAAAAAAAAAAAAAAAATTACCCACCAACGACTCAGGTTTTGAATTAAGTCTTGAAGCTGGGATCCCTTTTACCATCCAAATGCCTTGGGAAGAAGGCCGGCAGAAGGCCTCCCTGTGTCAGCTCATTACCCACTGTTGAGCATGACAGCTTAGAGAAATGATGAGAAAAGGAGGGGGAATATGAAATGAGGGCCTGTGTGGACTTCACGGGGTTGGAGGGGAGAAAGAGTTGGCACCAAAGAGGCAAGAGGAAGAAAAGGAGAACAGACTGGAGTCACAAAGACCAAGTTTGTGTAAGAGACAGCGAGAGACAAAGAAGGGAGCCCAGGCAGGGAACAGCGGGACAGGCGGCTCCTGTGCTTGAGGAGATCAAGGACCAGAGGTTCAGGACAGTGCGTTTGGAGTTGCAGAGAGGCTGGGGGAGCAGCACGCTGGCTAGGGTGCAGGATGGAGCCTGGTGGCTTTGAACACTTGGGGGAATGGTGGTTTGCCTTGTGAGTGTATGATCAGAGGGGACTAAAGGGCCCAAGTCAGGACTAACTGACATGTCAGCAACTTCATACCTCCAATGGGGCCATCAGAGGTGCAGCAGACTCCTTTGGGTCAGGCCAAGGTCAAGGAGTTATGCAGCTTCCTCAGTGGTAGGATGAATGGGGTGTTGAAAAACTTCCCTGGGCAGGTGGACTCTGCCAATACCCTGGATGTGTTTCTGACACCAACACTTCTTTCTTTCTTTCTAACTTTTATTTTAGGTTTGGGGATACAAGTGCAGATTTGTTACACAGGTAAATTGCCTGTTGTAGGGGTTTGATATACAGATAATTTTGCAATTCAGGTAATCAACATAATACCCAAAAGGTAGTTTTCCAATCCTAACCTTCCTCCTACCCTCCATCCTCAAGTAGGCCCTGGCATCTGTTGTTTCTCTCTTTGTGTCCATGTGGACTCAATGTTTAGCTTCCATTTATAAGTAAGAACATGTGGAATATGGCTTTCTGTTGATGTATTAATTTGCTTAGGTTAACGGTCTCCAGCTCTATCCATGTTGCTGCAAAGGACATGATTTCTTTCTTTTTGATGGCTGCTTAGTATTCCATGGTGTATATGCATTACATTTTCTTTATCTAATCCCCTGTTGATGGGCATCTGGGTTAATTCCATATCTTTGCTATTGTGAAGAGTGCTGCAATGAACATGCGTGTGTCCGTATCTTTATGGTAGGATGACTTTTTTCCTCTGGGTATATACCCATTCATGAGATTGCTGTGTCGAATGGTATTTCTATGTTAAGTTCTCTGAGAAATCTCCACACTGCTTTCCACAGTGGCTGAACTAATTTACCTTCCCACCAGCAGTGTAGAAGCATTCTGTCTTCTCTGCAACCTCACCAGCATCTATTGTTTTTTGACTTTTTAGTAATAGTGATTCAGACTGGTGTGAGATAGTATCTCACTGTGGCTTTGATTTACATTTCCCTAATGATTAGTGATGTTGAGCATTTTTTCATATGCTTGTTGGTTGCATGTATGTCTTCTTTTGAGAAATGTCTGTTCATGTCATTTATCCACTTTTTAATGGAATTTTTTTTTTGCTTGTTGATTTGTCTAACACCAATATTGCTTCGCTTCTTTTTTTTTTTTTAATAATTTTTTTAAGACTGAGTCTCACTCTGTTGCTGAGGCTGGAGCACAGTGGCACGATCTTGGCTCACTGAAACCTCTGCCTCTCAGATTCAAATAATTCTCCTGCCTCAGCCTCCTGAGTAGCTGGGATTACAGGTGCATGCCACCACACCTGGACAATTTTTGTATTTTTAGTAGAGACGGGGTTTCACCATGTTGGCCAGGCTGGTCTCGAACTCCTGACCTCAGATGATCCACCTGCCTTGGGATTACAGGCATGAGCCACTGTGCCCGGCCTAACACCAACCTTTCTTAATCAATTTTTACTTATTAGGCAGTGTTTGGACATAAATCATACTCTCTATATTATATTTTTTATACCTCACAGAAAGCCTGGTATGGACAGGATGTGTATTTTGTTTTCATTTTCTTGGAGTCTTGATGGGATGGGTTAGCAAGAGATGAATAACACATTTCACAGTAAATAAAGGATACAGAATGGCACTCAGGACTGGAGAGAGAAATATGGAAGTCACCTAAGAGAAGGTCACAGAAAGAGGGCGGGGGTTTACTCCAGAGACATGCTTCACCTGCTTCTCAAATTGGTTCCCAGCCCAAGTTCAGTAGGCTGTCTCCAATAGTAGATTTAGAAACAATTATAGCAGATTTGGAGGCAAAGTTTAGACCTGGAAATCCCATGAAATAAAGAGTGGAATGGCATCCAATTGTTTTGATAAAGTCTTGATTGTGCTCGGGAAATAACACCGCTGATAACCCAAATGGAATTAACACCTTTTGTCATTAACTTGACACTTCTCGCACAAGCTAATGAACAGCTTATAGTAAGCTCAACTGGTAACTTTAGGGGCCTAGAAAACTGGGTTATTGACTCACTTCGGACCCACCCTTCCTTTATTGAATTTGGAAACATCTGTGTGAGTCTTGCACTAATCCTTCTTGAGTTGGCGCAACACGATGGTGTTGGAAAGTTTCACGGAATTCGCCACATTCATCCTTTAATTAGACTAAACTTGGATTTAAAAGCTTCTGTGTGATTTGAAAAAATCCAATCTTTGGTCTCAGACTGCTAAATCCTTTGGGAATTTTGAAGTGCAAATACACAATCATAAGACAGTGTAAGGTTCTGTTAATCTTAAGAATATGTGAGTCATTTTAAACCTAGAGTATTTCAGATTTAGTCATTTCCTTCATATGAAATCCAACTTTCCAGCATAAAAATTATAAAGCATAGATACAGTTTTCCAGCATGTAGAATTACAAGCCTAAAATATGAAAACTGTGTGTGGATGAAATATTGCTAATGTGGCTGCAGCATTTTGTTGAGATTTTGATTTTAAAAATATTTTTTACTTCATCTGAACTTTTCTTTTTTTTTGAGACAAAGTCCTGCTCTTTGACCCAGGCTGGAGTGCAGTGGTGTGATTACAGCTCACTGCAGCCTTGACCTCCAGGGCTCAAGCAATCCTTCCACCTCAGCCTCCTGAGTAGCTGGGACCAGAGGCACACACCACCACACCCAGCTAATTTTTAAATTTTGTTTTGTAGAGGTGGGGTCTCCCTTTGTTGCCCAGGCTGGTCTCAAACTCCTGGGCTCAAGAAATCCTCCTGCCTTGGCCTCCCTAAGTGTTGGGATTACAGGCGTGAGCCACCGTGCCTGGCTGGTCTGAACTTTTCTTCTCATAATCTTTCTTCTCTATTCTTTCTTGCTTCTCTTTTCTCACTGTTCAGTTTTACATATGTTCATTTTCTCCATGGATCAGTTAGTTTCACACAAAGAAAGTTTCTACAGCTGAGTAGGGTCCTCCTAAAGTTCCCCCACCCCCACATTATGGTAGTCAATGGAGACACTGAAAGTAATTCCCAGTTCTTTGGGCAAAGTAGTTTGCTCAACAAATATGTATTGAATGGATGAGTTTTTTGAACGGCACAAATTTAAAGGCAGTACAAATTTTATTTTTTGAGTAGGTTAAAGCACTTATGTTTAACCATTCTCACTACTTTGGAAGTCACAGACATCTTATTGAACAGTATAACATCTTGAATTGCCTTCTTTTTTTGTAATTAGAGATTTATCTGTTTATTTTTGAGACAGGCTGTCCCCCAGGCTGGAGTGTAGTCTGGTGTGATCTCGGCTCACTGTAGTCTTGACCTTCCAGACTTAGGTGATCCTCCCACCTCACCTTCCCAAGTAGTTGGGACTACAGGCATGCACCATGACAACCAACTAATTTGTGTTTTTTTGTTTTTTTTTTTTTTTTTAGAGATGGGGTTTCGCCACATTGTCCAGGCTGGTTTCAAACTCCTGGGCTCAAGTGATCCGCCTGCCTCAGCCTCCCAAATTCCTGGGATTATAGGTTTGGGCCATCATGCTTGGCCTGTAACTAGAAGTTTAAAATGTACTATTTTTATTTCAATAGTGTCATTTGTTTCTTAGAAGACTCATGTGAGAAGGGCAGACCAATAATTAGTAGCCTCATTTCATAGATGAAGAAAAACAGGTTCAGAAAAGTTAACAAGATTTCAGGCTCATAAAACACAAGGGCAAGAGTGCAGCAGTTTGACCTTCATTAGTTCTTTTTATATTTTACTTTACTACCTTCAGTAGAAAGCAGAGGTAACTATGGCAGAGAGAGGGGGGACATGTGACTGTATTAGAGTGGAGAACTGTGGAAATCATTATTGCCATTTAACAAATACTTCCAGTTTTTCTTTTTCTGGGCAAGTCGTAGGATTAGTTTCCTGCACCATTTGGGGTGCTATATGCCTATACGACTTCCTTTGTCAATGACATATGTAGGTCTTTGGCCAATGACACATGTAGGTATGACATGTGCCTTTTCCAGGCAGATGCTTTAAGGTTCAGTGCATGAATTGATACATTCCTTCCCCACTGATGCAAGGATTCTGGAAACACATGCCAAGATTAACTTTAGTCAAACCGGATCTTTGAATGCCCAGGGTGAAGAGAATCTCTTCACTGATATGCACGGGACATATGTAAAGTCATAAATTATTTTTTGTTGTGTTCAGCCTCTGAGATTTTGTAGTTGTTGTTTTTGCAGCAAAACCTAACTTATTCTGATTGATATAGAAATTAAGGAGCATAAATGGGTAAAGAATGCATGGATCAATGGGTGGATGGATGGTTAGATGAATGAATGAATGGACCAACATAATAATTAGCAGCATGGTGGTTCCTCAAAAAGTTAAAAATGGAACTATCATATGGTCCAGGAATCCCACTTCTGGGTATATATCCAAAAGAATTGAAAGCAAGGTCTTTGAAGAGAGATTTGCACAGCCATGTTCGTAGCAGCACTATTTGCAATGGCCAAGAGGTGGAAGCAACTTGAATGTCCATCCATGGATGACAGGATAAGTAAAATGTGGATGCACATACAATGGAACATTGTTCAGCCTTAAAAAGGAAGGAAGTTCTGACCCATGCTACAACACGGATGAACCCTGAGCAAATTATGTTAAGTGAAATAAGCTGGTCACAAAAAGACAGATACTGTCTGATTCCACTTATATGAGGTACCTATTGTAGTCAAATTCACAGAGACAGGAAGCAGAATGGTGGTTTTCAAAAGTTGGGGGTGAGGAGAAGGGAGTAATTGTTTAATGGATATGGAGTTTCAGTTTTGCAAGATGAAAAAGTTCTGGTGATCCACAATGTAAATACACTTAGCACTACAGAACTATATACTTACAAATGGTTAAGATAGTAAATACAGTTTATGTGGTTTTTTTTTGAGACGGAGTTTCACTCTTGTTGCCCAGGCTGGAGTGCAGTGGCACGATCTCGGCTCACTACAACCTCCTGGGTTCAAGCGATTCTTCTGTCTCAGCCTCCTGAGTAGCTGGGATTACAGGTGCCTGCCACCATGCCTGGTTAATTTTTGTATTTTTAGTAGAGACAGGGTTTCCCTATGTTGGCCAGGCTGGTCTCGAACTCCTGACCTCAGGTGATCCGCCTGCCTCGGCCTCCCAAAATGCTGGGATTACAGGTGTGAGCCACCACACCTGGCCTGTGTGTGTGTGTGTGTGTTTTTACCACAATAAAAATTAAATAAACAAAACAAAAATGCACATGGAAACATTTTTATTTAAAACAATAAAACAAAAACTTTTTTTTCTTTTTTTGAGATGAGTCTCACTCTGTCGCCCAGGCTGGAGTGCAGTGGCACCATCTCAGCTCACTGCAACCTCTACCTCCCAGGTTCAAGTAATTATCCTGCTTCACCCTCCCGAATAGTTGGGATTACAGGCATGTACCACCATGCCTGGCTAATTTTTGATTTTTTTTTTAGTGGAGCTGGCGTTTCACCATATTGGCCAGGCTGGTCTTGAACTCCTGGCCTCAAGTGATCCACCTGCCTTGGTCTTCCAAAGTGCTAGGATTACATGCGTGAGCCACCATGCCTAGCCCGATAAAACAAACTCTTTATTGATGGCACCTGGCACTTACTCATCCAGGCAGGCACTGTTCTTTGCATTTTATCTGTACCGGAAGTTAATCCTTACAACAACCCTATAAAATAGATACCGTTCTTATTCCCATTTTACAAAGGAGGAAACTGAGGGAAACAGAGGCTGAGTAACTTGCCAAAGATCATTCACTAAAGGAGCCAGGCAGTGGGGTTGAGTCTGCTCTCTTAATCCCTCATTGTTACTGGCTTTCTGTAACTTCCTGGAGATTTTCTAAGTTAATTAAGTTAATATGGTGTTCATTAAGAGATATTTTCCAGAATGATTAAGTTATTAGCTTCTTTTTGGCTCACACTGAGTATGGCCAAGAGGCGTTTTTTGATGATATTGTGCAAAGTTTGCATCCCTGTTGTGGGTTTAACAACCTAGGACCCTCTGTTTGGGCTTTTTCTTACAGAATAATGATGAATGTAGCAGTGAAGCTCTAACATCATATACATCAGCCAGAGTCAGGAAAACCTCCGCACTTACTTGGGAAAGTGGATTTCACTTTCTGGGGCTTTGGTTAAGGACTCTTAACTTCTTGTATGATACCCAGAGACAGAGCAGATTTCTGCACCAAATGAATGCTATCTTATAATTCTACAACTTTAACAATGTGCTAGCATGAGGTAAGGTACTATCAGGTTCCTTTTAAAGAGGTGAGGTGAAGACACATGTATTGACACGCATTCAGGATTCCCCTGACCCACTGTTGGCTTGACCCTTGCTTCCTGGGCTACAATACGACCCTGCACCCAGTCTTAGAAAGTCAGGCCTGTCTTTGGTCTCTGCAGACTGACTGAGGTTTCATTTCCAGCTGAGTTGGTCTCAATACATAAACATCTACTGAACAAGAAGAGAATATTTTATTTTATTTTATTTTTTAAATTCAGGGAATACATGTGCCAGTTTGTTACATGGATATATTGTGCAATACTGAGGTTTAAGCTTCTATTGAACCTGTTACCCAAATAGTGAACATAATTCCCAATAGAAAGTTTTTCATCTTGCCCTCTTTTTTCCCTCCCACTTTTGGAGTCCCCAGTGTCTATAATTCCTGTTTTTATGTCCATATGTAGCCAATGTGTAGTTCCCCCTTAGAAGTGAGAACATGTGGTATTTGGTTTTCTGTTCCTGTGTTATTTCACTTAGGATAATGGCCTCTAGCTGCAACCATGTTGCTGCAATGGACATGATTTCATTCTTCTTTTTGTGGCTGCATAGTACTCCACAATGTATAGCGTACCACATTTTTAAAATCCAATCCACTGTTGATGGGCACCTAGGTTGATTCTATGTCTTTGCTATTGTGAATAATGCTGCAATAAGCATATGAGTGCAGGTGTCTTTTTGGTAGGAAGATAATATTTGAATATCTTTACTAACTAACACATCCACCTTATTGATTCCTCCTAACTTCACAGGTTGGGTTTAATTTCTAGTTTAATAGAATTATACCCTATGTGCACAATTCTTTGTTATTTCCTTATAGGTGAAAAAACAGTTATCAAAAACTGTGTACTGAGAAGTTCTTTCTTGGGGCCAGGTGAGGGCACTCCTGTCATCTCCCAAATACCTCTCAGGGTGACAAAAAGAAAAAAATAACTGCTTTTGTTTAGTCAAGTTAGATGACAATAGCTAGTTTGCTTAGCTAATTTCTATTTCTATATATCTATATAGATCTATATGTCTACAGATCTACAGATTTATATATCTATAAATACATCTACATATCCAGATCTGTATCTGCATATATTTCACTTTGGATGATAATACCACATTCAGTTACATTCACTGGTTTTCAACTCTGGCGGCACATGGGAATTGCCTGGGGAAGTTTTAGAAAACTTTGAATTCTCAGCTGGCACCCCCCAAAATTCTGATTCTGTTGGTTTGGGGTGCAACATGGGCATTGGTAATGATAAAAAAAAAACAAAAACATACCCCAAGTGCTTTTAACATGTAAGCATGGTAAGAACTACTGCTGGAGTGCTAGTTAATTAAAAATGGGCTTGTTAGGGGTGAAAATATTAGAAATTGGTTTTCTAATTTAAATCAGTGTATGATTCACCTGCATGATAAACATGGTGCTATAAAAGCATGCGTTTGTCCCCTGTGAAGAATGGCTGTGCCCCAGATTCGGAAAGCTATCCAACTTGGGTTGTTTCACTAACATTGATCCTAACTTTGCCTTTTGTCCTGGGGCAATTCCTTCCTTCCACCTTTCTCTGGCTACTGGCTGACCTTTTCAGCTGCCACCCATGCTCTTGGCCCCCTCCCGGGCACAGCCTGCAGCATGAGTCTGCTGGGCCAGTCAAGCTCTTCCTCAGGTTGCTCTGTCATTGCAGAGATTTCTGGGACGCTCTCTTGGGTTCCCTAAGCCCTTTTCTCTCCCTGATCCCTGCACTGGCCTTCACGGCACAGTGGTTCTGCTGTTTCTCCTTCTGCCTGGCCGAGGCCAGGCTCTCCCTGAAAGGCCCTCAGGCCTCTGCCAGCCAGGGCCAACACGTTCCACATTTGGCCCCTCTCCCCATGTGAACTCAATCAGTAACAGAAGCCCATCTGACTAATAGAGGATTAGTCCTCTCTCACACTGCTATAAAGATACTCCCTGAGACAGGGTCATTGACAAAGGAAAGAGGAGTAATTGGCTCACAGCTCCGCGTGGCTGGGGAAGCCTCAGGAAACTTACAATCATGGTGGAAGGTGAAGGGGAAGCAGACACATCTTACACAGTCACAGGAGAGCGAAAGAGAGAAAGAGGGAAGTGCCAGACACTTACCAAACAAGACCACTTGAAAACTCACTCACTATCGGAACATCAAGGGGGGGAATCCGTCCCCATAATCCAGTCACCCCCCACTAGGTTCCTCCCTTGACATGTGGGGATTACAATTCAAAACGAGATTAGGGTGGGGACACAGAACCAAACCATATTACTCCCAGTCACTGTGCCTTCTCACTAAGCTAGAACACAGACTCTTAAATGTGGAATTTATTGGAACACGGTGGCTGTAGAAGGCAAAAGGCAGGTGAGCTGGCCTAAGTTGGCCAGGATCCCAAGAGGCAAGCCTTTCCACAGTGCTCCTCTTGTCTCTGAAGGATGGGCGTTCACATTTCCTGTGTAGGCCACCACCAAACTGTGAGAGAACTCTGCTATGATTCTGTAACCAGGTAAACACAGCCCTGGTAAGTTGCTGTATCAGCTATGAATGCATTTTTTTTTTTTTTTTTGAGATAGACTCTTTCTCTATTGCTCATGCTGGAGTGCAGTAGCAGATTCATAGCTTACTGCAGGCTTGAACTCTTGGACTCAAGCGATCCTTCTGTCTCAGTCTCCCAAGGGACTACAGGCATGCATTACCACACCTGGCTTTTTATTTTTTTATAGCGATGGAGTCTCATTATATTACCCAAGCTGGTCTAGAACTCCTGGCCTCTAGTGATCCTCCTATCTCGGCCTCCCAAAGTGTTGGGATTACAGATGTGAGCCACCACACCCAGCCTGAATGCACCTTGTGGTGGCCTCAGAGGTCTACACAGAAGAGTGGGACTGCTGGAAAAGATCTACAGAGACAGGAGTGACAAGTAGGCTTAGTGGCTTCTAGGCCCAGCTGTGCTCCTGACTGTGTGATGTTCAGTAAGCACAGTTGTTTTGGGCTTGTTTTCTAACCAGTGAAATGTGGGATGGTGTGCTAGAACTTCCTACCCTTCGGTGTGCCTGTGAAGCTTGGGGATCTTGTTAAAATGCAGTTTCTGATTCAGTAAGAGAGATCTGAGATTCCACATTTCCCTAATGCCACAGGTTCTTGCCCCTGCTCCTTGTTCATGGGCAGCAAGATTCTTGCCCCTGAGGCCTCTGAACTCTGTAAGTCCTCCAAGATCTTATGTGGTCCTTGGTCACAGTCTCCTCCTTCCCTCCTATCCCCACTAGACATTCCAGTCCTCAGAAACCTCATTTCTCTGCTCATCCCTTTTTTTTTTTGGCAAAGTCTTGCTCTGTCATCCAGGCTGGAGTGCAGTGGTGTGATCTCAGCTCACTGTAGCCTCCGCCTCCTGGATCAAGCGATTCACCTGCCTCAGCCTCCTGAGTAGCTGGGATTACAGGTGCCAGCCACCACATCCAGCTAATTTTTGTATTTTTAGTAGAGACAGAGTTTCACCATGTTGGCCATGCTGGTCTCAAACTCCTGACCTCAGGTGATCCGCCTGCCTCGTCCTCCCAAAGTGGTGGGACTACAGGCGTGAGCCACCGGTCCTGGTCCTGCTCATCCTTCTTTAAGATCCTGTTCTTCCTACATCTCAGTGCTGTGTCATCTTCCTTCCCGAGGGCTCCAGCATTCCAACGCAGATGCTCACCGACCTTGTTTTCCAGCGAAGTTTCTACTCCTTGGTGTGTTTCCATGAACACCTGGCTAGGTAAAACGAGATGGCCTGCGTCTTGCTCACCCTAACAGCACTCACGTGCAGTACTGACGGACATCCCCTGGACTCAGAGTTGACCTCTACATGAGAAATTGTAAAGCGGCACATTTAATTAAGCAAGCCAACCACATCCCACCTCAAAATACTCTTTATTATTCATCCTTTCTTCCATGAAAGCTTTGATATGGTGGATCTTTGGTGAGCATCCCATTCTTTAAATAAAAGTAACTCAGAAGCTAATTTAAAGAAGATATGCTCTTGGAATTTAACGCAGCTCTTGGAATTTAACGCAGCTTAATTACATTTTTAGCATAATGGTCATATGGAGGACTTAATGCAATTGAAGTTAATAAAAGTATTATCACTGTGCGGGAATGTCTTGCGGGTCCTTAAACTTCAGTGTGCACTGATGCAATTTTGGAGCGCTTCAGAGAAAGGATTCAGAATTATGAATACAAAATGTTTGCAGGTCCTCTGGGCGGAGGCTGT
This sequence comes from Homo sapiens, assembly GCF_000001405.40. Taxonomy (NCBI): domain Eukaryota; kingdom Metazoa; phylum Chordata; class Mammalia; order Primates; family Hominidae; genus Homo; species Homo sapiens. The sequence continues at coordinate 35,635,591 of NC_000010.11, forward strand.
GCCTGTGCCTAGGCTAGCTCTCCATGTGCTATTTTTGAATGAATGAATTGAATGAAGGAACCTCCCTAACTTCCTGGTTCTGGGACCCCGTACTACCACCAGATGGCAGTATAGTATCAAATGTGGAAAGCGGATAGACACTTGCACTGATTTGCTTTTTATGTCTCAACAGAACGTTTGCACCTACACTTTAAATTGCATCCCGTGCTCTGCAACTGCTCCTGGTTTTCTTTTGGCAAGACAATCTCACTCTCTTTGCCCAAACTCTGAAGTATTACAGGCACCAGCAATGCGGTCAGTGCAGGTTAAGAAACTGTAATGTGCCATGGTTTACTCCTTAAACTTTCTTATCAACTTTTTTCCCTTCTGTTTCATGGTACTTTCAAATTGCATTTATTATAAAGCAAATAGAAAGTGTTTCACATAACTTCTCCCACAAGCAATTTTAATGAGCTTTGGCTTTAGTAATGGTTTTAATCATGTTAGACTTGATCTTCTAGCCACACAGCAACCACATCAACCCCTCTCCCAATTTGACAAGATTTTGAAAAACTAACACTTGTTTTATGTAATTAAAGACACACCTGTATAGCACACAGAGGTGTTCATTTGTCTAATGCAATTGGCCAGATAGAGACTCGTTTCTTTCTTCCACCCTAAAATCAATTTTGGGGTTTTGTTCCCTTAGTAGATACCATCTGAGTACTGGCAAATATGCAACTCAAGTTTTAGCTTTAAAGGCAAAGAACCAGCACTTATGTCTTAATACCATCTCTAAAATCAGTCTCTAGTGATGACAGATGCAGGTCTTTTTATTGAGAACTGTCCTCAGAATTTAAATTGGGTTTTTTGTCAAATAAGTTCGCTTAAACACACATACATCTTGAGTTATCGAATATAGCATTTTATAATGATATATTGAAGAATAAGGTAAAAAGCTTCAAAGCTGGACATTTTCCCACTGTGCTATATAGTTGAAAATGCGTCAATAATGACAATACTGCTACATGAGAAAGCCAACATGCTAACTTGTGTCTTGTAGCTTTCTCTCCATCCTTCATATGTGGTAAAGACTCTGGGATCTGCTCTCAAAATTCTACTTTATAACTGAATATAAAAAGTTTATGGCTGGCATATGTATACTATACATGAGTCAACACGTGGGTTAGATGTAGGCCACTGATAGGTACCTAAGTTACAAAATAATTCTTTAATGAGTAAAACTACTGGAGAGGTGAACACTTTTACAGTGTCTCTGGCTTTAAAAAATAAGATTGGCATGATAGCTAAAGCAGGGGTTCTAATTGCATAACTTAATTAACACCGAGACTTACTCTGAAAAGGATCTGCAAAATGTTACTACTATGGAGATCCTATGCGAAGCCTCTTACATGAGAAAGATCGGCCAAGAAAGTAGCGTCCACTCTATTAAAATTTTTTTTAGCCACTAAAGATTCCTATTAGGTAAAGTAAGGAGAACAAACATTTTAGCAGGATGTGCAGAACAAAGCCCCTCCCATCCCACAATGATTGATGCCCCATCATTAGCAGGGTAGCTGCCCATTTCTTATCTTGATTGACAGGTTAATAAGGGACCTGGGGCTATCTTTTCAGTATTAACACACAATCTTACCAATTACTTTTAAATTATTGCTAATCTGTCAGAAAATAACAAGCATAAGGAATAAAAATATCCGCGAAACAGAAACGTCTGCTGAAGCAGCTTTTACTTCCGGTGCCTTAAAAGGTTCAGTTAGAAAACTTGCTAGAATTTAGTCAATAGAATTTAGGCACCGGCAATTTTTTTAAAGAAAAACTTGTAGTTTATAATAGTTCATTGGTTCAATTAGGAGCGAAAAAGAAGGGAGTTTTGTAATGCAATTGTCCAGCAAAGGAAAACGCTTTAAATTGGGGGATTATGTGCGCAGACCACCTGTGGGGCATTCAGAGCCCTTTTCTATAAAGCTTCAACCCATGCCTAGCTGCCTGCAGGCTGGCTAACAATGCCGGGAAAAGCTGTTTAAAAGGCTGAGCACTTGTGCCTCCGGTCTTCACTAACTGTTACAAGTCTTCCTCTCTCGCGCTCTCTCTCCTTTTTAAAGTAAAAGTCCCACATCCCTTTAATGGAAGAACTTTAAGGCTCCGCGGTGGCCAATTGGTCTGCACTAAGAGGAGATAGGCAGCAGGGAAAGAAACTTCAGACTATACAGCACATTTGCAGAGGAGAAAAGATCAAAGTTTTTCAAACTCAAAAGACCAAGTTCCCTACAGATTAACCCTATTCATTTAGCTCCTCTTAAAGGAATGATGTGCTGAGCCACTGGGCAGACAGGTAAAAAGTTCAACAATTGCCGAAGCATTCTTCTGCTAATTCAACAGCCTTCTGCTCAAATAAATTAGCTTAGTCTTGACAGAGGAACAATAGCTTTTTCTCTAGGAAAAGCAGCACATTTGGTATACACAAGCACTGAAGGTTATTAAGATGTTAACCCGTTAGTTTAATCCATTGAAGAGCGCCTGCTCCCCTACCAGATTGTCAAGTGACTTCTACTGTAAAGGGTGAGCTATGGTTTAAAACATTAACCTCTACACCTCAGCAATGCGTTCCCTCCCTGGAACACCAGGTGCTTTCAAAATCACGGACTCCAGAAATGAATGCAGGGTTTTGAAACCTTTAGTGATACCATGCAGGATAAATAACAAGGCCTAAGGGGAATTACTGCCTTGCAGAAGTTCCATTTACATCCACTAAAGTGAGAGTTGTTATCCATGGATCAGAAAAGAGCTCCCATGAAAAACACCGTCTTTGGGGAAGGTGCAAAAACTCAATTTTGATTTCAGTTCAACAATGATATTTACTTGGCTAACAACTTAAGAACTAGAGTTTAACAAGTAATTTTCTCCATGCCTAAGGTCAGTGTACAGAATGACAAGCCAGAAAATGTCCATTTTCCCCATGCGTCCTTAGCAAGCACTTTAAAGGTGACAGCTCAGAAGAGGCGGGGGAGAGGGCAATGGTTAAATCATTTATCAAAAGTCATTTTATTGACAAAATAGAATACTTATATCTGTTCTTACAGGGGTAAGCCTCTAAACTTTTTACAAAAAAATGTACACACTATATCTTTGGATATATACATATTTTACACTTTTTTTTTTACAATTTAACAAATAATTATATAAATACATCCTCTAATGTAAGAAACCCGTATTTACGTGGGGTGTATAATTAAGACATTTCTTGTTTGTTTACTTAAGGCATTTGCCTGGTCATTAAGAATACCCAAACCGTGCAATCCCATCAGGTGGCGGTCACCCCTCCTCCAGGGTAAGTCAGGGGTGGGAGTTTACGTAGGAAGAGTCGAGGGAGAAAAAGAGGTTCTCCCAGGTGAAATCTGTGTATCTGACTGCAAACCCAGCCAAGTGCAGCCAGGGAGGGCTCCAAATCTCGGGTTCTGGAAACGCCGCAGAGTCCACCCTCCTCAGCCAACAGAAATTAACGCGTGGCGGGAGGAGCTCCCCGCACATCAATGGAGGAAAAGGGGCTGGGTCTGGGAGGCTTCAATGCCAGGTACTTTGTTCTAAGTGAGTCATTTAAGTCCCAGCTAATGGATACCATTAAGAGTTCATTATCATGCTAATAGCAATCAACACTGTGAAGGGGTGGGAACCTCAGCCCATCAAGTGTCCCTTCGCTGCACTTGGCTCTCCTCGCCCCCCTCCCCACCCCTCCTGGGCGCCCCCTCCCCTCCGCTCAGACCTGGGACAATGGCATCTGCTTTGGATAAGACACGGAGCTCGCCGTGCCCGACCGCCACGTCAGGCCAGTGCTGACGTCGCTGTAGAGGGAGCCCCCGCCGCCGCCCGGCCCCCCGCCGCCGCCGGGTCCCCCGCCGCCGCCGCCCCCCGGCCCGCCGCCACCCCCCGCGGCCGTGGCGCCCGCGCCCCCGCCCACCGCGGCGCCCTTGCTGGCCCAGCAGCAGCGGGTGCACAGGGAGCGCCAGGACTCCAGCGTCTTGCCGGACCAGACCCACACGCCCGAGGTGATGCCCACCACTAGGCACATGAAGTACTTGAGCATGAAGACGGCGTAGTCGGGCCTGCGTGCCTGGTCGGGCTGCAGGTCCCGCAGGCACGGGCAGTTGTGCGTGGCCTCCCAGCGCGGGCGGTTGTGCTGCTCGTAGAAGAGGCAGGCGACCACCACCGCGGCGGGCACGGTGTAGAGCACGGTGAACAGGCCCAGGCGGATCATCAGCTTCTCCAGCTTGTGCGTCTTGGTGGGGCCGTCCTGTTGCTTGATGACCGAGCGGATGCGGAAGAGGGACACGAAGCCGGCCAGCAGGAACATGGTGCCGATGAAGAGGTAGATGACCAGCGGCGCCAGCACGAAGCCGCGCAGGTTGTCCAGGCTCTGGTTGCCCACGTAGCAGATGCCCGCCACCGGGTCGCCGTCCACCGAGCTGAGCGCCAGCACCGCGATGGACTTGACGCTGGGCACAAGCCACGCGGCCAGGTGGAAGTACTGCGAGTAGCCGGCGATGGCTTCGTTGCCCCACTTCATACCGGCCGCCAGGAACCATGTGAGCGACAAGATCACCCACCAGATGGAGCTGGCCATGCCGAAGAAGTAGACCAGCAAGAAGACCACGGTGCACAGCGCGGGGCCGGTGGTCTCGTAGCGCACGTGCTGCTCCACCGCGCCCAGCTCCTCGTACTCGCCGCGCCCGCCCGGGCCGCCCGCGCCCGCGCCCGCCGCGCCCGCGCCCGCCGCCGCGCCGCCCGCGCCCCCAGCGCCCCCCGCGCCCGGCGCGCCACCGCTGCACGCCACCTTCTCGTGGCCCGCCACCAGGCGCACTAGGTAGCCCACCGACACGAAGAGGTAGCAGGCCGAGAGGAAGATAATGGGCCGCTCCGGGTACTTGAAGCGCTCCATGTCGATAAGGAAGGTGGAGACGGTGGCGAAGGTGGACACGAAGCAGAGCACCGACCACAGGCCGATCCAGAAGACGGTGAAGGCGCGCTCGTCCTGGCTGAAAAAGGGGTTGTGGCAGGGCAGCGCGCAGTTAGCGATCTGGCCTGTCTTGACGCGGTTGTAGAGCGGGTGGCGCTCGCTGGACACGCTCACCATAGGCGCGCGGCACTGGCACCCGGGCTCGCAGGGAGCCGCGCCGCCGCCAGGGGGCCGCGCCTTCCCGCCACCGCCGCCGCCGCGAGCTGGGGGCGCCGCCGCGTCCCCGCCGCCACCGCCCCTGCCGCCGCCGCGGTGCGGGGGCCTGGCCCCCGGCGGGCGGCCGTGGCCGCTGCCCGAAGGCGGCTGCTCGCCGGGCGGCGGCGGCGGCAGGCGGCGCGGCGGGCTGGGCGCGGCGGTGGTTAGGTCGGTGCGGTTGTAGTCCATGCACAGCGTGTCAGGGTTGCCTTGCTCGGGCAGCCGGTCGCAGCGCATGCGGTCGGGCCAGGCGAAGCCGTACTGGCGCATGAGCGGCGCGCAGCCGGCCTTGGCGCGCTCGCACACCGAGCGGCAGGGCGGCAGCGGCTTCTTGTAGTCCTCTAGGCAGATGGGCGTGTACATGCTGCACAGGAAGAACTTGAGATCGGGCGAGCACTGGATCTCCACCAGCGGCCAGAACTGGTGCACCTCCAGGCCCGCCTCGTCTTGCGTGTCGTGGTTGAACTGATTGGGCATGTAGGTGTAGTTGTAGCCGATGCCCTTACACAGCGGCACGGTGATCTCTTGGCATGCCAGCTCCTTGGCCGAGGCGGCCGCAGCGCCGCTAGAGCGCTGCAGCAGCGCCAAGGCGGCCAGCAGCGAGGTCACTTCCAACAGGTAACCCCACTCCATGCTGTGCGCCTCGGCCCGGTGCCCTCGCCCTCCAGGCGGCGCGCAGAGGGGTGCCGGGGGGGGGGCCCACGAGAGAGCCGCAGACGGGTACAGCGGGTGATCTGGGGTCTCCCTTATGCTTCGCCCGGGAGGGGGGTCTGCCGATAATCTAACCCCTTCTAGGGGCGCGTCCGCAGCGGCGCGGCCCGCAGCCTGGGCAGGGCCCTTCCGCACTCCTTTCCGCCGCTCCGGGGGTTTGAAGGCGGCTGCAGGCGCGCGCCACAGTCCGTAGGTCCGCTCTGCTGGCCCCGGGTCGCGCTCAGCCCTCGCGGCGCAGAGCGGCCGGGCCTCGGCTCATCGTCCCGCGCTCGCTCGCCTCCTCTCCGCGCGCCCGACCACTTCTCCCCGCCGCGCCGGGCGGCGGTGACTCCGCCGGACAGAGAGGGCGGAGGCGCCGCAAGTTTCCTCTGGGGCCGCGGTGCGCAGTCAAGATGGCTGGGCCGGGCCGCTTGCCGCGCCGGGTCAGCCCTGGCGGCCACCACTCGGCCCCCGGGGGCTCATGCCCGCCCCCAAGGCCAAGCCGCCGCCGCCGCCGCCGGAGTTGGGGACCCGCCTCGGCCCAGGCCGCCGCCCTCTTTCTCCGGCGTCCGTCCTTCGTCCGTCCGCCGCCGGGACAGACGGACCCCCGCCGCCTGGAAAAGTCAGCGCCGCGCTCCGGCCGCAGTCGGGCGAGGTGCACACAGTCTCCTTCCTGCTGGACACCCAGGAGCAAATCCAGACCGGAAGGCGGAGCGGACACCTGAGTGGCGCGGCCCGCGCCCAGCCGCCGCCTCCTCCTCGGCGGGAGCAGCGCCCTTAGCCCAACTTCCCGGCTCCAGCCCCGCTCGCGCCGCGCTGCCGGCTCATGAATATTTATACAGCGCGGACTCGGTCTCCGCCCCCAGCCCCGCGAGCCAATCGCCGGGCGGTAGGGCGGAGTCCACGCGCTCCCAGGGCTCAGCCTTCCTTAAGGCAGTCCCCGAGTGTCCGCACTGCTGTGCGCGCTCTCTGCGGATGGAGAGTTTTGGTAACCTTGGGATTGACCGCAGAGACAGAGTGTTGGCCATGGCTGTCCCCATGGCGCTGAGTGCGTCGGAGGTCTTGGTCCCCTTACCCCGAGTCTGCCCTTGGGGACAGGGACGGGGTTTGGTGCAGCGCGCGCCTCCCCGGCGCGTTTCAAACCAGCCAAGCCCCTGCTGCCACCCTCCGCAAATGTGGGTGATCTGCAGGCGGCTGGGGTCTCGTGCTCCTCGGGGCGGCAGGAAGGTCTCGCAGCAGGCGAGCGCCGGGGAGGCCTGCCGGGGCTCGGCGCTGCAGAAGACCCGGGAAAGGGTGTCCTCCTTGGGGTTCTCAGAACGATGGTTTCTGAGACTTGGAGATGTGGGGGGTGTGGAGTCATTCTAAACTGGGGCTGGACCCGGGACGGCCCGGGTGAGATGCCCCGGAGCCCAGCCTTGGGCGCGCGAGGGGCGCGGGGGACAAATGCCCGCCAGAGACTCTCCTCCCGCCTCCGCTGCGTGACCTGGGGGAGCCTCAGTTTCCCCACCTAGAGAGTTGGGTGATCATAGCACAGATCTCCAAGGGGGCTTTGATAATTAGGTGAGATAAAATATAGGAAGCCCCGAGCCGCCGTGCTTTCTTAGGAAAAATCATTCAATTTCTTTCTAAAATTCAAAACAAACCTCGAAACTTATAAATAGGACAGGCTGGAAACTCTGGGGCTGGATTCCCTGTCTTCCCTTCGTTCTTTCAGGACGTCTATTCATCCATCCCAAGTTCACAGGCTTTTGCCAGAGCCTCCTTTTCTCTGGTGGGAGGCGGCGCTGCGCTCTGGCGTGGACTCCGCGACACGTATCTGCTCTCTGCACGAGGCCGGAGCCGGACCCGGGCTGCTTTTAGCAGCCGCTTGGGCCACCGCCAGCGAACGCTGCCCCCGCCGGCTCCGCCGCCACCTTAAGACGGGCCGGGAGGGGGGCTGCGGGCGGCCCGGGCCGGCGGCCTGGCAGGTTCATTTACGCTTGTTAGGGCGTCCCAGGGGGCTGTCTTTCTCCTAGAATGGAGTGTTTATTTTTTAATTGATGTGCTGTTTCATTTAGCGCTTGTATGGAACTCATGCTGGGGCAGTAATTACTGTAATCTCGGGAACAAGCATTTCAGTTAGCCAGGAGGGTGGCAGAATATGTTTCTCTCTCTCTTTCTCTCCCTCCCTCCCGCCTCCTCCCCATCTCCGTCCCCCTCTCTCCCTCTTCCTCCCTGCCTCTCTTCTGTCTTCCCTCTCTCTCTCTCCCCACCTCCTTTCCTTCTCTCTCTCCCCCACCACTTTCTCTCCCCCCTCCTCCTCTTCCCCTCCTCCCTCTCCTTCCTTCCCTCCCTTTTCTCTCCGCTCTCTCACTCTCTTCTTGTTTCAAGATTTTTGCTATTTGCCAGGTTTCATACCGGAACAAGTACAGTTGGAGAACAAAAGTTGCAGAGGGCGTGGGGACAGAGCAAAAGAATTAAAAGTACATTTGAGGCCAGTTCCGGTTTTCGGGGCGCTGCTGGTGGTGGTGGTAGCTCGTGGTTGTCCGTTCAGAAACAACTCTTGTCATAAAACAAAAATAACCAGCAGTATTTGTAGATTGCTTGAGCTGATGGCATCTATGTCTTCCTCCTCCTGCTTTCTGTAGCTCAGTTAGCAACCTCATTATGAAACATATTACAAGTAGACTGTCAGACCGCACCCTGCCCCAGCGCCCCGTTTTTGGCAAGTTCTGTGTTCTAGGCATATCCACCAATCTATAGTTATACCCCCCTATCTTTTTAACTTTTTTAGTTTTAGTCTATAGAGTTGAACCTCTTTATACTGAAAAACAACACTTCCTTCCCACTTTTGTTTTGGAAAAACTAAAGTCCGTAGGAATTCGGAATTCAAAGGCTTCAGAAATATTAGCTGATTCAGCAGAAAACGGGCTATTCAAAAATACAGACTAGACCTTTACTTGATTAAAAAATTTTTTTTCTTTTCTCACCTCCTGCAAATCGGAATTCCCACTTGTATGTTGAATGTAGAAATTCACTATCTCTGCGGTTGGCACCTTGTTTCCAGAGGGCGAGTCTCCAGAACGCATCAGCTGCAGGTAATTGCCAGAGGTTCCAGTGCTGATCTGAGGGCAGCGGTGCAGGCAGAGCCCCAAAGACCAGCAAGGGTGCTGCACTGCCCGCACCACAGATGGGAGGGGCTGGTTTCCAAGAGCAACACAGATGGTGAAAAGTTTCTGTTGCTTTTCTTCCACGGGGAAATGTCAAATAGTGAAGTTTAGAATTACACTACATAAATTTGCTAGAATTGGGTAAAAACAAACTGACATTTGAAAATTGAAATTGAAGCTGAAAATGGTTGATTTTGGCTCTTAATTGGCTTTAAATTTTTTTTCTTTTTTCTTTTGAGACAAGATGAAAAGTTTGATGATGTGGAATGTGGAAATTTTGGGTAAGTATGTTAAGTTTGCATGAGAAAATAAGCAGACTGAAGTTCAGAATTTCAAAAATCATATCAGCTATTTGGGAGATCTTAGTGATTTGTGAGGTTAAAACCAGTTACATAAAAGTCATGACAAATGTACTTTTAATTGAGAGAATATAAGAATCGCATTTTACATCTACTGTTAAATTAAACGGCTACTTGGTAGTCTTTCAGAGAAGGGAGAGACTTCTGTAGCCAATTAGTGCGTAAAAGGTAATGATGGGTTACCTAGAAGTAACCAGAACATATATCAACTTCTATGGCTAAATAATGATATTTTCATTGTATGTAAAGCAGCTGTTTTTTAGGGGAGGGGAAATAGCTTTAGTAGTGACATAAATAATGTAGGGAAGTTTCTAAAGGGATTTCTGAGCAGATGGCTTGTTGCTGAATGGCCTGCAAGCAAATAATGTAAACAGTTGGAATCAGGAATCTACCTCAGAGGAGGGAAGGTTTTACAAAACGTTGGCTACCGAGTTAGACAGGGGACTATCAATACTGTCTGTAACAAATTTAAGAAACTTTGGGGAAATCATGTTCCAGTGGATTACCATCTAAAAATCCAATATAAGAATCTGGATGGAAGAGAGAGCCTGGCATATACTAACAGAATGATACGTTCCAAAGATTAAATGAGGAACTCTTTGGTAACTAATACAATTTCTCAGGTGTTATAAACTGCCAAATATTGGCCAGATACGGTGACTCATGCCTGTAATCCCAGCACTTTGGGACGCTGAGGCAGGCAGATCGCTTGAGTCTAGGAGTTCGAGACCAGCCTGGGCAACATAGCAAAACCCTGTCTCTACAAAAAATACAAACATGAGCTGGGTGCGGTGGCATGTGCCTGTAGTCCCAGCTACACCAGAGGCTGAGGTGGGAGGATCACTTGAGTTTTGGAGGCTGGGGCTGCAGTGAGCCATGACTGTATCACTGCACTCCAGCCTGGGCAACAGAGTAAGACCCTGTCTCTAAATAAATAAATGCCAAATATTATTTTCTCTCAAGAAAACAGTTAAGTACTATATTATTAGATAATATAAAATTCTTATCACTGGCTGGGCTCAGTGGCTTACGTTTGTCTTAGTGCTTTGGGAGGCCAAGGTGGAAGGATCGCTTGAGGCCAGGAGTTGGAGAGCAGTCTGAGCAACATAGTAAGACCCGAGTCTACCAAAAAAAAAAAAACCAAAAACAAAACAACAACAACAACAAAAAAAACAACAAAAAAACAAGGCCAGGCACGGTGGTTGTTCACGCCTGTAATCCTAGCACTTTGGGAAGCCGAGGTCAGAGGATCACTAGAGGTCAGGAGTTCGAGACCAGCCTGGCTAACATGGGGAATCCTTGTCTCTGCCAAAAATACAAAAATTAGCTGGACATGGTGGTGGGTGCCTGTAATCCCAGCTACTTGGGAGACTCAGGCAAGAGAATTGCTTGAACCTGGGAGGCAGAGGTTGCAGTGAGCTGAGATTTTGCCACTGCACTCCAACCTGGGCAACACAGTAAGAGTCTGTCTAAAACAAAAAAAAAAATTAGTCGGGCCTGTAGCACGCACCTGTGGTCCCAGCTACTTGAGGCGCTGAGGTGGGAGGATCGCTTGAGTCCATGAGTTTGAGGCTGTAGTGAGCCGTGATCATGCCTGTACTCCAGGTTAGGTAATAGAAAGAGACCCTGTCTCAAAAAAAAAAAAAAAAAAAAAAAAAAGACAAAACCCACAACAACAATAACAAAACCTCTAATGGTAATATTGGGGCATCTTGGTGTTTTAAAAATCTGCCTTTCAAAGGGTTATGTCTTGAGTCTCTCAGTCCATAAATGGAAGGGGAGGTAGAGGTGAACTGGCCTCATCAATCTCTGCTAGCTTTAAACAGGTGAGATTATTTTTATATTCTTCCTTATTAACATGAAACTCAATTGAAGTGCTGCTGCTTCTGTTCTCTCCACTGCCAGGAAAGAGATCCTGTTGGAAGGAAGTACTCTTTGCTGTGTCTGCTGTCACCAGGCCAAGGTGCACATGGATGGAGATAACAGGCCCACCTGTGCCACTGGCTGGCAGGCCCATGCTCACTTTACATGCAGCTGCTGCTTTGGAATACGGCGACCGCACTGCCATTATTTAAGTTGATAATTATTCTAAAATTTGTTTTAAAAATCAATAATTGATTTTTTTTCTCATCCACATGGGAATATTTGCCAGATATTGAAGCTCTTATTATGGCATGCATTGTGCATTAGTTTGGTAGATTTCAGGTCCAGTAAAGACCTCCCGGGTAAAAGTGGCTTAGCCAAGAAGGACATCTCAACATATCAATAAGTCTAGAAGCAGACATTTCACCGTCAGTTCTTTCTGCAGCTCCAGGAGGTTAGGGCTGCAGGTTGGCTTCTAGACTGTTGGTTTCCCCTTTGGTTACAGGGGGCCTCCCACCACTGAATTGTCACATTGGACTGTGGCCAGGGCTGGAGGACTGCTATGATATTTTTCTTCCCTTAGGAATGACAGCCTTTCCCTGAAGGCCCTTGGCTAACTTCCCCTTTGGGCAACCTGGTCTGAATCTGTCACTTGGCCACTCTTAGCTGCAAGAGAGGCTGTGAAAGTGAGGATCTGGAGAGTGGCTGTTGATGGGGACACTGGTAGCCAGGAAGGGGAGGAGGGACAACCCACAGTGTCAGATGCACATTACTGTGTGAAAGCAGTGAACTTCCAAGCAATACCATTGAGTCAACTTCCCTGGTCTTACAGCGGAATTTATGCAGGGTTATAAATTAAGCATGATCTAGATCCAAGAAAACCTTGAGATCTACATTTTTTTTTTGAAGTTCACACAATACAGTTCTTTGTACATTTAGTATGAAATAAACGTCAAGCAGTTTACAGCGCATTTTATTTGCAGTGTGCATTCACTGTAGTGGAACTCACTCCCTATTTCCTTTTTCTTCAGAACTCCCCCTCCCATTTGGAGACTTAACTAAAAACATTGACACAGGCTGGGCACGGTGGCTGACGCCTGCCATCCCAGCACTTTGGGAAGCCAAGGTGGGTGGATCACCTGAGGTCAGGAGTTCGAGACCAGCCTGGCCAACATGGTGAAACCCCATGTCTACCGAAAATACAAAAATGAGCTGCACGTGGTGGTGGGTGCCTGTAATCACAGCTAGTCGGGAGGCTGAGGCAGGAGAATCACTTCAACCTGGGAGGCAGAGGTTGCAGTGAGCCGAGATCATGCCACTGCACTCCACCCTGGGCCAGAAGAGTGAGAGAGTGAGACTCCTCATCTCAAAAACAAACAAAAAACATTGATGCAATTCTGGAGTTTTAGTTTCTGTGTTTCTTTTAAGCCTATCCATGAAACATTTTGTTAGTTTGTCCATATAACTTTTTTGTTCGTTTGTTTTCATTTTTTTTTTTTTTTGCCTGGATGGAGTCTCACTCTGTTGCCTAGGCTGGAGTGTAATGGTGTGATCTTGGCTCACTGCAACCTCCAGCTCCCAGGTTCAAGCGATTTTCTTGCCTCAGCCTCCTCAGTAGCTGGGATTACAGGTGCTCACCACCATGATCGGCTTATTTTTGTATTTTTAGTAGAGCCAGGGTTTCACTATGTTGGCCAGGCTGGTCTTCAACTCCTAACCTCAAGTGATCTGCCTGCCTCGGCCTCCCAAAGTGCTGGGATTACAGGAGTGAGCCACCAGGCCTGGCCTGTTTGTTTTCATTTTTCAAAAGTTTTTATTATTTTTAAAATAAGCCTACATCATGCTCTGAATAACTTTTTTTTTGTATTGACTAATTTAAATATAATGCAAGGGAAATTTTTGAATTCCAACTGAACTGCTTATGAATGTGCAGGAAGCTTTATATCAAAAAATTGGTCCAGGCAAGGGTTTATGTCTGGTAACAATGATCCATTTTAAATGGTGGTCTGAAACCACCATTTACTGATAAAATTTTCCATCAGTAATGCAAATTATAATTATTAGGGCACTCAGGACATGGAGATGGTAGGGATGACAAAGGCATTTCTTTCTATTTTAGTCTATCTTTGACTGGATTCAGGTAAACACAGCATTTTTTTTTTTCTAGAGGTGACAGCATTTGTTTTTTGTTTGTTTTTTTTTGTATGAGTCTTGGTTGCTCTTAGAAGCAAATGTACTTCTATAGGGATAAGCTTATAGTATACAGAAGTATAATTTGTAGTAAAATGATACCATATAGATAAAAGAAAAAAATGATGCATTAATATGTTCAGCTTACTGAAATAGTATCACAACATAAATATGAACTCTGGGCCTGCTGTCTTAAAACACTGTCTGGCAAGTTACAGTTTGAAAAATTCTAGTTTAGAATGAGTTCAAAGTAAAGTCAATAAATATTTACTTAGTACCAACTGTTCTGGTTCCTGTTGCTGTACAGCAGTGATCCCAAAACATGGTGGCTCAAGGCAACCATTTTATTTTGTTCCTAATTTTGAGAGTCAGGAATTTAGGAAAGGCTTGACTGGGCAGGTCTCTTGCTTGGTGCCTGTCCTGCCATTGAACTCAGCTGTCCACAGGACTAGGGTCATTTGAAGGCTTGAGGGGGCTAAACAACCAAGCTGGGGGGGACTCCTGTGGTGGCCTGTTGATGCTGACCGTCCCCTGGAGCCACCCACGTGACCTTTCCAGCATGGCAGCTTCAGAGTGGTTGGACTTCTTACATGGCAGTAGGGGGTTGGGGGGGTGGGGCACTCCCCAGAGCGAGCATCCTAAGAGAACCAGGTGAATACTGCATGCCCCTTTATATGACATCTCCTCAGAGTCACACAGCATCACTTCCGCCCCACTCTGATGGTATGAGCACACTCAGATTCAAAGGCAGGGGCATGGACCTACCACAAAATGGAAGAAATGCCAAATATTTGGGGATCATATTTAAAAACTGCCACACTAACCGAGTCCCAGGCCCTTTGTTAAGTGCAAGGATGTGAAGATGAGTAAGACATTACGTCTTCTACAGGAAACTCACATGGGACAGTCACAGGTGAATGAGTCCAGTGCTGTTCAGTAGATATTTACATGGTACACGGAAATAGTATTAGGGAACATGTGAATGTCCCTAACAGAGCTAAGAAAGGACTTCACAGGAATTTTGAAGAATGATCAGAAGTTTATTTGAGAAGAGGAGCAGAATTCTAGGCACACGAGAAAGCACTGACAAATCACAATGGTAGGAAATTGCCTCTGCCTTTGCTGTTAATGCAACAGCAAGAGTTTTCCTTGGACAGAAATATTTTTATTTGTATTCAATCTGTTGATATAATTCATACCTTTAAATAGGTTACATTTGGAGTCTATAGAGCTCAGTATCTATTACAATCTTTTCAACTTGGAGTAACAGGAAGCCTGAAAAGATATTTACCTTGCATTACCCGAGACCTGAAGGTGGGCTGGCTTCGAAGTTGGCTAATTCTCTGACTCCACAAGTTATCAAGATGGGTTCTTTCCATCTTTTTCTCTGTCAGCCTGATAGGTTGGTTTGTTGCCCTCATGATTACAGAGTGGTTACAGACTGAAGCTCACATCTTCACATGCCAATGTTCAGAGGCACAAAGAGGGACATTCTTCTTCTCGTGCCTCATTTTCAGTGCCAAGAAGGCTTTCCCGGAACTGATTTTCTCTTATTTCTCATGGTTCAGAATTGGGTGACAAGTCACATCACTGAGCCCTGCCTGACCTGACCACGAGGGGTCACTTGGACAGAATCGGGGTTTTGCTAGTAAGGAAGAAGGGTAGGGTCGCCTTGGGTAGGTCACCAAGGGTGTCTGCCCCAAACCCTAGGGACTGTTGCACCACATGACAAGAGGCCCCCATCTCTTTGTGTCTAACTAACTTCTGCTGTCCAAGGTCAGATGCTTTATAGCCTAGTGGTCATTGAAGCAGGTTCATATGCTCTTCGTGTGTTAATTAACAACAAAACTTAAGTCCTTTCTCCTCCTCTTTTCCCCATAACTTCATGCAGGTGGGATCTGCTAATAAGATTCTAGTTATTTATTTCACCAGAACAACTTGCTTTGCTTACAGAACAACTTGCTTTGCTTAAGAGTACTTTCCCGCTTTAAGAAATCCAGTTGCCTGCAGGGCCTCTAGACGAGGCCAGGTTAAAGAATGACTCTGTCTAGCAGAACGAGCTGGGTGGTTTGTATGTTTGCTCATGTCCTTGTCTCCCCACAAACTCCCTGTGGGGTAATTACATGCAGGAACACCTTACTAAACAGCTAGGAAGCATAAGGACTGCCAGAGATGAAAATTTATTTCTCACCTGTATGTTTTCCAGAACCTCAGAGGGTTGAGTAAATAACAGCTTCCAAGAACCTACAGAGAACATAGAATTCAGGGGGACCAGGTGGTGTCTCAGTCTGTGGGTATATCCAGTTCTTTGCAGCTAATGTCCCTAAACAAATCAGTTTCTACAGAACTATGCCCTTTTGAAAGTTCTACAGTTTATTGGTTCTTTATATTTCCTCCAGCAGTATCCATCTTATTTTCTGTACATGATCTTATTTTTGCATCATTCTCTGTTCTCTGGAAGATATTGGAGGTATGTGGAGCCATTTGTTCGAGCGTCATTTCTGTTTTGAACATGGTAATTGTCTTTTTTTGGTAGGTGCTCGTTTGGGAAGCTCCTGGCTTACTAAGTCTTCCCTACAAGCTTTTGGTAGAATGTGATTGCTGGACTTGTTACTACAGGATTTTCTACCAGGGGATTCCCCTATGCTACCCAAGCTGAACCAGATTCACCTTCCTGGCTATATATTTATTTTCAAGATGGAGTCTCACTCTGTCACCCAGGCTGGAGTGCAGTGGCATGATGTTGGCTCACTGCAACCTCCGCCTCCAGGATTCAAATGATTCTCCTGCCTCAGCCTCCCGAGTAGCTGGGATTACAGGCACCCACCACCAGGCCCAGCTAATTTTTGTATTTTTAGTAGAGATGGGGTTTTGCCATGTTGTCCAGCTCGTTTAAAACTCCTGACCTCAGGTGATTTGCCCACCTCAGCCTCCCAAAGTGCTGATATTACAGGCGTGAGCCACCGTGCCCAGCCTTACAATTACACTCCTGCTTTCACCCTCATTCGAGAGTCTCTGCCTTAGCAAGCAACATTGCTCATGGTGAAGGATATTTTCCTTGATTAAGTTGGTGATAGGATGTCCTGCTACCTTGGGGGCTAAAAAGGAAGGATTCATATTTTTACTTGTTGGTCTATCACGCTGCTGATTATTAATCATTTCCTTCCTTCCTTCCTTCTTTCTCTCCCTCCCTCCCTCCCTCCCTCCCTTCCTCCTTCCTTCCTTCCTTCCTTCCTTCCTTCCTTCCTTCCTTCCTTCCTTCCTTCCTTTCAAGAGATAGGTCTTCAGGGTCTTGCTCTGTTGCCCAGGCTGGAGTGCAGTGGTGTGATCATAGCTCACTGCAGCTTCAAACTTTGGGCTCAGAGATCCTCCCACTTCAGCTTTATGAGTAGCTGGGACTACAGGTGCATGCCACCACACCTGGGTAATTAAAATTTATTTTTATTTATTTTAAATTTTTTTTAGAGACAGAGTCTCACTACATTGCCCAGGTTCTTCTTGAACTCCCAGCCTCAAGTGATCCGCCTGCCTTGGCCTCTTAAAGTGCTGGGATTACAGGCGTGAGCTACTGCACCCGGCTTCATTATGTTTTCCACTGTGATCCATGTGGTCTCTGGATTCCTATTCAGAAAAAGATGTCTATCTGTATATGTGCTGTGGCATTGTCTCTTAATTTTGTTAACTTCTTGGTCTTGTCCTCCAATCTGAAAATAAAAGGACAGAAAACTTCACCTGATGTTTTACCTGTCAAAAATCTGAAAGGATTCATTTTCTATTAGGATTCTACTGGAGTTTGGTTGTCTTGTGGTAATCAAATACCCAAGGTTTCTGCTGGAAGGTAATCTATTGGAATTGTACATCCTGATTTTTTTTTATTAGAGTAAAAATGTAGGTATAACTAAACCGAGTGAATCCTAACCTATAATTCATAATTGCAGACTGGTGAATATCACCCTTGTTCCTAAATCTCCCAAGTCAGCAATAAAAACTGTACTTAGAAAAAATGAAGTTTGGAATATATGCTAATGGTAACTATAGGGAATAGTTGCTTTGCTTAAGAATAAGAGTGACCAGAATGAGGATGGAAAGTAGTTTGATCTGCGTTATATTGTTAATGTATTGGAGGATGGCAAGAGAGGAGACTGGATGAGTGGAGGTGGCATAGAATAATGATCTCAGCTGCCATGGATGACAGCAGGTCTTTTATGCGCTAGGCTCTGGGCTGGCCCCCTGCTCCCTTTTCTTTTCTTTTTCTTTTTCTTTCTTTTTAAATAATGTAGGATGTTTCAGCAACAAATAACAGTTAATCCAACTCAAACTGGCTCATGCAGGATGGAAATTGTCATCTTACAAAACAAATTGTCATCTTACAAAAGTAGGGCAGTTTTCCAGGTTGATAGATACAGATTTTCAAAAACGTCATCAAGGATTCAGGTTCCTTCTGTTTCTCTGCCCTGTCCCCCTCAGGGGTTTTACCCATGGTGACCTCAAAGTCAAAAGATGGTGGCAGGATTTTGGCCTCTTCCCAGCAGTCTCCTGGCAGCTTTCATTGGTAGAATCAGTTTGAATTCTCATCCCTAAACTAATCATGGGCAGGAAGAATGGGATGACCACAATGGGCTTAAGTCAGGTTACCCTATGCTTGGAGCTGGGAATTAGTTCATCTTTCTCTGAAGTACCTAACCATGTGGAGGAGGGTGAATACCTGAATAAAATTAAGGGTTATAAGAAATAAAAAAGGGGCCAGTTGTGGTGGCTCACCCTTGTGGTCCTAGTGCTTTGGGAGGCTTGAAGCAGGAGGAGCGCTTGAGGCCAGGAGTTTGGGACCAGCCTGGGCAACATAATGAGACTCTCTCTCTGCAAAAAGTAAAAATAATTATCCAGGTATGGTGGTGTATGTCTGTAGTCCCAGTTACTCAGGAGGCTGAGGCCGGAGGATCCCTTGGGTTCAGGAGTTTAAGGCTACAGTGAGTTGTGATTGTGCCACTGCACTCCAGCCTGGGCAACAGAGCAATACCCTATCAGAAATAAAGAAATAAATAAACAAATAAAAGAAAAAAAGAAAAGAAGGGAAGTGGAGGTGGATTTGGGTAGACAATAACAATCTGCCCCATGACTGTATCACTTTATCTACCTTGATCTCTGTTTCCATCTCTATGTATTTACAATGTCTAAGCCTTATGACAGGTATGCAAGATAGGTTTTTTGTATTTTGCTTTGTTTTTCAGACGGAGTTTTGCTCTTGTTGCCCAAGCCGGAGTGCAATGGGGCAATCTCGGCTCACCACAACCTCCGCCTCCTGGGTTCAAGCAATTCTTCTGCCTCAGCCTCCCGAGTAGCTGGGATTACAGGCATGTGCCACGACGCCCGACTAATTTTGTATTTTTAGTAGAGACGGGGTTGCTCCATGTTGGTCAGGCTGGTCTTGAACTTCTGACCTCAGGTGATCTGCCCACCTTGGCCTCCCAAAGTGCTGGGATTACAGGTGTGAGCCACTGCGCCTGGCCAAGATAGGTTTTAAGGGTTATGTTTTACAGATGAAGCTAATTCCATGGCCACTTATTATATCACAGTTTTTAAACATTGTGGAAAAGTGGAACTCTCTTTTCCAAACAAAATCTTGCAAAAAACTATAACTTATAAACACATAAAATATCTATGTTTAAGTTCTGATTATAAATAGCTTTATAAACTCAAAAGTTTGCTTAATATTGATCTGGTTGAAAATGTTTAACTGATTGTAGTATTCCATTGTAAGAATAAGCCACACTTTATATAATCTACTCTACTACTAATGAATAGTGTGATCACTTCCACATTTTCATGAGTACACTTAGTGTTGAATATTTTTTATTATATACCTATGTAGACATGTTCAGGAGTTTCTTTTCTTTTTTTTTTTTTTTTTTTTGAGACAGAGTCTTACTCTGTCGCCCAAGCAATTCTTCTACCTCAGCCTCCCGAGTAGCTGGGATTACAGGCATGCACTGCCACACCTGACTAATTTTCTCTATTTTTAATAGAGATGGGGTTTCACCATGTTGGCCAGGCTGGTCTCAAACTCCTAACCTCAGGTGATCCACCTGCCTCGGCCTCCCAAAGTGCTGGGATTATAGGCGTGAGCCACCGCGCCCAGCCCAGGAGTTTCTTGAAAGTAAATATAGATTGGTGCAAACGTAATTGCAGTATTTCTATGTCCACAGAAAATGTGTAGGGGTTTCTGATTTGTCACACCTTCACAAACACTTAGGAGATTAGACTCTCTCTCCCAATCTGATGAGTTATGAAGGAAGTGCATTGTTTTCATCTGTGTTTCTAATTACTAATAACAATAAACACATTTTTATATGATTTTTGACCAGTTATCTTTTATATCAGTTACCTCTTCTTATCCTTTGTCCATTTTTTTTTTCTCCTTTTGCTTCTTTTGTTTCGATTTGGGAAGGTCCTAAAAATATCTTGGATATTCATCCATTTGCTTTGGAAATGTCTTCTCGGCCAGGCGCGGTAGCTCATTCCTGTAATCCCAGCACTTTGGGAGGCAGAGGCAGGTGGATCACCTGAGGTCAGGAGTTCAAGACCAGCCTGGCCAACATGTTGAAACCTTGTCTCTACTAAAAATACAAAAATTAGTCAGGCATGGTGGCGGCGCAGACCTGTAGTCCCAGCTACTCGGGAGTTTGAGGCAGGAGAATCACTTGAACCCAGGAGGCAAAGGTTGCAGTGAGCCGAGAATTCAACACTGTATTCCAACCTAGATGACAGAGCAAGACTGTCTCAAAATAAATAAATAAATAAATAAAAATAAAAAAATAAAAAAGGAAATGTCTTCTTTAAGTCTGTGACTTATCTTTTGATTTTATTATATCATTAGTAAAAATCTTTAAATTATTAATCTCAAATTTATCAATCTTTTCCTTTATGGGTTTTTTTGGTCTTGTTTATGAAATTATCTCCCAATGTGTTATAATTTTGCATTTTTTTTCTAAAATTTTGAGGCCTTCCTTGTCATATTTAGGTTTTATTCAATATGGCATTTATTTTTGTCATTCATGTGAAATAGGTATCTCATTTTATTTTTTCCCATATTTGTTGCCAATAAAGATAGCAACACAGCTTTGAATAGTCCATTGTTTCTCTTCATTTGTTATGTCACCTCCAGCATATACCCAGATCTTACATGTAGCTATATTTGTTCCCAGGTTCCATTCAGTTACATTGATTTATTTACTATTTCTGAACTAATACTACATATTTTAATGCTAAGGTTTCATAAGTCTTAGTTTCTGGTAGGTTAGGACACCTTGATCTTCCTCTTCCTCCAAGCATAACTATCTCGGTTATTCTTATTCATTTCCCCTCCAGAAATTTCAGGACCACTTTGTCACAAGGTCTGTGCCATCCCTCTTGTATGTATGGTTTTGTTTCCTCATTATTCCTCATTTGTACTATTTGAGTATTTCTCTTAAGTTATCTTGCTGGAAGTTTGTCCATTTTATTATTCTTTTCAAGAAATATGTTTTTGGTTTTATTGAATCTTTGCAATTTTTATAATTTCTTTTTTGAACCATGAATTATTTAGAAGTATTTTTAAATCCTAATTTTTTTGGTCACATTTTGGTCAGAGAACATGTTCTATATGATGTAGATGTTTTTTGAGACTTTTTTGGTGGCTTAGTCCATTATGAATTTTGTAAATGTTCTATGTGTGATTGAAAAAAATGTGACTTTTCTAACTACTGTTTGTTCTATATGTGGCCATTGAATCAATTATTGAGAAACATAAGTTAAAATTCCTTACTAAAATTGTGGACTTCTAGGTTCTTTCCAGTAAATCTACCCTTTGTTGTTGTTGTTTTGAGGCTATGTTGCTAGGTGCATAAAGGTTCAAAATTGTTCTATCTTCCTGGTGAATTGTCCTTTTCATTATAAAGCAATAACCCTTTTTATCCCTAATAATTCCTCCCTTTTACCACTTAAAATGATTTTTTTTGGTAGTTATATGTTTATATTAAGTTTTGCTGTTGTGATTGTTAATATTTTTCAGATATTTCCCCCACTTTTTTACTTTTAATTTTTGTTGTTCTTGTTTTGTTTTGTTTTTAGAGATGGGGTCTTGCTTTGGTACACAGGCTAGAGTGCAGTGATCATGACCATAGCTCACTACAGCCTCAAACTCTTGGGCTCTAGCAATCATCTCTCCTCAGCCTCCCAAAGAGCTGGGACTACAGGCATGCACCGAAGCTTTATTTTCAAAATATAATTTGTAAGTATCTGTATTTTATTGGGGAAGTCTAGTTTCTTTACATTGATTATGATTACCTTATATTGTATTTCATCAAATCTAAGATATCATTGATTTTAAGATGCAGCATCATTTTAGGTATCACTAAGAATGAACATAATGTGTAATTAAACAGTGACATAACACTTACTTTGAACTTTTTAAAAAGGATCTTTTAGAATTAATTAGAAACTTTTAAAAATCATATGGTGGTCTTATGCATACACATAAGTGAAATAAATTAACAAAGTAATTACTAAGAACTGTTAAATTTGGAGTCTAACTCTTCTGAATTTGTTTTTGACTCAAGGTCACCAATGCTTGTGCTTTTCCAGGCTCTCGCACTTTCTGTACTATCAATAATTGGGAAGGCAGCATTTCTCAAAAGAATTGAAAGCCATTAGAATTGACTCTTAAGCTGGCTTTGAAATTATGTAGAACAACCCTCTTTTTGAGTTCAGCTTTGGGAATGTTGTTAAACCTGTTTGATTCATTGCTTTCTCCCTCCTTCCCCACTACTGCTTGGTGCTTAAGAATTAAAATACTGCTTAGCTATTGTTTCCAGGATTTTCTTCTGAGATGCCAACACCCGTTATACAGGTGCTGATGCTGGTGCTTTTGATGTTCGTGTGTACATTGTCCCTGACATCCATGCCACAAGCGCTGCGTGGCTAACAGCAATTTTGATATGCCATCAATTGAAATATACATTCCGATTTCAGAAATGTTAAAATGTGAACAAATGTACACCTCAGAATTGATGAAATATTGTGATACTTTACATATAAAAATATAAAAGGTATTTTTATGCTTTCTTCTGCTCTCCCTTGGACAGACCTTTTTTCTGTACTATTTCTCTTTCCTTTCCTGCCTTTCAGTAGATTGATCAGTTTTCTTTAGTCTCCTTTACTGGACCGGAAGTTACTCATTTTATTTTTATTCTTTTTTCAGTGACCTTTAAATTTTTAACATCCATATTTGACTTGGCAAGTCTAATCAATATCTCTATTGGCCTCTTTAATAATTCACCAAATTGATTGCTTTGACTCTACTCCCTTCTCATCTTATATATTTTTGTTTCCTGATATCATAGTTTCAACTTGTTTTTAATCATCCAAGCTGGTCATCATTATTATTATTGTTCTGATTTTTTTATGATCAGTACTTACTCAGATTTACCCATATGTCTAATAATGTTCTTTCTTAAGTTTACTTTGTATATTTCACTTCATTCTTCTGAGTTCACTTTCCTTCTTCCTGAGATTCATCTTTTAGCCTGAAAATGTCTGTACGATGCCCTCACTCTTAAATGATAGCTTCAATGGATATAGAATTCTTGCAGGAGGGGAGCCGGGGGAGGCTACATGGTTTCTGATACTAGGTGTGTAGCATAGATCAGGTTCTAAACCTTCCCATGTCCTTGGTTTTAAAATAAGCTCATTATTGTTGTCCCCTGATCAGGTTAGGAGGCAGGGATTTTCTCATTCTCTGTTCACTGAGATCGAAGCCTTTCCATGGTTCTGCTTAATTCCACATGTCAGTCCCACTTGACAAGTGTAATGGGCCCACTTCCTTGCCTTCCATCACTGTTCAACCCTCTGCCTTTAGGCCCCTCTTTCTTGCTTGCTGTTGGGGATTTCTCTTTCCATCTTCTGAGTTCAGGTTTGCATTAAATTTTTATCTTGTATTTTTAGGTGTTTTGGGGCAGGAATGTTTCTGCATTATCAGCCCAGTCTGTCTCTATGGGACCCTCTAAGAACACTGCATTTATTTTGCTTTTCTCAATTTATATTTAAAACAGTTAAGACTACCTTAAGAAGTGATTTTTTTTTTCTTTTTTTGAGACAGAGTCTCACTCTGTCACCCAGGCTGGAGTGCAGTGTCGCGATTTCAGCTCACTGCAACCTCTGCCTTCCGGGTTCAAGTAGCTCTCCTGGCTCAGCCTCCCCAGTAGTTGGGATTACTGGTGTGCACCACTACGCCTGGCTAATTTTTGTATTTTTAGTAGAGACGAGGTTTCACCATGTTGGCCAGGCTGGTCTTGAAGTCCTGATCTCAGGTGATCCACCTGCCTTGGCCTCCCAAAGTGCTGGGATTACAGGCATGAGCCACAGCACCTGGCCAAAAAGTGAAATTTCTGTGTTTATTTTTTTCCATTTTCTGGTTTCATGAAACCTTGGCTTTCTGCAAAATATGGTTTTTTAGCCACTGTTTTATTGTATGGCTTTGATATCCATAGTTAAGTGACTGCTCAGCATGAGACCTTAGACCTAGAGTGAATGGAGCAAACTCTAGATGGCAGTCTCCTGGTGAGGTTTGCCAGCCTTTGGCGGATCCATACCTGAGGTATCAGATGTTACCTGCATGGTAGGCACTGGGTGGTCACCCCCTAGGGTAGCTGATATGCCTGCCAATGCACTTCTCCAAGCTGCTCATTTGTGGATTCAGAAAGCTAGAGAAGAAAAGGTGGTGGGGAAGAGCAGATAGTCAGTCATTCTGTAGAAAGAAGAGAGAACATCTTTTTGCATGCTTATTGGCTGGTTGCATTTCTTTTTCTTTTCACATTAGAGGGAATTACCTGATAATTTTTTTATACTGTGATACTGAGGAAATAACTCTCACAGCCTGCTGGTATGAGTATAAAATGGTATAGCCAATTTGACTCTATCTGTCTTAATCAGTTGGCTTCTGTTGTGTAAAAGGCCACTCCAAAACCTAGTAGTTTAGAGACAATAAATTCTTATTATTTCCTACACTTTTGGGAGTTGGCTGGGCAGTTCTTCTGGTCTTTGCTAGCGTAACTGAAGCTAGGTCATATAGGATGGCTTCATTCACCTGTCTGGGAGCATTGGCAGGCCGGTTGGTTTGGGTGGGTCTCAGCTGGGACACCTTGGCTCTGCTCCATGTGGGTTCTCACCATCCAGTAGGCCAGCCCAGGCTTCTGCACACAGAAGCCATTGTCATCTCTCATATTCTGTTTTTTTTGTTTTGTTTTGTTTTGTTTTTTAATGTCTGTGTTAGAGGGTCTCTTGCAGATGTGACATTGTATATTAGATATATACAAGAATGTTTATTTCAGTGTTTTTGTTTGTTCATTTGTTTTACAATACAAGAAAATTGGAAACTATGTGATATGGTTTGGCTCTGTGTCCCCATCCAAATGTCATCTCAAATTGTAATCCCCACATGTCGGGAGAGTGGGCTGGTGGGAGGTGATTGGATCATGGGGGATTTCCCTCATGGTGTTCTCGTGATAGTGAGCGAGTTCTCAGAGGGTCTGATGGTTTAAAAGTGATGAAAGTGATAAAAGGGTCTGATGGTTTAAAAGCTGTTCTTATGACAGTGAGTGAGTTCTCACAGGGTCTGATGGTGTGGCAGTTCCCCTGTCGCTCTCTCTGTCTCTCCTGCTGCCTTGTGAAGACGTGCTTGCTTCCCCTTTCTGCCATGATTGTAAGTTTCCTGAAGCCTCACAGTCATGCTTCCTGTAAAGCCTATGGAACTGTGAGCCAATTAGACTTCTTTTCTTCATAAATTACCCAGTCTCAGGTAGTTCTTTATCACAGGGTAAAAATGAACTAAGACACTATGTGATGTACATTAATTGGATAGAGGTAACAAAAAAATAGTGTGCTATTGAATACTACAAGGCAGTTAAAGAGACTGAAGATTCATGTATATGGTCCCAAAAAGACACATTTTAAACAAAAAAAGCACCAATTGCTGAACTGCACACACCTTATACCTCCCAATACACATGGGAAAACTAAATTCCTACAGATACGTGTAAATTATGTCATGCATATGCAAAACAAAATGTTCAGAAATATACACACCAGATTGATAACAATAGTTACCTTTGTAGAAAGGGTGAGACTAAGTGATGGTTAATAGGAAATTTTGTTTCAATTTTTGGGATATCATTTGTATTTTTTATAAAAATGAGTGCATTTATAAATTGTTTATTTCAAAATGAATGACATTTAATTTTAAACTTACAAAAAGGAAGAATTTGGTATGATTCTCATGCACTTGGTTCCTTGCCTCTGACTCACTGTGTTTGTGGCATTGGATTTATGCATTGAGACCGTCTCTCCTCTGCTTCTTCCTCACAGTCACATGTGCTGCTTAGTTGGAGTGTTTCAAGCCTAGTAAACTAGATCCGAGTAAGGATAAACTTCTGAAATTCACCCTCATAAAAATACAACACTTATCCTAGTCATTATGGTGCCCAAAGAGCCAACTGGCATAATTCCTGTTTGTGTAGTTTCAAGGTCCTCTCTGCAAATGCCATGCAAAATGTTATGGTATCATTTTTCCTAAATAATTTCAACATAGTCTAAAGTTAGTTGGTAATTACTCTTGTGAGACATTCAGAATCTAGTGAATTGTAATTTGGAGGCTGACACAAATACAGATTAAATTTTTGCTATTTCCTGTTCATTCTAGTCAGTATCTTTATCTTTTAAAATTTTGGATGTTTCTACAATGTAGTATATAAGCTAGTCCACTGTCTGCAGGGACTGACTGACCACTTAATTGTTATCTCTCTGTCTATACCAATGTTTTGTGGTTCTGTGGGAAAGGAATGATGCCAGACCAAATACCGAAGTTACCTCTTTGGCATGCCCATATAACTTACAGAAAACAGAGCAAGACATGCTTCTTTTTATTGACCAATGAGAATAGAAACAAACAGAAATAAGGATAACAACTTGTAAACTACTTATTTAAGAAACCACTGAATATTAGTGATAATTATGTGATATTATTTTCTCTTATTGGTTCTTTATAGTTGTGCCTAATGATATGCTTGAATAAAATGTTGATTTGTTGTTTTGGAGGGAAAATTTAAAACTACCATGATAAAATAAGTTTTAACTTTTTACACCTGGCTGGGTGTGGTGGCTCATGCCTGCAGTCCCAGCACTTTGGGAAGCTGAGGCAGGAGGATCAGTTAAGCCCAGGAATTTGAGACCTGCCTGGGCAACATAGTGAGACCCTGTCTATACAAAAAAATAATTAAAAAAACAAATTAGCTGGGTGTGGTGGTGTATTCCTGTGGTCCCAGCTACTCAGGAGACCGAGGCAGGAGGATCCCTGGAGCCCGGGAGGTTGAGGCTGCAGTGAGCCAGGATAGCACCACTACACTGTAGCCTGGGCAACAGAGCAAGAGCCTGTCTCAAAAAAGAAATAAATGAATAAATAAGTAAATAAATAAATAAATAAATAAATAAATAAATAAAACTTTTGAAACTTACGAAAATGTAGTTTTTTCATGAAAGTTTGTCAGCTTGCAGGCTTTAGAATTTTTTTTGCTCTTTTCCTTGTCTGCTCTGTTTTTCTTTTACCATGTGTAATATATGTATAGTTTTACTTTAGAAAGCACACACACACACACACACACACACACCCCATTATTAATCAAATCCCTAAGGGGGAGGACCACTTTCCCACAAGGATAAAACAGGTGTGCACTGTGCTTTTACACTCGTATCATAATCTTACATTTATTTGGAGGGACTACCCATCTCTGAGGAAATGTTTGCCTCTTAGTTTTTTAGTTTGACATCATGGAACCAATGGTAGTAATTGGATATGGGTTTATCTATGAATTTTGAGATCACTAAGTCTTGCCATAGGACTACATAAAATGTGGCTGCAGGCACATGAGTGATCTTCATAACGTTTCTTGATTCAGGGACGTGTGTGGCGGGAAGAGTTCTTATTTAGATTATAATTTTTAGAACATCTTATGTCCTTCATGAGTGTTGGTGTACTAACTGGGTGAAATAATATTGCAACCAATGCAGGTGTAAAATATTTTTTGGTTAACATTTAAGCCTTTCATCCTTGTGGCCAATGGAGTACACCAGGTAAAATAACTGGTTATAAGTCAGAGAAACTATTAAAGCATTTCACAAATTAATTACAAGATGACTATTACTTATGGCAGAAGCTGAAAGCAAAGCAACTGGTCTGACAGAAACCATTCTGGACAAGTAAAATCAGGATAGTATAATTTGTCAGAATGTTTCCCATATGTCAGTGAAACATTAATATATACATAAAACTTTCCTTATCAACAAATTCATTTATTTTTAAATATTTGGATGTTCTAGTGAGACTTCTATAAATATTTAGCTTTGGGTTCACCCAATTTTCCTAAAAGTGAATGAGATTATTCCAAAGCCACATTTTAAATCCAAATAAATGAATACAGTTTAAGGTTTATGTCAACTCTGTCTCTCAAAGTTTCAATTAATAGTGACATGTTAGTTTCTGAGAGAATATTTATTCCAAAAGGGCACAGTTTTTCATTCAGCAAAGATGATTATCTGCTTGATTTTGGTAGATAACAGGTTTTATACTTAGAAGCCTGTTTTATCCAATAATATGGTGTTAAGAGTATAGACTCATACATGTAGGGAATATTGATTCTGCCTTTCTTCTTGGAACTCCTTTCATTATCGTATATACTGTATTATTGACACACTGCTACTTGTGTGTGATGACTTCCAGCTTCCCTAATTCCCCTCACTTCTATTTACATCCTCCTGGGTTGATTTACATGCAGCCCGGCTGTTAATTAGCTTTGGGGAGTGGGGAAGGAGATTTCTCTACATCCCCTTGGTTGCAGCCTCACGAAAAGATGGTCCTCATATCTGGGAAGAGCTTCCTCTTCTGCTTATTACGTCCAGTAAACAGAGCCTGCCCCTTCCGTGACCAACTGCCAAGTTCACAGCTTCCAGTAAGGAATTGAGCAATTTGCCAAATTAATTTTCTTCCCTTCAAGGTAGCTCTCAGTGGGTAATGCCTGTGTAGACACACTCTTAACTGGATGGCTTCTTTAAAACATGCTTTCCAAGATGGACAAAGTTGAAGATGAAAAAGGGTCCTCTTTCCTACCCCTTGGGACTGATTTTTAAAAATCATGTTCTTGTGGTTACATCATGGAAATGTTTTTTAAGATCTTTGGCTAATTTCGAATTCATCCAAAAGAAGATGTCTTGATTTGTTTAGCTTTGAGAGTGTTCATCTGGTCACCTGATTGGAACAAGGAAGACCACAGGTTGTGAAAATGGTCTTTCATGGGCATTTCTGGAGGGATTGGTTTTAGCAGCACCTAAGTGATGTTATCACCCAAGCCCTTTGAGTTTCCTGCCATCTAGAAGGAGTACCCATAGTTGTAGCACAGAGGCATTCCTAGCCAATTCTTTCTCCCCCCAGCAGAAGCCATGGTGACTTTGTCTAGAAGTAAGTGTGGAGGAGGCGAGATTTTGTGTCTACATGAGCTTCCTGCACAGGTGAACACATCCTCGTTGTTGGAATCTCTCCATGGCAGATGCAGGAATTTTTACTTAGACTTCCTTCCACACAGCACATCAATAAATATGGAAATGAAGACTTCAAATCTCACTTCTGATGAAACAATATGCTGTCTAAATTCAGTTAATTGTAAGGTACTTAGTGTTGAAAGACAAAGATATGCTAATCTTATTAAAATATGCCTGGTGAAATTCAGCTGTAAATTCCATTCAGGGACTCCTGCGTTCTACATTGATCCACGTCACAATGTCTGGAAAGAAAACCACCCACCGTGCAGGATGCAGAGTTAGTAAATTAGAAAGGTGAAAAGTTTAATGAAGAGTCTATCTTCTGGAGAAGAAGTACAACAAGGCGGAATGCTTAATATTTTTTTTTGTTTGTTTAGATTAAACCAACTGAGAGCTCTTTACATTGTTTACATTTATGTTACTCAGTAAGAAAAGCTTTTAACATTTTCTCTGTTTCATGTGAATTGAAGTTGTTTTTAACTATATACGAGGGAGGGAAAGAGTCTTCACTAAAGATGCAGCTCAAGCCTGTTTAGACAGACTCAACCAATTTTTAATTTTCTAGGGAGTTAAGGAGTGTGGCATTTTGAATTTGTGGTTAAGGGCCTGACTAGAGATTTTGATACCAAAGGTTTCGATCCTGACATCTTTTGTTCATGTTGCTATGTAACTTTGTGCATTTTTTTTTCCAGGCAGGGTCTCACTCTTTCACCCAGGCTGGAGTGCAGTGGCATGATCATGGCTCACTGCAGCCTCAAACTCTCAGGCTTTGAGCTTCTGAAGACCTTTGTTTCTTTATATGTAATCTGGGGTAAACCCATGTTGTATTTTTAAAAGAACATTTATTTTTATTTATTCTTATAGACTAAAATATCTATTCTTTATAGAATATTTATAAGCATTCATATATAACATTATACAATTTCAATAAATATATATATATTTATTTACACACACACACACCCCCCCCACAATCGTTCATAATCCAGCCACTCAGAGATAACCTCTATTCCATTTATGTTGGACTCCCAGCCACTTAGCCATCCATCCGTGCACATCTGTACATGTGCATGAATCTAACCACCCATTAATGAAGACTAGA
This sequence comes from Homo sapiens, assembly GCF_000001405.40. Taxonomy (NCBI): domain Eukaryota; kingdom Metazoa; phylum Chordata; class Mammalia; order Primates; family Hominidae; genus Homo; species Homo sapiens. The sequence continues at coordinate 35,665,768 of NC_000010.11, forward strand.
TTACACAGCACCTATTTTTTTTTATAACCTGGTATATCCAATTAATATATGGTGAGTATCTTCCCACATTATTATATATTCTTCCATATAATGGCAATAATTTTATTTTTGAAAAATCCCCCATAATTTATTGAACCAGGACCATATTGTTAGGCATTTGGTTTGTTCTCTTTTTGTTAGTCATTGTAAACAATGCTGCAGCGAAATCTCTATGTGTTATATCCTTAGGCACATCTGTGATTATTTGCTTAGTCTGATTTAAACTGGTTGTGATAACGTGTTTTAAAGAAGTGTGTATATATCTCATTATGGATTAGTGTTTATGGCACTGTAATAAAGATACTTCCAATACAACTTTGATTTCTGACTATTTTTGTTATTTTAAACATATTTTAGATCTGTTTAAAAATACAAATTATTCAATTATTTAGAGCGATTGCCGGAAAATCTGTTTGACCCCAGAAACTGATGAATCAGTGGTAGAAGTGGAAGCAGTTAGGAGGCCAGGCGCTCTGTAAGAGCCACATGTAGTAATGGCTTAAGTCCCTGGATTTTTTTTCCTGATTACTATTATACTTACTATCTGTATGATTGTAGTTGTTATTTATTTTCTTCAAATTTCAATATCCTCATGAGAAAAATGGGCATATGGTACCTAAGTGAAAGGCAGTTTGGAGGATGCAGTGAGACATTATTTGCATAAGGAACGGCGGGGACAGAGGCTGCAGCGTGGCCAGTGCTTTGCCACATGTGGTCTACAAGGGTTGTCCGGTGTCACTCACTTTCCTGATCCAGTACCAATCGAGCCCTGTCCATTTCACTTCCCAAATCTCTTAGCTCCCTGCTCTTTTCCCACCCATGTCCACTGCTCTGTGTGTTTGACACTTGACCCAGGACATTGTCACCACCTCAGCTTGTAATCAATTGAAGAGCTCTGGTGACTAAAGCCTCCCTGGCCTTCTCCAGAGTCTGCAGCCTAGCCAGGGCAACGCACTGTGGAGGGCCTCTGCTCTGCTTCTCTCCACCTGGATGTGTCCCCCTCCTCTAAAGAGCCCTCCCTCCTAGCCCTGAACTTCGTGTGTTGGCACCTTCCTGTCATTCAGCTCTTAGCATAAAAGTGACCTTCTCAGAAAGGCCTTGCCTGGCTGAACTGCCTATAGATTTACCCTGTTTTAATCTTTATCAATTGGTTGTCAGTTTCCTCATATGTAAAATGGGCGATAATAGAGTGTCTGCCTCATAGGGTTGTTGTAAACATCAAATGAATCAAATATATGCTGAGTACTTAGAAATTGTCTGGGACAGAGACAATGCTATATACATATGCTATAAAAATTATCTCCACGAACACCACAATCATGAACATCACTACCATCATCACTGCCATCACCACCACCATCACCATCACTACCATCCCCACCATCATCACCACCATCACCAACCCTATCACCACCACCACCACCATCACCACCACCACCACCATCATCACCACCATCACCACCACCACCATCTTCACCACCGCCACCACCATCATCACCACCACCACCATCATCACCACCATCACCACCACCACCACCATCATCACCACCATCACCACTACCACCATCATCATCACCATCACTACCATCCCCCACCATCACCACCATCACCATCACCACCACCACCATCATCACCACCATCACTACCACTACCATCATCATCACCACTATCACCATCATCACCACCACCACCATCACCACCATCACCACCATCATCACCACCATCACCACTACCATCATCATCACCATCACTACCACCCCCCACCATCATCACCACCATCACCATCACCACCACCATCACTACCACCCCCCACCATCACCACCACCATCACCATCACACCACCATCACTACCACCCCCATCATCATCACCACCACCATCACCATCACCACCACCATCACTACCACCCCCACCATCATCACCACCATCATCACTAGCACTGCCGCTACCATCACCACTGCACCATCATCATGACTTCCTGGCACTATCATCACAAATGTCACCACCATACTTGGCACATACTAGACACTTAACGAATATTTGCTGAACGTGTGGACTTCAGCTATTTCAATTCCCTCCTCAGTGATGTTCCTGTTCTCCAGTTTGTCTCCCTTCACCCCAACCATTCTCCATAGGCCTACAAACCTGATTGCAGCAATATTTCTTTTTCAGTCCAGTCCCTTTTCCCGTGCATCGAGGCCTGGTCTGAAACACAAAGCCCTGATAACTTGCCCCTCATGCTCATCTCATGCTGGCAACCCCTATGCCCCTGGCTTCAGTGACACACACCTACTTACAGTTTCCAGAACAGATCGGTTGATCTCTCTCCTGGTTCTGTGCCTTTGCTCACAATGTGCCTCCTGTCTGGAATTCATTTCCTTATCTCTCTGATCCGGCTAATTTAAATTTATTTTCCAAACATAAACTCCTGCATCATCTCCTTTTGGAATTGTTTCCCGAGTCCCATTTCTCCCCCACGCATGGGTGAGCAGGGCCGCCTCTATGTTTTGCCGCTGTGATTCCATTCATCCTCTGGTACAGCACTTTCCCTGCTCCATTGCAGCGCAGAGCTTCGCCTCTGGATTGTGAAGGTAGGAATCTTGCCTTGCCCATCTTTCTTATTTCTAGCAGGTGTCACGTTGAGAGGCACATATTTGATGCACAATATGGATTGGTTGAACGAATAAGGGAATGACTGGTCCATTACATTTCTTGTGTGGGTTAGGCACCATTAGGTTAATAAAACGAGGATTACAGTTTGCGGATAAAATGAAATAATCGAAAATCTTATAGTAGGTTTCTGAATATCTTGATAGGTTATCATATTCAAAAATTTGTTAAATTACACACATGTGCATTATAATGCATTGTCTATTCAATTACATACTGAGTACGTTCTGAGAACTGGGGGTGGGCTGGGGCAGAGCTCCTGCGCATATCAGGCCCAGATGTGCACCAGCATCTCAGTCCCATTTTATTCCAGTTGTGTAATCTGACAGTGGCATCACCTCAGCATGACAAGTTCCTGTCCCTTCCTGGCTTGAAGCTTCTCTGGGTGGGATACCTAACCATGGGGACTGGCTCAACACTCAGGCATAAGCAACCAGGAAGTGTGTGCCTGCATGTATATATGTGTGTGCATGTGTGTATACATGTGCATGCCTGCATGTGTGTATGCGTGTGCATGCATGTGTACGTGGGTGCATGCCTGCAAGTGTGCATATGCATGTGTGTGCACGCATACGTGCATGTGCATATATGCGTATGCATGTGTGTATGTGCGTGTGTGTGCATGTGTGTAGGGGGAATGTGTGTGTATGCATGTGTATGTGCGTGTATGCATGTGCATGTGGGTGCATGTGTGCATGTGTGTGCGTGTGCGTGCGTGTGTGTAGGGGGAAGTTTCTGTGGGAGTTGTTGCCTGAGGGGTCCCCCTTGACCAATAGGAGTGAAAGTCAATGAATGCATGTTTTTCCTTTCCCTCCTCCAGGCAGACAGCTCTGACTTGCATCTCAATAACAAATGCAACTCAATAAGACCCCTGAGAGGGTCGTGGCAGGATCCAGCACCGGTTGCCTGCAGCAGTGACCAATTCAATGACACATCCCTACTGCAGCTGTCCCCTGGCCTGTTTCATCCTCCCTCATCCTCCCCTTCTGCACCCTGGGATCACCTCCCAATTAAACTACCTGCACACTAGCCTTTGTCCCTAGCTCTGCTTTCAGGGACATCCAGGCTCACAAGGGTTGCCACAGTTTCAGATTTGAAACTAGCAGGAGGTCTCACGCACTTACATTCCAGAGAACCACAGTTTTCAATAAGAATGAGCTTTTAAAAAAATACAGAACAGAATTTGGTGGTCGTGTGTTTACTTCTCTCTTTTGGAATATCTAGAATTTATGGATGTTTAATAATGCCTGCAGAAAATATAATTATTTTTCTAGCCTCTGAGAACACACTTAGATGCTTTATAGATTTGGTTATCAGCAGGGATCTTGCTGTGGATGTCTTGACTTGGTTTAATTAAATTAACCATGATGTTGACGCTATTATACTTGTGGTGAGTAATATCCTTTTTGGGGGTTGCTGTTTATTTTAGGAAATTGTTATGTTGAATCTGCTGATTGATTCCAATGTAAATCTTTTGATTAAGGAGGGGCTGTTAATTAGTTTATTTGCATTTTTTTAAATAGAGACGGGGTCCTGCTATGTTGCCCAGGCTTGAACTCCTGGCCTCAAGCAATCCTCCCGCCTCAGCCTCTGGAGTAGCTAGGATTACAGGCATGAATCACTTGCACAAAGCAGTTTATTTAAAAATTTCCTTGTATCTATGCATCTAGGTACAGTGACAGTTCTAAGAATTCATCCGCGCAGTGGATTCTTTTATGGCAGGCACTGCACCTGATACTCAGGTTACAATGGAAGCCAGACACGGCCCCTGATCTTAGGGCACTGCCTGGTTGTAGGGAGACCCCCAGGCAATAAGCAAGAGCAAAGCAGTCCTGCAGGTACTGTGCCAGGAGCAAGGAGGAGGGGCTCATTTTGCTGGGGAGTAGAGAGTGGGAGGGGGAGTAATTCAGGAAGGGCTCCCTAGAGAAGGTGACTGTTGGGTCTTGGCTTAAAACTAGATATTGGCAGGGATGGGGAGTAGGGCAATCCAGGGGGGCAGGCATGGGGACAGTGTACACAAAGCCCAGAGGCAAGAAGTGCCTTGGTGCTTGGTCACAATACCAAAGGAGGTGGTGGATGCTGATGAGACTGGGATTTTAGCACACAGGGAATTGGGGCCACTGAAGACATTGGGTAAGAGGGTGGTGACCACACCAGCAAAGCAGCTAATTGAGAGTGGGAGCAGAGGTAGGGACGCAAGGGGAGAGACACAGCCCTGAGTCAAGATGCCTTTGGAAGGAATGGAGAGCAGGGCTTGGGCAGAAGAAATGGTAGTAATTGGGGCCTCCCAATGGGGTGGGCACAGTGAGTCAGACCAGTCTGGTTGGCTCAGTCTTAGGAGAATGGATTGGTCTGCTACTGCCCTAAGGGGCCCTTGCCCTGGGCACAGGTGCTGTGGGGCCCCAGCTTTGCACCTATAAAACATTTCACACATTTTTATACCAATTATGCCCTTGCTCATGTTTAATCACCTGTTCCCAGGTTACCACCCCCAACCATCTATACAACATGTAATGGGGAACTATCAGAAGAGGGGCAAGGAGTGGGCTCACAGATGTGACTTTTGCATTCCATTCAGAACTTCAGAGATGTTTTCCTTAAAGATATCTTCCAGTGATCCTATTCTTTTGGCATTTGGAGCACACAGCATCTGACCTTGGACACAGGGAAGCTTCTAGACTGGGCCCAAGAGATTCAAATGTTACTGTTCTAATGGTTTTTCTTTTCTTTTTTGAGACGGAATCTTGCTCTGTTGCCCAGGCTGGAGTGCAGTGGTGCAATGATAGCTCACTGCAGCCTTGACCTCCTGGGCTCAAGTGATCCTCCCACCTTGGCCTCCTGAATAGTTGGCACTGCAGGGACACACCACCATGCCTAGCTAATTAAAACTTTTTTTTTTTTTTTCTGGGGAGGCTGAGGCGGGCAGGTCATGAGGTCAAGAGATCAAGACCATCCTGGCCAACATGGTGAAACGCTGTTTCTACTAAAAATACAAAAATTAGCCAGGAGTGGTGGCACATGCCTGTAATCTCAGCTACTCAGGAGGCTGAAGCAGGAGAATCGCTTGAACCCAGGAGGTGGAGATTGCAGTTAGTCGAGATTGTGCCACTGCACTCCAGCCTGGCCACAGGTTGAGACTCCGTCTCAAAAAAAAAGTAGGGATGGGATCTTGCTATGTTGCCCAGGCTGGTCTCAAACTCCTGGCCTCAAGCAATCCTCCTGCCTTGGCCTGCCAGAGTGCTGGGATTACAGGCATGAGCCACTGTGCTGGGCCTAGAACTATGTTTATGGCTGCTGAGCTTTGCTTGTCTATGAAGGGCTTGCTTCTCTCTCAAATTTAGCCCAGTTAGGGGACTTTGGAGCCACTGATCACGAGTACACACTTGTACTATATTTGGTGTCTTCTGTTATAATAGCAATGAAGGTGTTTCATGACCCTCTCCACCTTCCCTGAAAGTGGCACTCCTTTATGTGGACATTGGTGCCATGCAGCCACTATGGTAGAAGATGGGATGGAAATAAAAACTTAAACCACTGCCAAAGTAATAATAAATAAATGAGTGTTTGTGTGTATGTGGGGGCGGGGGGTGGATGGAGTAGGGGGTGTAGGCTGTGATGGTTTTGATAGTTGGATTTAGTAGATGACTATAAAGAAAAGAAACGGTGTGATGTAGCCAGAATCTATAAACTCATAGGAGAAAGGGACCAAGGTATGAGAGGCTGAGGATTAAGATAATGTATTTAAAATGCAATGAAGCGTCCAGAGAACACTGTGGAAGTAGCTGGGAGGAGGGTCAGCAGAAGTTGGAGGTAGGGACAGGTGGAAGGAATGTAGTTTGGGGATAACAATATGTGAGAAGACAGCTGACTAGAATTTCTTGCTTTTGGCAAGTGGCAAGGATGGAGATCAGGGTTGGAGTGAGGGCCCAGGAAGGAAGGCACCTGTACAGAGTGAAGTTTCAGGGGCTGGGCACAGTGACTCACACCTGTAATCCCAGCACTTTGGGAGGCCGAGGCAGGTGGATCACCTGAGGTCAGGAGTTTGAGACCAGCCTGGCCAAATGGTGAAACCCCATCTCTACTAAAAACACAAAATATTAGCCAGGTGTGGTGGCACACGCCTGTAATCCCAGCTACTTGGGAGGCTGAGACAGGAGAATCGCTTGAACCCAGGAGGTGAAGGCTGCAGTGAGCTGAGATTGTGCCTCTGCACTCCAGCCCGGGCAACAAGAGTGAGACTCCGTCTCAAAACAAACAAAACAAAAACAGAGTGAGGTTTCAGCATGTCAGAGACCAATTGCAGTCTTTGCTTAGCCTTTCAGTAACACAGCATGGGGAACCTCTTCTAGGGACTTTGGGAGAATTCTCCCCATGGACCATTAGGATCCCAGCTACTTGTGCCCATCACTGCTGTGCTCTCAAGAGAGACAGGCTCAGAGGTATGGAGTGGAGGTGGAGAGGCTAAGATTTGCTTAGAGAAAAATATCTGACTGAGAACTACAATTATTTTCTGAGATCCTTTTAATTTAAAGTTTATCAGCTGGGTGCAGTGGCTCTGGTCTCCAAGCCCCTCAGGGGGCTAAGGTAGGAGGATCACTTGAGGGCGGGAGTTTGAGAACAGCCTGGGCAACATAGTGAGACCCCGTTTCTATAAAAAATTACAAAAATAGCCAGGCATGGTGGCACATGCCTGTATTCCCAACTACTCAGGAAGCTGAGGTGGGAGGATCTCTTGAGCCCAGGAATTTGAGGCTTCAGTGAACTATAATTATACCACTGCACTACAGCCTGGGCAACATAGCAAGATCCTGCCTCTAAGAAAAAGTTTATCAACACTTATCAAGTATTGTGATAAGTCTAGGCATATAAGAGACTGTCCTTGAGCTCACAATATACATTATTTTAATAGTCTCTCTATCTTCTTTCATGGAAAGATTGTGCCAGAGTTGATTACTCTACCAGTGATTGCAGATTTCCTATTACTTGTAAAATGGAAGTTGAGATGTAAAGCAATAATGTGGGTATTTCAGGTAGAAAGATTTTATAATCTAATTAGAAATAGATGAGTAACAGATAGAATAGGCTGATCACTAGAGTTTGACTAAGAAGACCAGGGTTTGAAACCAGCTCCAGTCTTTCCTCGCTGTATGATGTAGGGCTTATTCAGTACTTTGTCTCTGCCTCAATTACTCACTTACTACAAAATGGGACTACAAATCATACCAATTTGTAAAGGGCATTAAATAATGTAGGGACTATGGGCATGTGCCTGGCAAATAATAACAATACAAAACAGCTTTTTCCTTCTTTTGTTTTTCCTGGCATTATTCAGTTCTGTTAAATATCATCTTCACTTTTTACATGCAAAGAGATAGTGCTCAGAAAATGTTTTTAGTGTGAACATAGACTATCTTCAAATGTAATGATTTACATATATAAAAATTTACAGTGACAGTCCCTTTAATCTCAATGCTTTTTTTTTCAATCGGCAGAAATGTAAACAGACATTTTCTGGAGTACAGGAGCCATGGAGAGAGGCTTGAACTCCCCCTGATGAAATAGAACAAGTAAAGATTCATTCCAAACTCATATTTTTGTCTCACACTTAGCCAGTTACTCTTCAGTAGAAATGAGAGATAGCTTGTCTTTAACAGTCTCATACTTGGCTTAATGAACAAGAGTCATGATTTCTAAATCAAGGTTTTAACTTCTTCTTGAAAACTTTTCGTAGAAAAAAATATGAGAAGAATGTTGCTATTCAAGAAGTTTCTAAACACAACCAGCCATTTTTTTAAAAAGTAGCAGTTTCGTTAAAAAGAGAACAGCTTGCATTTTCAGAAGTTTGGATTTAATATGCCTAGCTGTAGCTTTTTTTCCCTTCATTTATACTGCTCAGTGTTCTTGGAGTTTCTTGGCTTTGTGGTTTGGTGTTTGACATTAATTTGGGGGGAATTCTCAGTCACTGTTGCTGAAAATATTGTTTCCAGTTCTATCTCTGTTTTTTCTCCTTCTGGGATGCCCTTGTGTGTGTATGTTATACCTTTTGTAGTTATTCCAGAGTTTTTGGATACAGTGTCCTGGGTTTTTTCCCCCAACTTTTTTTCCTCTGTGTTTTTCTGTTTTGGATGTTTCTAGTATCATATCCTCATGCTGAGAGATTCTTTTCTCATCTGTGTTTAATCTACAGCCCATCAAAGGCATTCTTCATTTCTGTTGTAGTGTTTTTGATCTCTAGCACTTCTTTTTGATTCTTAGAATTTCTATCTCTCTGCTCCCATTACCCATCTACTCTTGCATGTTGTCTGTTTTTGGAAGCCTTTATTATATTAGAGTTTAACAAATTTCCTGCTCTGATAATTCCATTGTCCCTATCTGACTCAGGTAGAGATGGTTTTTAAAATCTCTTCAAACTATGTATCTTGTCTTTTTGTATGCCTTGTAAATTTTTGTTGAAAGGCAGACATTATTTACTGGCTAAAAGGGACTATGGTAAACAGATAAGTAATGTGATGGTAAGGTGTGGGTCAAGGGGAAGTCTTCTATAGTTCTACAGGTTTCAGTTTTGGTCAACCTGTACCACTATGCTGTAATCTTCACCAGTGGTTTTCAACAGCTCCCTTAGCAGGGACAGGATGGCAAGAGGCTGCTGGAGTTGGGTGTTTCTTTTTTCCAAGTTAGGTTTGGCTCTGATAATACTCTAGCAAGTTAGGTGTTGGTAAAATAGTTTCTCCTGAGGGCAGAGCAAGCCTTTTCCAGGATAACAGAAAGCTCTGGCATATTTTGAAATTATTCCTGTTCCCCTCTCCTTGCTGGAAACAGAAGATTTTTTTTTCCTGGTATTTACTGTGAGGATGTGGTAGAGGTTCTGGAGGTAAAACTCATAGGAGATTCTCCATACAATTGGGTCCCCCTAGAGTTTTTGTTTTGTTTTTGTGTTTTTTTAAGAGACAAGGTCTTAAGGCTGGACTACAGGGGTGCAATCATGGCTTATTGCAGCCGCCTCAATCTCCTGTGCTCAAGCAATCCTCCTGCCTCAGCCTCCTGAGTAGCTGAGACTACAGGTGCACAGTATCATGCCCAGCTAATTATTTAAAAAAAATTTTAGCTGAGATGAGGTCTTACTATGTTGCTAGGCTGGTCTTGAACTCCTGGCCTCAAGTGATCCACCCTCCTTGGCCTCCCAAGGTGCTGGGATTACAGGCGTGAAACAGCGCATCCAGCCTCCCTGGAGTTTTTATTTTTCAGTCTTGTCCAAATTGAGTCTTCAGCAATTCATCAATCACAGTTGAGGTTTTCCTACCCTCACACTTGTTCCCATGGAAGTTTGTGCTCATGGGTTTCTCCGCTGGTGATGGAATTCTCTTTATCTGCCTTTCTGACCCTCCAGTTCTGGGGGCTATATTTTGCCCTATGACTTCCCTTTGCCGAGAACCTAAGAAAGGTTGATTTTCAGTTTCCTCAGCTTTTTCCTTGTTGTTAGAGCAGAGTGGAGACTTCTCAGCTTCTTCCATTGCCAGACCAGAAGTGGGAAGACTCCCCTATGATTTCATTCTTGCAGAGTTTATTTTAAAAAGCAGCCAACTCACATTGTGAACATAGCCTTATATAAGAACAAATGTACAAAATATAACCCTGCATGAAAATACACATTGTGCTGAGGTGGGGAGAAAGCCAAGTGATTCTTTCAAAACCATGTGACAACAGCCCTTAAAACTGACATTTGATTCCATTGTGGGGCATTAAACTAAGTATAGATTTGCTTATATATGACATAAGCATCCTGATTTTATATATTTGTAGCTGAAAGAGCTTTGGTGAGTGACATGTCCATGTATTGATATTTACATGACCTTTGAAATTTATTTCAAATATAAAATGGGCTCACTATAGACTTTTGAAAATATAAAAACACATGTGCTGCTGAAATACTTTAAAATCTGATGAGTATGTTACCTACAAAGAATCTTACTACTTTAAGAGTAATTAATGTTAATTTAGAAATTCTGAAATTATTTCCATCTTCTTTGGGTATGGTTATAAGTCTTTTCCTGAACATTTTTTGAACATGAAATATGATGGAATTAGCTAATGATAGATGTGAAAATTAACTGATTAAAACCTGGAGAGTTTGAGCAGGTACCTGACTGGTTCATGTGGGTATGTCTGTAATGGTATTTGCTTTGTTGCTCAGGAACAAAAAAATTTGTATATTCTCAAGCAGTAGAATGGCTGATGTTGGCTGGGAAGGAATTAAAGAGTTAAAGTGGCTGGGCGCAGTGGCTCATGCCTGTAATCCCAGCACTTTGGGAGGCCAAGGAGGGCGGATCACCTGAGGTCAGGAGTTCAAGACCAGCCTGACCAACATGGTGAAACCCTGCCTCTACTAAAAATACAAAAATTAGCTGGGCATGGTGGCACACACCTGTAATCCCAGCTACTTGGGAGGCTGAGGCAGGAGAATTGCTTGAACCTGGGAGGAGGCGGTTGCAGTGAGCCAAGATCATGCCATTGCACTTCAGCCTGGGTGACAGAGCAAGACTCTGTCTCAAAAAAAAAAAAAACCGTTAAACCATACTCTTTATATATATATATATGCTTGTTATTAAAAAAATTCAAAAGGACACAGAAATGTGTAGCATAGAAATTAATAGGTTCATGTATCCTTTTCTGACTTCTGCCATTCCTTCATGACAGCTATCTTTAACTTATGTATATTCTTCCAGATTTTCTCATGTATGCTGTAATAGTTATAATTATTACTGATGCATATTAGTACATCATGAATATTATTCTGGCTCTAACTTTTTAACTTATGATGGCTTGTACTTTTTTGGGTTAGTCTATATAGATAATAAGCTCATTTAAAATATACTGCCTATTATTTCATTGTTTATTTTACCAATTTACCATAGATTATGTTACCAATTGCTTACGGTTTAATATGTGTTGTTTCTAATTTTTTTCACTGTTAGAAACAATGCTGAAAAGAATATATTTGTGCACTCAGAGAATGTTTCCTTAGGAAAAATTTTGTAAGCAGAATAGCTGATTTAAAGAATATGCATGTTTTCAATTGTAATAACTAGTGAGAAATTACTCTCTGAAAGGCTTGAACCAATTTAAACTTCTCCTTACCTATTTGTGGGCCAACTCTAGTTATTGTCTATCTTTGTGAACCAATTCGATGAGTTAAAAAAATCTTATTTTTAAGCTTTATATATTAGAATTATAACAATATATATACATAATATAACATTAATGAGGTTAAGGATTTTTTGAGATGCTTGTTTTCATTAAAACACAATATTTAAATGAATGCAATTTCTAGTTAAAGTCCTTTACTGTCTTGATAGTTTAAACATAATTTTATAGTTAACCCATTTTTTCCTTAATAAAAGTTTAAATAAGTTAATTGACCTTTAAAATTAACTAGATAATTTTCTCCCATTTTGTAGGTTGCCTGTTCACTCTGATGGTAGTTTATTTTGCTGTGCAGAAGCTCTTTAGTTTAATTAGATCCCATTTGTCAATTTTGGCTTTTGTTGCCATTGCTTTTGGTGTTTTAGACATGAAGTCCTTGCCCATGCCTATGTCCTGAATGGTATTGCCTAGGTTTTCTTCTAGGGTTTTTATGGTTTTAGGTCTAATGTTTAAGTCTTTAATCCATCTTGAATTGATTTTTGTATAAGGTGTAAGGAAGGGATCCAGTTTCAGCTTTCTACATATGGCTAGCCAGTTTTCCCAGCACCATTTATTAAATAGGGAATCCTTTCCCCATTGCTTGTTTTTGTCAGGTTTGTCAAAGATCAGATAGTTGTAGATATGCGGCATTATTTCTGAGGGCTCTGTTCTGTTCCATTGATCTATATCTCTGTTTTGGTACCAGTACCATGCTGTTTTGTTTACTGTAGACTGGTAGTATAGTTTGAAGTCAGGTAGCATGATGCCTCCAGCTTTGTTCTTTTGGCTTAGGATTGACTTGGCGATGCGGGCTCTTTTTTGGTTCCGTATGAACTTTAAAGTAGTTTTTTCCAATTCTGTGAAGAAAGTCATTGGTAGCTTGATGGGGATGGCATTGAATCTATAAATTACCTTGGGCAGTATGGCCATTTTCACAATATTGATTCTTCCAACCCATTAGCATGGAATGTTCTTCCATTTGTTTGTATCCTCTTTTATTTCATTGAGCAGTGGTTTGTAGTTCTCCTTGAAGAGGTCCTTCACATCCCTTGTAAGTTGGATTCCTAGGTATTTTATTCTCTTTGAAGCAATTATGAATGGGAGTTCACTCATGATTTGGCTCTCTGTTTGTCTGTTATTGGTGTATAAGAATGCTTGTGATTTTTGTACATTGATTTTGTATCCTGAGACTTTGCTGAAGTTGCTTATCAGCTTAAGGAGATTTTGGGCTGAGACAATGGGGTTTTCTACATATACAATCATGTCATCTGCAAACAGGGACAATTTTACTTCCTCTTTTCCTAATTGAATACCCTTTATTTCCTTCTCCTGCCTAATTGCCCTGGCCAGAACTTCCAACACTATATTGAATAAGAGTGGTGAGAGATGGGAGAAAATTTTCGCAACCTACTCATCTGACAAAGGGCTAATATCCAGAATCTACAATGAACTCAAACAAATTTACAAGAAAAAAACAAACAACTCCATCAAAAAGTGGGTGAAGGATATGAACAGACACTTCTCAAAAGAAGACATTTATGCAGCCAAAAAACACATGAAAAAATGCTCATCATCACTGGCCATCAGAGAAATGCAAATCAAAACCACAATGAGATACCATCTCACACCAGTTAGAATGGCAATCATTAAAAAGTCAGGAAACGGCCGGGCGCGGTGGCTCACGCCTGTAATCCCAGCACTTTGGGAGGCCGAGGCGGGTGGATCATGAGGTCAGGAGATCGAGACCATCCTGGCTAACAGGGTGAAACCCCGTCTCTACTAAAAATACAAAAAATTAGCCGGGCGCGGTGGCGGGCGCCTGTAGTCCCAGCTACTCGGGAGGCTGAGGCAGGAGAATGGCGTGAACCCGGGAGGCGGAGCTTGCAGTGAGCCGAGATTGCGCCACTGCAGTCCGCAGTCCGGCCTGGGCAACAGAGCGAGACTCCATCTCAAAAAAAAAAAAAAAAAAAAGTCAGGAAACAGCAGGTGCTAGAGAGGATGTGGAGAAATAGGAACACTTTTACACTGTTGGTGGGACTGTAAACTAGTTCAACCATTGTGGAAGTCAGTGTGGCGATTCCTCAGGGATCTAGAACTAGAAATACCATTTGACCCAGCCATCCCATTACTGGGTATGTACCCAAAGGACTATAAATCATGCTGCTATAAAGACACATGCACACGTATGTTTATTGCGGCACTATTCACAATAGCAAAGACTTGGAACCAACCCAAATGTCCAACAACGATAGACTGGATTAAGGAAATGTGGCAAATATACACCATGGAATACTATGCAGTCATAAAAAATGATGAGTTCATGTCCTTTGTAGGGACATGGATGAAACTGGAAATCATCATTCTCAGCAAACTATTGCAAGGACAAAAAACCAAACACCGCATATTCTCACTCATAGGTGGGAATTGAACAACGAGAACACATGGACACAGGAAGGGGAACATCACACTCTGGGGACTATTGTGGGGTGGGGGGAGTGGGGAGGGATAGCATTAGGAGATATACCTAATGCTAAATGACGAGTTAATGGGTGCAGTACACCAACATGGCACATGTATACATATGTAACAAACCTGCATATTATGCACATGTACCCTAAAACTTAAAGTATAATATTAATAATAAAAAATATTAAATGAAACAAACAAACAAAAATTAACCAGATAAAATGATGTATTTAGTTTCGTTCTGGGTTTTGGTTGACAATATTTTGTAAATGCCTGTAGGTAGTGAGCCTAGCTGTAAATCATAACTAAATCATCATAATTTACCAACACCCAACATGACATCCACAAAGGTATAACATCGATAATTCTGATGGTGTTGACAATATGCTAAACATCTGGATGAGAAGTGAAAATTTATTTTGACAATCTATACACTACCAAAAAACAAACCTAGATGTTTGGCTTTAAGTAGTTTTGTCACTTCTCTCTTAAAAATAATTGTCTCCTCTCTGCATCTATTCGTCTCTAATTGCTGCACTTTCCAATGTGGCCGACAGGAAGGAGTGCACAGGTGGCCCTTTGCATTCACAGGTTCTGTGTCTCTGGATTTAACCCATTGAGGCTAGACAACAGTCAAAAAAAATTTGTGTCTGTACCAAATATTTACAGCCTTTTCTCTTGTCATGATTTCCTGAGCAGTACAGCATAACAACTACTTACCTAGCACTTACGTTGTGTTAGGTATTGTAAGTAACCTAGAGATGATGTATACAAGAGGATGTGCGTAGCTTATATGCAAACACGAGGCCAATTTATATCAGGGACTTGGATACCTGTGGGTTTTGGTGTCTGTGGGAGTCCTGGAACTATTCCCCCATGGATGCGGCATGGAGTTGTCCCCCATGGAGGAACAACTATATAGAGTTTGTCTTTCCCTTTCTTCCTTGAAACTCCTTTAGATTTCAGATTTGAGATGACTACTTCCTGACCAGATTGAATAATTATTTACATATTAGAGTTTTGAGACAACATTGAGGCAGGCTGTCCTCTTAGCTGGACTATACTTTAGTTCTTGAACTTTGTTCTGGCATTGATGACATCTGCAGTTGTTTGAAAACTAATTGAATCTGGTAAAAGTCCCGTGCATGTGGGGGTCTGTCTTCCCCTGCCGAAAAGAACTACGCGAGCTTGTTCTATCTTCCCTTCTGTGCCCTGTTTCAAGTTCACCAGCAACAGTGTCTGCTTCTCTATAATCACGGTACCGTCTTCCTCCAGGCTCTGTGCATTTCAGGCAGAGGGAACCTACCTGCTTCAGTCTCACTTTCCTTCATTGTCTTCTCTTCATTGCCTGCTGGTCTATTCCTAACTTAGAAACTAAGATGAACATTCTCCTTAGATGCTTGCATTGGCCATTTTCTGCACTTCCATATCAATACTCAAATCGTTTGCTCTAAATCTCTACCTTAGTTCTTACATCTCACCTCTCCTCTGTTCTGATTGTCCAGCGAACCCATACATTGGGTGATTTCTTCCTTGTAATGGTTCTTGTACTTCTAGAGCTCCAGAAAGAGCCCTCTCTCCTTCTCTCCCCTTACAGTCTTTCAAAAGACTCTCCCATCCCATAAGGGAGACCCAAAGAAGACATTGGGTCCTGTCTCCTATCTTCAACCTCTCCATGTCTCTTCACAAACCACAGGGCATGACAAATTATTCCCACTTCTTCCCCACATTTTCACTCAGATGGCCTTTCTCTATATTAAGTAATTTGTTCTTGGATCCACTTATTCCTAGGATATATATTAAGCTCCCACTAGGTACATAAGGCCCTGCTGAGAGCCCTGAGGTGGAGGGCATTTGTGGAGGGAGGGAAAGAAGTTATCTCATCTTCCCTTGAGGAATTTGCAGTCTAGACAGAGGCCCAGGCATTTATTCACAGAGAAGTTGAGACTACATATGATTAAGTGACAAATGTTTGGTACAAGTTGGTACAAGCAATATAAGCCTTAGGATGTCAGAAGAGAGAAAAATTTCCTTAGATGGGAGGATGGGGTTTGGAGGTTGATGTGTAAAGGCACTGGCCTTACAGCATGGATAAGATTTGAGAGGCAGGAGCGGGTGAGAGGATTCCACCAGGGAGGAAGGAGATATGGCAGGTGACACAGCCTGGATGGAATGGACAAGCTGTGTGGAGAGGCCGTTCCTCCATGAGCCCTGGCAATTGTTGGTTTGAGGAGCACCAGGGCATCATTCATTTTCACTCTCCTTTCACTTCCTATAGCAATATATATATTTTTGATCATGTAGGTTGTATTTTGAAATGAGTGCAAAGGCAATGTACATTTGTTCATAAAATGACATTATCATTTTGCATAAATAAAATAACACTAAAAATTATATATTGTGATAAAGATAGAGAAAGAGGTTTTAGCAAACTTCTTTTTCATCAAAGAATATATCAGTTGAATGAAAAATAGGTTCTGTGTTTGCGTAAATATCTTCTTCCTTTCAGTATACTCTTTCTCTTTTCTTCAGAAATCTCATGAAGCCCACAGACTTTATAGTAAGTACTTTTTTCTCGTTCTTTTTTTTCAACTTCTATATTAGAATCAGAGGATACACGTAGATGCCGAGGTTTGGTGTACGAATGAAACCTTCACCCAGGTAGTGATCATAGAACCCAACAGGTAGTTTTTTTCAACCCTTATCCCACTCCCACCCGCCTCACTCTTGTATCCCCCATTGTCCATTGTTCCCACTTTTATGACCATGTGTACCCAACTTCTAGCTCCCACTTAGAAGTGAGAACCTGTGGTATTTGGTTTTCTGTTCCTGCACTGATTTGCTTAGGATAATGGTTTCTGGCTGCATCCATGTTGCTGCAAAGGACACAATCTCATTCTTTTTTATGGCTGCATAGTATTCCATGGTGTATAGGTACCACATTTTCTTTATCCAATACACTGTTGATGGGCACCTGGGTTGAATCTATGTCTTTATAGCAAGATTTCTGATTGAAACACAAAGACTTTCTCTTCTGCCTTCTGAAAAATGTTAAGAAACTGAACATGTGTGTATGTGTGTATATATATGTGTGTATATATGTATATATATGTGTGTATATATACACGCACATATGTATATGTGTGTGTGTGTGTGTGTATATATATATATATATATATATATATATATATATATATATATGCTTTTCCATGGCCCTGAGAAGTTGCTTAAGCCTCGACAAATTTCCTATCACCTCCATGGGGGGGTGCTTATCTGCCCTGATAAGGGCCCCATAGGCTTTTCATGGTCCTGCTTACCCTCTCACACCCCTGAAAATGTTTCATTTATATGATGTCTTCCAACTTGAACTTGAAGAGATGACATTCTTTTCACTGCTCCCTCAGTGCCAAATTAATATCCAAAGTACAGTTGAAGTTTAAAGATTCAGTCTGTTGGACTGGGAACTGGATCCTAGCTTCTATTTATCTGCCTGTCTAGCTAGTTATCCTCTTTTTCTCCCACTCTCTCTCTCCTGGTCTCTCTTTCAATCTCCCTTTCCCACTATCATCTCTCTATCTACCACCTTTTTCCCTCTTTCTGTTTTTGTATCTTTCTATCTGGCCATCACTTACTGGTCATCTCTTTCTCTCTCTTCCTGCCAACCCTATCTACCGCCCCTGTATCTATCCTCTATCCTTGCATATTTGTGTATGTAAATATTTTAAAATATACCTTTATATTTGGGAAAAAATGGGTTAAAGTAATACTTTTTGATCAGGCTGTTGATAAAGTAATCTTAACAGAAATGGCACAAGAACAAGTCGCTATCTACAAAGGAAACCAAGGCCAGTAAACCCAACACAAAGTTTTAGAATAATTGCAATGTAAGGTGCCCTGGAATTATTTCCACACTCAAAATCATTTTTTTTTTCCATTTGAAGCGATTTGGCAGAGGGAAAATTACACCTTTTCCCCTTGCTATACAAAGAGATGCCCCCTCTTCATTCTTTTGTAATTCTAATACAAACCTTGGCAAATGAGACATGGGTTCTAAGGAACATCAAATTCCATGAGTTGAGGAATATCAGAAATAGGCATTTTGCTTCAGTTGGGCAAAATAGCATCTGTGTGTGAGGATGAGACTAAAAGATTACTCTTCTAGTGTGTTTCCATGTGTAACACATGCTGTATTCAAACTGCCAATTTGTTATTGGCTTTATGTCCTATTCATAGCATTGATTTCGTGTTCATCCTGTTTCCTAAGTTTTGGGTACTCTGTAGTATACATGTTTCTTTGCATCCACCATGATTTCTCCGTGAAAGCTGCGTTCCCAGTCCTTTGTTCATTCCCTGTCTCTTTCCCCTTACCTTCCCCCTGGGCCTAATTATGAAACAACTTCAAATAAATACAAAAATTTTTAAACAAAAAAAAATTCTGCTTCCTGTGAGCAATTGCCTAGCTTTCCCCCCTCTTTTCTCTTCAAGAGTTCTAATTCACTTGGAGTACCATGCAGTTGGCCAGGCCTGAGATTTCTGGAAGCTGTAATTGTGTCTCATTAATTCTTACAGTAATGTAGGGTAACTATAAGGAACATGCAATTAGTGGTTTGGTCAATGAACAGAGCAGTTAATCAGCAGACAAAAGATGGGGCTCAGGGCCCATTAGGCTAAAAGGAAGTGTGAGGGCTGTTCCGGGCTCCAGGAATGTATTCGAACATGCCTGACTGTTGGACAGGCTCAGAAGACTATGTTTGTCTTTTTGCTAAACCGGCTTTTTTTTTTAATTGGTGTGGTATGTGTTTATTCAAACACTTGAGAGATTCCTGAGTATTCCGCGAGAGTACCCCAAGCCTTTTTCTCTCCTTGCGTTAGCTGGCCTCGGCTTCTTCCCTCCATTGTGCAAATAAACCCCCAATACACACATAACAAAAAAGCAAAAACAAGCCAAAAACAAACGAACCGACCTCCACAATAAAAATAAAGAAGAAGAAAAGCACAATACTGCTTTACTGGAGTGTATTAAACATGGAAGTCCTGAGCTGACCCCTCTGTCATCAGAAAATAAATGAATGTGGAGACCAATAACGTTGAAATAAGCTTTTGTGTTCTCAATCATCCCCTCCGTATCCATCTCTAGAAAGTGGACCTTTATGCTTTTGAATGGAGGTGCTTTAAATACATGTAAATGTATGCAGATAAGCATATGAGTTTTAAAATGTTGCAGGCCTTATAGCTACAAGTAACCTCAATTGTGTGTTTTCTGTGAGAAAATCTTGTCACATTACTTTGGAAATTTGAATACAGAAGTTAACCCCAAGGAATAAGGTCCCTTTTTCTGGGTAACATGGACTGTACTGCCCTTGCCTAGAAAAACCATGTGAAGTTTACAGATAGAATCCTGTGAAATGTTGTAAATGTGAAGCGATGATTATACAAGAAAATGGATTTATCAATAATACATTGCCCTGGGGTAATTCTGAGCTTGAGCAAACAGTTCTTCAAATAGCATGACATCGCTACTCCTAAGTAAAGCATACATTTGGAATGAAGAAGGAATGATTACATTTGCTTTTCAAAAGTGAAACCAGTTTAATTATTAACTTATTTCCTGAGTCAAGTGCAGGTCTGAAAACAAAGGTAGGGTTTTTTCTTTCTCCAAACCTGTCTGCGGTCTTATCTTCTTGGGATTCACATTGGAAACAAAGAAATGTTCAAAAAATGAATTCTCTTAGGCATTATGTTAGAGCTTCAGCTGTTTTGAATAATTAGCTTCATTTTTTAAATATTTGAAACATTTTTTACTTGGAGATAAGAATAGCCTAGTGGACGATGAGAGTTACAAATGATATACCCTTCTTATCAATTAATTAGGAACAGTAAACCCACTCAACCTCTTTTTTTGCTTATTTTGATTTTCTTCTGTAAAGAAGTGTTTTATTTATTTATTTATTTATTTATTTATTTATTTATTTATTTATTTTTGAAATGGAGCCTCACTCTGTTGTCCAGGCTGGAGTGCAATGGCGCAATCTTGGCTCATTGCAACCTACCCCTCCCGGGTTCAAGCAATCCTTCTGCCTCAGCCTCCTGAGTAGCTGGGATTACAGGCGTGCACCATCACACCTGGCTAATTTTTGTATTTTTAATAGAAACAGGGATTCGCCATGTTGGCCAGGCTGTTCTCAAACTCCTGACCTTAGGTGATCTGCCTGCCTCGGCCTCCCAAAGTGCTGGGATTATAGGTATGAGCCACTGCACCCAGCCAAGAAGTGTTAATTTTTAATTCAAAACATCATGAAGTTTCTCATTTCCTTCAATGACATGCCATGCATTGTTTCAGAAATTGGGAGACTGGTGGGGATAGGGAAGGCGGTTTAATTCTGCACCAACTAGCTTTGGAGAGACAAAGGAATTAACCTTTGCACCTCAGTTTCCTCATCTGTAAAATAAGGATTTTTAGTCAAAGTAATCTTCAAGTCTCCTTTTAACTGTGCTCTTTTGCGACTCTTTTCAGCCAACAGTGAAACTGTTCCGAGTATTATTTAAACATAGGATTTATGTCACAAACTATCCATGGTAAACCATGGTTCCAGTTTGCTGCTGCTGATGCGGGCTATGGAATCATTAGAGGTTACTACCAGCATTAAATTTGTTGTAAAAGGATTTTCTCTGTAATCAGTTTTTTTCTCCTTGTTTTGATTTGCCTGATTGCTAAATAGCTCCCTTGTTTCCTAGTGAATAACACTCCTTCATGTTTCAGGAGCTTGTAATTACCTTGGTCTTTCGGGCAGCATGCTGTCTGCCTGCTTTCATCTGTGAGTGGTCTCTACTGGTCTAGGGTTTCATGTTGTGTATCATAAATCTCAGCAACAAACGGACTTCAAAATCTTCTGTACTTCTGTAAAGTGATACAGTTGGGTTTTATGGTTGCACATTGCTTTATAAAGTAATCTGCTCTGGAATACATCTCAGAAACCATAAACACGGTGGCTGGGTATGGTGGCTTATGCCTGTAATTCCAGTGCTTTGGGAGGCCAAGGAGGGAAGGATTGCTTGAGGCCAGGAGTTCAAGACCAGCCTGAGGAACATAGTGAGACCCTGTCTCTTCCAAAAAAAAAAAAAAATTCGTTGGGAGAGGTGGTGTGTGCCTGTAGTTTCAGCTACTCAGGAGGCTGAGGTAGGAGGATCACTTGAGCCAGGGAGGTTGAGGTGGCAGTGAGCCATGATGGTGCCACTGCACTCTCGCCTGCCAGAACAAGACTCTGCCTTGAA
The DNA here is from genome assembly GCF_000001405.40 of Homo sapiens. NCBI lineage: Eukaryota > Metazoa > Chordata > Mammalia > Primates > Hominidae > Homo > Homo sapiens. Next base: position 35,687,393 of record NC_000010.11, read on the forward strand.
GAGAGAAGAAAAAAATGAAGAAACCACAAACATGTTACTTTTCTCATCAGGAATGGTTCTGCTTCCCTTCAGCCTCATACTCCCAAGGAAAAGTTATTCACATATATATCGGCCACTTAGGAGGCCCATCCATACCCCGACCTGGCTGGAATTTCCGATACTGCTCAGCCCTCAAGGTCCAATCCATCCTGTTGGTTTCTCTGTCTTTTGTGACCCAACCCCTTTCCCTAAGACTTTACCTTTAACCACCCTTCCCATTTTAGAAATTCTGTCTTCTCATCAGATTGCACTGGGCAAAAGTCTTTCCTTCTTTTCTTTCCTGCCAAGATTTTCTCCAGCATAAATGTAATCTTCAGAGAATACAGAAGAATCAGTAAATTAACAATACATTCATGACTTATTCACGGCACAGGGTCAGAAACTCTCAGGCCAACATAGGCTAGGCAGATAACGTAGGAGTTGGGTGAGCCCGAGAGAAAATCACAGAAAGTGGTGGCGGGGCGGGGGTGGGGGGTATAGCGTTGAGGAGATGGGAAGCCGGGGTTGGTGAGGGGGTGGGGGGTGGAGCCCTCCAAAGGACAGGCCTCTGCTAAAGACAGCAGCCTGCACTCCCTCCAGCCAATTATCGCCATACGGGAATGTAACCTGATATGGTTAGAGCTTCTGATTTAAAAAAAATAATAATAAGTTGGAAATGTAGATTTTATGCAAACTCTCCCAATTTTTATTTTTATATTTATTTATTTATTTATTTTGGGACAGGGTCTCTCTTTGTCACTCAGGCTGGAGTGCAGTGGTGCAATTTTGGCTCACTGCACCCTCAACCTCCTGGGGTCAAGCAATCCTCCTGCCTGAGCCTTCCAAGAAGCTGGGACTACAGATGCACGCCACCATGCCTGGCTAATTTTTTTTTAATTTTTTTGGTCAGCACAAGATCTCACTATGTTACCCAGGCTGGTCTCAAACCCCTGGCCTCAAGAAATCCTTCTGCCTCAGCCTCCAAGAGCACTAGGATTACAGTTGTGAGCCACCACTCTGGTAAAACTGCCTTTTGTTTAATTACTTGTGCAAGGGATCTTTTTGTTTTGAAAGGGTAAGCTGAATAAGAGAAAGTTTGTTTTTAGATTATTCAAATTACTTTAATTCCAAGGAGTTGGGTGAGGCAACAATATGTATTGCCCATAATATGAGGATGTTATTTAATTATATCTGGAGTTACTTGGCCAAGAGGGTGGTTAAAAGTTAGGTAATTTTTCTCCTTTAACCCTCACCATCCTGTGTGACATTCTCATATTTAATGCACGTAGAAGCCAAGACTTGTCACGGAGTTAGTAAGTGGTAGAGCCTGGCCCTAGCTCAAAGGTGCATGCTCTGCACCGTCCCTGCCAAAGGGCTGGTCCAGGATCTCGGACATTCTTCAGCCTGACATTCCAGGTTCCATGCCGGATAATTATCCTCAGGATAATGCAGGGGTTACCTACTATTTTAAAAGAACTACAATCTTGGCCAGGTGCAGTGGCTCACGCCTGTAATCCCAGCACTTTGGCAGGCCGAGACGGGCGGATCACCTGAGGTTGGGAGTTCACGACCAGCCTGGCCAAGATGGTGAAACCCTGTCTCTACAAAAATACAAAAATTAGGCTGGGCGCCATGGCTCATGCCTGTAATCCCAGCACTTTGTGAGGCAGAGGTGGGTGGATCACCTGAGGTCAGGAGTTAGAGACCAGCCTGGCCAACATGATGAAACCCCGCCTCTACCAAAAATACAAAAATTAGCCAGGTGTGGTGGGGGGCGCCTGTAATCCCAGCTACTGGGGAAGCTGAGGCAGGAGAATTTCTTGAACCCTGGAGGCAGAGGTTGCAGTAAGCCGAGATTGTGCCACTATACTAGAGCCTGGGCAACAAGAGCAAGACTCTATTTCAAAAAGAAAACAAAAACAAAAGCAAAATTAGTCAGGCATGATGGTGGGTGCCTGTAATCCCAGCTACTCGGGAGGCTGAGGCGGGAGAATCATTTGAACCCGGGAGGTGGAGGTTGCAGTGAGCAGAGGTCACGCCATTGCACTCCAGCCTGGGCAACAGAGCAAGACTCCATCTCAAAAAAGAAAACAAAACAACACAAACAAACAAAAAAACAAAACAAAAAAACAAAACTGCAATCTTAAGGAATTGAAGGTTCGTTAGACTTTGGTTGAAGGACCTGAGAGAGTAGAATTCCTTCAAAGTGTTCCTGAGGCAGGTCTTTATCCCTGAACATCTCAAAGAATAGAAAGCATGGGAGGGACTTACGCTTCAGTTGGCCAAGTGGTCACATGCTTCGTATGATTTGGTATGGACTGCCAAGGGCCCCCTGCTGCTTCCAAAATAATTCCATCATCAGGCTGCCGTGCTCTCAGCCATTTCCACCATTAGAAACCCATTCCTTTGGGTTAATAAAATGATCTCTAGAAATGCCTTGACGACCTACAAGTGGCAGGAGACTGGCTGAAATAACACATGAAAACTGTAGACTGAATGATTTGATAATATTAGCAAAACTTTGAAATAATATGAGACAAGACATGGTATTTGTAACACATATAAAATATTTAACAGTGCCTGGTGTATAGTAAACAGTCAAACAGTGTTCAACGAGCAAAAATAAGGGATGGGAGGGGTGAAGTTGGGGGAGGCAGGAACAGGGTGGATGTGGTGGTAGCCGATGGGACACAGGACATGAGAGAGGGGCAGGGTTGTGAAGAAAGGAGGCTGAGACAGATGTGGCCTGCCACAGAGGTGAAGTTCAGCCCTGAGCCCTGGTTGTAGCAGTTTTCTCTCTTTCATCATAGTAGAAATCAGGCAGAATTTATGCCCACGATTTGACCGTTGCAGGAGCTTTCTGGTTCCAGGGTTTTAGGACACACAGGTTTTGTTTCAGCGGTTTAAACTTACACATTTCAGCCAAGATGATGATAAACCTCAGGAAATTAAGGAAAGGAATACATGTGATATCAAAACCAAAAATTCAATCTTCCTTCATATGTAAAACACGAAAGCCATAAGCCTGTAAACCCAAATTCTGGTAAAAATCCACTACAATGGGTTATTCAGCCAGTGTGAAATTTATGTGCACCTTAAGCAAGGGGTTATTTCGCTTCCTGTATTTCCTGTTTCCAAATACTCTTTTGAATTGAAAATGGTGAGAAGCGTAAATTATATGACACTGGAAACGTCTTTCCTATTTCATTTACGATCAAGAACTACTGTTTGCATTTGTATTATGTAGCTACTGTAGAAATTGACCAAATGTTGACAGACAAAAGGCACATGCACCCTGACAAGAGCCAAAACAAACAGGAAGGAACCAACAAGGTAGAACTGTTGGAAAGAACAAAGGATACAGACACACGGGACCATGTGAACCTGTTCTTTGCAAGATGAGCCACTACAGCTGGGTGCGTAGAAGGTTAATGAGCCTGATGGATGGAAATGGAGCTGGGTTCTTCTGTGCATGGTGCAGGCTCTAATCCAATCTGGACCCACTATGAGTTAAAGGAGACACTGGCTTTCCGGGGAGCCATGCACACAGCTAGATGGGTTTCTGGGGAACTGGAAATCGTGGTTCCACCGCCTTCTTCTCCCATCTTTCTTTCAGGTGCAAACTTTTCACCTGAAAGGCTTTCTATTTAGACCTTCCAGGAAGTGAGACTAAATGGTGTGAAGAGGAGTGAGTAAAGACCAACCCTGAATGACTGATTGAGGATGCGTGTTAGAATGGGGCTAAAGCCCTGCCGATCCATCTTTTCTTTCCATAAGGCTTTTAGTTGGTTGCCACAATGGAGAGCAAAGGTAAGATGAGGAGACAGAGGAAGAGGAAGACTAATTTCTTTCCGGTTAGGAACAGGCAGACAGTAGAGAATAACTCCAGGCAATCTGGAGTCAAGGCAAAATGATCTATGTCCAGATCCCAGTCTTTCCGCTGCAGTCCACATTTAGAATAAACATACATGCATCTACACCGTAGGGTTTCTTCCCAAGCTGGAAAGGCCATAGTAGTAAGTTGGCAATTCAGACTTTTTTTTTTCCCTTTTATTGACTAGATTCCAAATTGGGGGTAGAGGGGAGAGATAAAACTCAAATACCCCAAATTTGAACCAGATGACAAAATGTCACCCAAACCTTTTGCAAGGCAAGGCTGAAGGGTGCAGGTGTGTGTATCGGGTGTCGGTTCTTCCCTCCTTGGGTATTGACACAGTTTGCCTCTTCCCCGAGATTCAGTGAGTAGCTACTGCTGCACATAGGTACCCAGTCCCTAATGAAACTCAGCTGCACGAGTTTCATGGGGCTTTAGGATTTGTAAGCCCATGATTGGAGTTGAAGCCTTCCAGGAACCGCTGCCCTAATAGAACAGGGAAGGAAAACTGATCTATCTCTGCAGGCCTACTTTTCATTTTAATGAGTGGCTCTGAAGGACGAGCAGGCTGCTAAACAATTTATTTTTCAGATAATACGAAGAACGGACTGGAAATACATTCAGAAGGAAAACACAGTAATTAATTTGTCACTGAAACCTGAGGGGTCCGGCTCCACTTATAGGTGATAATGAATGTTTTGCACGTAATTAGCAAGAATAATTAGCACATTCCTGGTAACAAATGGACTGACTGGTACTCTGCAAACAAAATTAATTGTTGTGCTAACAGAGGCAATTGTGTCTCTTTATTGTCTGACAATGTCCCTTATATGCACTAATACCTACTTTAGAACTCAGCGGCTTTGTGCAGATAGGAAGGGGAATCTATAAAATTGTACCCCTTCCATCCGCTTCTCAGAAATTTCAAGACCACCAGGGGACTTGTTTGTCAAAACTTGTTAAACAATTTGTAATCTTTAACATGTGTTTTACTGTATTAACGGATGAACCGTTCAAATCAACTTACTGGTTAAGCCAGGAAAGCTACTCTAATCAATCAAATGCCGACATTTTAAACTCTGGGAACTTTTTTTTTCCTTTACCTTCTTTGGAAAGGAATAGATAAAAATATTGAACTAGAAGTGAGAGGGAAAATTTTCTTAAGTTCTACTGATGCATATTGAGTTTATTTCTGTTGTCTTGGCCTTATAAGGTGGGTCTGACTTGGAAGCCTGTTTGTGTTTGCAGGCTTGCAATTAGGCTGCTCAGAAGAAACACAGTGGTATCCCTTTTACAGTCCTTTAGACAGTTTTAAGCAGCACGTAAAATTTATACACACAGTAGGCTTCTTTCTCCCTGACTCTGAAACCTATTTTTTAAACTCCTACAGCTTACAATATAGGAAAATAATTTTAATGAACATGAATATTCTAGTAATTCTTAGGATGGTTGGAGAAGCTGAGAATACTATGATATACTTTAAAGAGGATTCCCTAGGTCTGGTGCAGTGGCTCAGACGCCTGTAATCCCAGCACTTTGGGATGCTGAGGTGGGAGGATCACTTGAGCCCAGGAGTTTCAGACCAGCATAGGCAATATGACAAGAACCCATCTCTATAAAAAATAAAACACTTAGCCACGCATGGTGGTGCGTGCCTGTGGTTCTAGCTACTTGGGAGGCTGAAGTGGGAGGATCTCTTGAGCCTGGGAGGTTAAGGCTGCAGTGAGCCATGATTGTGCCACTACACTACAGCCTGGGTGACAGAGTGAGACCCTGACTCAAAAAAAGAGAGGATCGTTTATCAGAACTGCATCCCTGTGTGTGCACAATAAATGATTATATGAACAGAACTGAAATCGAATTCAGGCTGCTGGTGGGTACCAGATTTCCACACACTAACCTGGCTTCCTGAGAGGAGTGGAGCAGAGCAAGGCTGGCCTTATTCTTGAGGTGTGATGTCGGGTCTCGCCCTTGGCGTCTTTGGGGCACCACTCTTGGGCAGGTACTTTTCCTCCAGCAAATTGTCTGCTCCTGGGTTTCTGTGACTCCATTTTTTTCCTGGCTCTTCTCTCATCCCTTTAAAGTTCTTCTCAGTTTCTGTCCTTGTGCCTTTACCCCTTCCTCTTAGGGGAACTGTCCTCCAGTTCTGGGGCCCTCAGTAGTTCCCTTTTTGGGCACAGGGGTTGTTTGGCATCATCACTTGGCGGCCATATCCGTCTCATATTTCCAGCTCCTTGTTGTCTACTTTCATCTAGTAGACAAAGAAGAAAAGATCCTTTCCTTTTTCTCTCAAACATCTACAGATTTCTCTAAAACAAAATGGATTTTCTGCCTCCAATTTCTGCTTTCTGTTCATGAAACCAACATTTTGTCAGACACGGGGTGGGTGCAGTGGCTCATGCCTGTAATCCCAGCACCTTGGGAGGCTGAGACAGGTGAATTACTTGAGGCCAGGAGTTCGAGACCAGCCTGGGCAACATGGTGAAACCCCATCTCTACTAAAAATACAAAAATTAGTCAGGCATGGTGACACTCGCCTGTAGGCCCAGCTACTGGAGAAGCTGAAGTAGAAGAATTGTTTGATCCCAGGAGGCAGAGGATGCAGTGAGCGGAGATCGCACCACTGCACTCCAGCCTGAGTGACAGACTGGGACTCTGTCTCAAAAATAAAATAAAATAAAATAAAATAAAATAAAATAATAAAATAAAATAAAATAAAATAAATAAAATAAAATAATAAAATATCAGCCACGGAGCCTGCAAATCTCTGGATTATCATGGTTGCCTCTGATTTCAACCAGTTTCTAAGTCATATCCAGTATTATTTTCCGAAGGATATCTCTTTGTTGTTTTTCATCCTATTGTCACCGGGCTACTCAAGCTTCCAAGCCTCCTCAGTAATTTTTCTGTTGTTAGGAAACTGGTTTCCCTATTGCTTTTCTTGTTCATTCTGCACACCGTAAGTATATGCATCAATTAACTACTTTGTATCATGTAATTCACTGGCTTAAAAATATCCGGTGGACCCCTGGCTTGACATCCAAAGCCCAAACTCCTTCACTTAATGTGCAGAATTCACCATTGTTTGATCCTAGTGGTTCCTATGTATAAATATGTTCTGGCTAGACATGCTGTTTTCATACCGATTTTGCACATTCTGACTCCACAAAGCCCCTGGCCTTCTTCCTTCTCTCATCTAAATCTATCCATTCCCTAAAGCTCTGTCCTAGTTTCCCTTCCTCGCAGACACTTCCCTGATCACTGGAAGCTGCGGTAAAATGCTTATCTGAACGCTGTCTTGCCTCATTCTGATCACTTGGTCAGGAATCAGCCTGCATTGCCTACTATTGGCATTTACCTTGCATGTGTATTTCTTGCCTGTACAGTTAAATTTCTCAAGGCCAGGAACTGTGTCATATTTTAAAGCTACTGCTAATTCCATTTGGTATCAGTTATGTTTAACATTTATTTCAAAGCCAATTTTATAAACATTGTCCTTTTTAGAGGACTTTATTCGTTTTTGGGTTCTGTCTTTGGCTCTGGGTCTTTGTCTTTTGCTTTTCCAGATGTTGGAAGCTCTTGAGCAAGGATTTGAACACTCATCCAAAGTCAGGCATCTTTGTGCTTCCAGGAGGCAGGGGTTCTGTGTGAGAGATTAAACGGCCATTCTCTCTGTGGCTGCAGGATTTCGCAGGGCACGCCTCTGGAGAGTAGTGAGGTGGAAAAGTGGTTACAAATTAGAGGATACAGGTTCCTGTCCTTCTTTGTTGCTGTCGAGCTGTGTGACTCTGGGAAAATTGCTTTGCCCCTCTGAGACTCGCTTTCTCACCTGCGAAATCCATTCATTCATTCATCCAGCAGATAGTCACTGGGTTCCTACTGTAAGTCATTTTGACTAGGGGATTCTCTGAGCTTCTAAATGTTTTTTTCTGCAGTGCTTATGTAACCTTTTGTTCATACCAGTTTATAACACATTGTCCAAAAATTAGTTCTATTTATTTGTTTTTTTTCTCAGATAGATTTTTTTTGTTTGTTTTTGTTTTTGAGACGGAGTCTCACTCTGTTGCCCAGGCTGGAGTGCAGTGGCGCAATCTCAGCTGACTGCAAGCTCTGCCTCCCAGGTTCATGCCATTCTCCTGCCTCAGCCTCCCGAGTAGCTGGGACTACAGGTGCCCGCCACCATGCCCAGCTAATTTTTTGTATTTTTAGTAGAGATTGGGTTTCACCATGTTAGCTAGGATGGTCTCGATCTCCTGACCTCGTGATCCGCCTGCCTCAGCCTCCCAAAGTGTTGGAATTACAGGCATGAGCCACCGCGCCCGGCTATCAGATAGTAGACTTTTTGATGTAAGAGGTCATATCCAATTATCCTTGTATTTCTGGCACCTAGCAAAATACCTTTGGACTCTGCCTTTTTTTTTTTTTTTTTTTTTTTTGAGACAGAGTCTTGTTTTGTCACCCAGGCTGGAGTGCAGTGGCACAATCTCGGCTCATTGCAACTGCTGCCTCCAGAGTTCAAGTGATTCTCGTGCCTCAGCGTCCCGACTAGCTGGGATTAGAGACATGCGCCACCATGCCAGCTAATTTTTGTATTTTTAGTAGAGACAGGGTTTCGCTACCTCGGCCAGGCTGGTCTCGAACTCCTAGCCTCATGTGATCCACCCACCTCGGCCTCACAAAGTGTTGGGATTATAGGCGTGAACCACCGCACCCTGCCTCTGGACATTGTCTTTTTGGATGAACGATCATGCAGAAAGGTTTAGGGCCAGTCGTTTGTGAGTGACTACGGGTAGGAATTAAATGACGTTTATTTTCCTTGAATCTCTGTGTAGGAGCTTTTACTTTTGGGAGGCGAAACAAGTATTTTGCAGAAATTTCCTGCTTTGGTTAATTGACCACCGACTTTAACTAGGATAAATTTTAGCTAATTTTCTGACTCTTAAACATCCTCTTATGTGAAATCACTCGATGAGTTTTGCAGTTAGGCTTGGTTAACATCGATGAGTTCTTACTTAGATGTCACATCTAGCCCCAGGATGCTCATTAATCTAGTTGAAGTGATCAGATGCAGTTTTGGTGAAAATAGGTGGAAACAGAGTTTATGTTCTTCAGCAATTGGTCAGGAGGAGGAAGATTGATCTAAAAGAGAAAAAGTTGTATAAGCCAACACTTTAACGAGTGGAGAGATTATCCTAAGGTCTACCTTGTATTGTAGACAAACTGATATTAGCTTCTAACTGGGTCTTTAACTTAAGAAATGGGAATGACACGGGAGTGACTTGCTTTCTAACACAGCTGCAATTTGCATTTCCTGTCTGCTCACATTCTTCTTTGTAATCCTTGTTAACTGGGAATGTGGCATTGAGTAAATTCATAAAATAAATATGGAGATTGTATTAGGCTAAAAATTACTTTGCATTGTTATGCTTTGTTTCGTGTTCAGTTAGAGTAACTGAATCCGCAAAGTTCTCTTCTTTTATCCTTGGAATAATCACAAGCTGGGCTTCCACTGGCTGTTCCAGAAAAGAAAGTATGCTTGGCTAGTTGTGTCTGTGTGTGTGTGTGTGTGTGTATGTGCACATGCGTGCATGAGTGTATAAGCAATAGGAAAAACAAGTATTTTGAATACATATAATAATATACCAGTATTCAGGATTTTCATGGTCTTAGGCAAAATCATGGCTTAGGAATGCTTTCAGTTTGACTTTTCACTTACCATTTCCTTGTGACCTAGCTTCAGATTTTGACTTTTTTCTTCTTCTTTATTTAGCCACCCTTGTCAGTTTCATGTCATGTGCCAAGGCATGACAAGATAGTGAGTGTTTGTAGCCATCTAGGGGGAGAGGATAGTTTCTGGCTGCTGTGAATTGCTGGGGGCAGCCAAGAGGCTGTTTTCTAGCTAGGATTTTTGCACAAGTACAGCAGGAATCCCTTGCATGTGCCCAGTAGAAGCAGAATACTGTATTTCATGAGCATTAAGATACTAGGGTCCTCTTTTCTGGCTAGAACCATGGAGGGTGTTGAAGAGAAGAAAAAGAAGGTTCCTGCTGTGCCAGAAACCTTAAGAAAAAGGGAAGGAATTTCGCAGAGCTGAAGATCAAGCGCCTGAGAAAGAAGTCTGCCCAAAAGATGCTTCGAAAGGCAAGGAGGAAACTTATCTATCAAAAAGCAAACCACTATCACAAGGAATGTAGGCAGATGTACAGAACTGAAATTCGAATGGCGAGGCTGGCAAGAAAAGCTGGCAACATCTATGTACCTGCAGAACCCAAATTGGCGTTTGTCATCAGGATCAGAGATATCAATGGTGTGAGCCCAAAGGTCTGAAAGGTGTTGCAGCTTCTTTGCTCTCATCAAATCTTCAATGGAACCTTTGTGAAGCTCAACAAGGCTTCAATTAACATGCTGAGGATTGTAGAACCACATATTGCATGGGAGTACCCAAATCTGAAGTCAGTAAATGAAGTAATCTACAAGCGTGGTTATGGCAAAATCAATAAGAAGGGAATTACTTTGACAGATAACACTTTGATTGCTGTGTCTCTTAATAAATATGGCATCATCTGCATGGAGGATCTGATTCATGAGATCTATACTGTTGGAAAGTGCTTCAAAGAAGCAAGTGACTTCCCGTGCCCTTCAAATTATCTTCTCCACGAGGTAGAAAGTAGAAAAAGACCACCCGTTTTGTAGAAGGTGGAGATGCTGGCAACAGCGAGGACCAGATTAACAGTCTTATCAGAAGAACGAACTAAGGTGTCTACCATGATTATTTTTCTAATCTGGCCAGTTAATAAACAGTATGGGCTCTCCAACTGAAAAAAAAGATACTAGGAAATTTGGTCAGTTAAGTCAGTCCTGCCCTTTGGAATTCTGAAACTTTTTTTTTTTTCTTTTTGAAATGGAGTCTGGCTCTGTCACCCAGGCTGGAGTGCAGTGGTGCAGTCTCCGCTCACTGCAACCTCCGCCTCCCGGATTCAAATGCTTCTTTTGCCTCAGCCTCCTGAGTAGCTGGGATTACAAGCAAGCACCACCAGGCCCAATTAATCTTTGTATTTTTAGTAGAGATGGGGTTTCACCATGTTGTCCAGGTTGGTCTTGAACTCCTGACCTCAGGTGATCTGCCTGCCTTGGCCTCCCAAAGTGCTGGGATTACTGTGCCTGGCCCTGAAACATCTTTAAATCAAGGGTTTCTGAAAGTATGTGGAACTGACTGGACCATCCTTATTTTGCACGTTATTTTGCTTTTTCACTTGTATTCAGACTTTGACTAAAAGAACATGGTGGATGAATGGGGAAATTAGGCACAGAGGGTAAAGAAACTAGGAGAATCTACTTACCTTTCATGTGCATTTGAAATGAAGGACAGATGTCTGTTCTGTTCTGGATATCTGTGGATGCTAGTGAATGGTCCTTTTGGTCTAAGCAATTATGTCTAAGAGGTTAGAAATACTAGTTGACTTACATTTGAATCAGAGAAGCTGCTTTTTTTTTTTGACAAGAGTTTTGCTCTGTTGCCCAGGCTGGAGTGCAGTGGCGCGATCTCGGGTCACTGAAACCTCCACCTTGTGGGTTCAAGCGATTCTCCTGCCTCAGCCTCCTGAGTAGCTGGGATTACAGGCATGTGCCACCACTGCCTCCTACCTTTTGTATTTTTAGTAGAGGCACGGTTTCACCATGTTGGCCAGGCTGGTCTTGAACTCCTGACATCAGGTGATACTCTCGCCTTGGCTCCCAAAGTGCTAGGATTACAAGCGTGAGCCACAGCACCTGGCCAGAAGCTGCTGTCTTAATATTAAAATCCCTGTCCCACTAGAAAATTTTTCATGTCCAAATTATATATGACATTACTGTCAGTAAATTTTCAGTCGCTTGTACCTCTGATTCCTTGAATACATAGGAAATCCTTCATTCTTCTCATCTGAGATATATACTAATGGGGCATTACACATTCACTATGTGTAAAGGGGCAAGAGGGCTCTCTGGTTAAAGACGTAGTGTGGACTCCTCCTGCCTTGCCCTCCAACAGCCCTCAACCCCTCCTTCCTCACCCTAATGGTGTCTTGAATGTAACTTACTAGTTTGACTTTCCCTGAACCAGAGCAATGAACTCATAGAATGATTTTAACGTTGAGTAATTATGTCTCCAGGTGTTTGACATTTAAAACTTGAAGCTGAAACAGGAGCCTGGTCTCTGTATCCACTTATGATAAATGTCCTTGAAATATTCCACTTAAATACTCAGCTGTAGTCAGTTTGCACTTCAACTGTGGACATCATTAGGAAATGGAAAAAAGGAGTCTTTCTTCATTAATAATTGGGAAGGCAGCCAGTCACCAGAAGCAGGAAGGCTTTTTGAGCTAGAATGAGCTCCTCTTTTGAGCTAGAATGGTCTGATTCCACTTCCCCCAACCTTTCCATTCTCCCCAGGTCAGAGCATAGAAACTGGTGGAACCTAGCCGGGGTGACTTTCTTTGTTTAAGTTGTCCATAATGCGGACTAATATTTGGCAGCCAAGTGTTTTAAAACATTTATACACTGTCACAGTAAATAAGTTTCCAGGAGTAGACCTGTGTGAGCTGCTTAATATTCCTTGAGGGTATTTTAGATTTCCCTGAATCTTAGAATGCAACTTTCCTCACACTAATGGAGAATTCTATTGATTGCAGCAAATGACCTAAATACTTTTTGAGCAAGACTGAAATAAATATTATAGCAGCGGCAAGGGCGTTTCTCAAGGGTAGCAATTTCCTTTGCTTCTGAAAGCCTCCAGGGAATGATTCTATTTGCTCCATCTGGTGGGTCTCACTGTTTAGGTTGATAAATTTTCCAGGACACTGTAGAGTTTCTTTCTTAATGCTACATGAATTCTCTTCCTAGGGAGAAACATTTTGCCGTCTCAAGGATGTCAAATATATTCTATATATGTTTGGGACAGGTATGAGCCACCTCTAGTTCATATATGTCAAACAGGAGGTATTGAGCGAGAGTGAACTATTCATCCAGTGTGACCTGGCTAGCCAGTCATGTGGAGGGAGAGGACAAAACTGGAAGGAATAACTGAAGCTGCACCGAAAGAAAGTTAGAAGAAAAACATCAGGTTAGCTAGTGGAGAAATCTATACTATAATAGAAGTTATTAAGAAATAATTTTAGGCAGATAGAGAGGAAAAGGGCTCCTTGGAAAATTTTCATCTCTTTTAAAGCCGCTCCAGAAAAGTTTCTTGTCTAGCAGGAAAGCCTTGGCTCTTAGAGCCAGGGCGGCAACCTTTAATATGCAAATACCAGCCATTAGAAACTGGGTACACCCAACATGGCGATTTCCACCGTTGTCCTCTTGACCTTGCGCCTACAAGTGCCTAGCAGCATGGTTGTCCCCACATAACCCCACGTGTGTAGAACATCATGGCAGCCCTGTATTTGCATACTAAAAGACTAGGGTGGGAGGGCCAGTTTTTTCGCGGGCTAAGTGAATGACATGCCAGGTCAAACCAATCCCCTGAGCCCTATGCAAACCAGACACCGCCTCCTCTAGCCTCCTTATATAACTATCTGGTATCCCCCGCACGCGGGGTCTCCTCTCTTGGCTTTGGAGCCCCTCTCCCTCTGTCTCTGTATAGGTGAGCTGCTTCTTTCTTTGTTCTCCCCTCTTTCCTGCCTATTAAACTCCCTGCTCCTTAAAATCACTCCACGTGTGTCCATGTCGTTTTACCTAAATCGTGCAAGACAAGAGCCCTGGTGTTCCTGCACTCATCGGAGCCGCATCAATACCATCAGTACTAAGCCTTAAATTTACCAGGGGTTGTAAGAGTCCCAGTGCCTCCATTAATCCACATCTGTGTATCCCCGAGGAAGTCTTCCTGGTCTGGTTGGTTTCACAGGTGAATTTGAGCACGTCTGCTAAGCACTCAGCCTGTTTACCTTAGATAGATCATACTTTGAACCTGAAAGCACTTTTCAAAGTTTCTTTCTTGCCGATTACCTTGCAGTCATGCCCTAGAAATGGCGACATGCACATCAGCAGCTGACGTTTGCACAGTGCCTTGCAGCTTCCTTTGTCACTGTAGCACCTGGCGCTGACTTCGGATGCTGCCCTGTACCCAGGGGCCTCTGCTGATCCCCACTGCCTGCCCCCTCCGGAGCAGCCCCAGGCCGTGGTGCGGTAATTGGCACCAGGTGGATGATGAAGACAGATTTTTATTTGATTCTCACAACAACCCTGAGATAAATAGAGCAGAGATGTGGAAACCCAGGCTCAGAGAGATGGAGTGCCTTGCTCACTGCCTCCGTGACATGGGATGGCCCCAGAACCTGAATGCAGCTCTTCTGACTTCCAATGCAGGGCTCATGTCATGCCACCACTGCTGGTGGAGAATTGTCCTTATTCATCACTTGCATTGTTGGCAAATCAACTATATAGAATGTTCCTGGAAATCCCCTGAATCTTATTTTGGTATTTTGCCACCCATCCGCAGTTGACTGTAGAGCAAAATCATACCCTACCTGACTGTGGCCCCACCAGGTGCCATGTCCTGGGTGAGTGTTTTCTAGACACGGACTCGTTTATTTTCACAGCCATCCCAGGAGGTGTGAGTGATCCTTATCCTCATATTACAGATAAGGGAATGGATCCACAGAGCGGGGAAACCCCTTGTCTGAATTTCCTCAGTTAGTGAGCAGCAGAGCTGAGGTGCAGTCCCAGCTATCTGTCTTTAAAACCTCAGAGCCCCCAGGCCATTGCTTGCTGTAGATCAGTGTAGCGCTGACTTCTGCAGCACCACGTCTTGATGCCTCACTTAACCCATTCTGTATTTTATTTTAGATTTAGGGGGTACACATGCATGTCTGTTACATGGGTATATTGCATACTGGTGAGGATTGGGCTTCAAGTATATCCATTACCCAAGTAGTGAACATTGCACCCAACAGGTAATTTTTCAACCCTCCCCCTTCTAGAGTCCCCAGTGTCTATTATTTACGTCTTTACTTTTTTTTTTTCCAAGATAGGGTCTTGCTCTGCCATCCAGGCTGGAGTTTAGTGGCACGATCATATCTCACTGCAGTCTTGATCTCCTGGGCTCAAGCGATCCTCCTACTTCAGTCTCCTGAGTAGCTGGGAACAGAGATGTGCACCACCCTGCCTGGCTAATTTTAAAGAGGTGGGGTCTCACTATGTTGTCCAGGGTGGTCTTGAACTCCTGGGTTCAAACCATCCTCCTTCCTCAGCCTCCCAAAGTGCCGGGATTACAGGCATGAGCTACTGCTCCCGGCCTATTATTTCCATCTTTTACGTCCATGTGTACCCATTGTTTAGCCCGCACCTATAAGTGAGAACATGAAGTATTTGATTTTCTGTTTTCTAGTTAGTTCATTTAGGATAATGGCCTTCAGCTTTATTCATGTTTCTACAAAGGGCGTGATTTCACTGTTTTTCATGGGTACATAGTATTTCATGTAAACCCATTCTTATCAGAAAACTAACACCTGAGTTTAAGGCTTTCTGTGGGGATCCTGATCTGGTTGGAAGCTCTCTAACAGGATGTCCCTGCCCCTTCTACACTGAACCCCTAGACAACACCTCCATCAGTGTGCAAATCTGTGTCTGTCCTCTCAATCTCTCCCCCACTGTAAGGCAGGCTCACAGCATCACTGCCTTCTCTAGACTTTAGGAGAAATCAGATTCTCTTAGACTTTAGGAGAAACCAGATCTACATCCAGGTGAAGCAATGCCATCTGCATTTTCTTCCTTCTTTTCTTGTTTTAATTGGTATATCATTGTTGTACATACTTATAGGGTACATGTGATATTTTGATGCCTGTATACAATGTGTAATGATAAAATCAGGGTAGTAGGGAAGTGCATCACTTAACATTTATCTTATCTTTGTGGTGGGAACATTCCAATCTCCTCTTGTAGCTCTTTTGAAATATATAATAAATTATTGCTAACTACAATTTGCCTACTGTATTATCAAACACTAGAACTTATTCCTCTGTCTAACAGTTTTGTGTTTTCTTTCCTTAGGGCGTGTTTTCTGCATCTGTGGTCAGATTAGTTAGCCTTCTCCATATCTTCCTTTGTATCTTCCCTTTCAAAATAGGGAGGCAAAAATTAGACATGATGTCTTTGATAGTCAATCAACCACAGCCAGTTAGAGCTCTGGGCCCGTTTTCCAGCTTTTGCATCTCATCTGTGACAGTTCCTTCCCATCTTCATGCTCACTTTCCAGCGAGGGCATTGGCCCCTGTTCAGTGTGTGAACAGGGTCACTCCTTAGGGCTTGCCCCGCGTAAAAGGGGGCTTTCCTGAACGCTTTTTTTTACCCTCAAAATATGATGACTTACATTAAACTCTTGGACTTCATTCTGATTTTGTGGAGCCATTTTTGTTTTTGTGTAACATTTAAAATGTATTGAAACAATACCTTTCCTAGAAACAAAACCTTTCTTAGAGAGGCTTTTGTCAAAGATGTAATCTCATATGCACTTTATAAATTACATTATTAGTCTGGAAACCTACATGCAAGTTGCCAAGACTATATACTTTCTTGAGCTAGCACCTGGTGGATTATCCATTTCCCATCACACTTGCACACACACACCCAACACAAACATGTCAACACACATACACCCCAATATGCACATCCCAACACACACACACCAACACCCTCCAACACACACATGTACATGCCAACACACATACGCACACACATACACATGTATCAACAGACACACCAACACACCTCCAACACACGCACAGACCAATGCACATACCCCAACACACATACTCACCAACATACACGTGTACCCATGCACACACCAAACATACATTCGCATGTACACACACCCCTCCAACACAACCCTAACACACACACAGTACACGTGCCCACCAACACACACACACCAACACCGCCAGAGCAATAGACACACACACCAAAACATACACACTAATACACACCCACCCCCGCACATGTTGTAATTACACACACACACACGCACACAAATTTTTGAGCAAGTTTTCCCCTACAAAATCCAGAGTAAATTACAGCAAAATCTATATATTGCTCTGCTTTCTACTATGCTACCAGAGGAAGTGGTGAAAAGTTCAAGAATTTTAGACCTATAACTGAATGGGAAAATACTGGAACAGACAGGGAATTGCTGTATATTGGCATAAAGATAAGCAAATAGTTCAGAAAGCTATTGTGCTGTGTTCTACAGGTATTGGTTTTTTTGTGCCAAAAATTTCCTATTCAAATTTAATAGTATTCAATGGTCTACACAGAAATATGTTTTTTATTATATAGCTATAATTTGACCATGAGCTTAATACAATAATGTAATAGAGCATTTCTCTGTCTCTGTCTGCTTAGAGAGAGAGAATTTTATAGTTATTAAATTACAATCACTGTATTCTCAAGGCACATAAATGAATTCATTACTCAGGACACATTCAAGCATAGAATACTATTTGAATAATGTAAGCCCTTAAGAATATATTTAATTATTCCTAAAATAAATTTAACATTGATAGGGCTTGTTTTCATGACTGAAAAATTAGGAAGCGTGCAAAGAATATAAATATAGAATTAAAATGAAGCTAAGTATAAGGATATTTGGTTGTTGTTAATTGCTATGCTCAGATAATTTATTTTGCTAATAGGTGTCTCTGTCCATGTGTAGTGTCTGTGTGTATGGCATGTGTATGTATGTATTTGTGGTGTGTGCATGTGTGTATGTGTGCATGTTTGTGCATATGTATACATGCACTGTGCCTGTCTGTGCATGCGTGTGTGTGCTTTTGTGTGTGTGTGTGTGTGTGTGTGTGTGTGTGTTGTGAAGCCAGCAGCAATGTGAGTTTAGGCATCTGCTCTGGCAATGGGCTCTTCCTCCCTGGATCTTGCAATGTTTTGACACCATCTGACACAGAAGCTTTCTTGCCTGGGGTCTTCTCATTGCACAGACCACATTTTTCTCTCTGGATTTCTCATGACATTGCTGGTGACACACTGCATTCATGTTCGAACTCTGAAAAAACACTTTTGGTGAGATGAATCCACGTCCAGCTGTTTTCAGATGCAGATGTTTTCTCAGGGTAATCGTTGACTTCCAGCAAGACATCCTGGAGGACAATGGAGGTGAAGAGGAAATGGGACGCAAAGGAAACAGGCCTCGTTCCCCAGTCCGCCCACCTGTGTGCTGCCCTGGGCCAGTCATATCTCATCTTCACAGTTTGTCTCAGGCTTTGCTCATGGTTTTCTATTTTCTGTCCTTCTTACTGTTTTACCTCCCCTAATTCTACTATTAGCTATTACCTCCTCAGATCCAAGGGTTTCCACAATATAAGACCGACCCCCGTTCCCCCAGGCCACACTAACAATAGCTTCTCTGTGTGCATCCTAGTGCCAGGCACCTTACTAAGTGCTTACCTGTAACATCTCATAGGATCCTTAAGAGAACTCCATAAAGTAGATGCTATTATTATCTCAACTCTATTGCTTTAGAGAATGAAGTTCAGGTTAAATATTTGCCCAAGATCACACAGGGCTGAGATTGAGGCTTCCAACTGTGTCCTGTCTGCATTGCTGCATCACTGTGTCACTGCCCTCTGGGCTCTCTCCTCTGCATAGTTGTAGCATCTACGTTAGACATGTACATTTTAATTTCCAGTAACAGCTTATTCGCTCTCTGGATCTTGCTTTCTATATTTCCCATGACTGGGTTTCATCTGTTCTAAGAGACTGTCATCATCCCATGTCTCTTGGCTGGTGAGTTTTGTACACCTTTGAATTTACACCTACTATTTTATTTAATCGTGGCTTGTCCTGAATTCACTGTGCTTTACCCCCTTGTTTCTTGCTGTCTTTTGTATTCTCCACAACTATTTCATTTCATCTCAGACTATAGAGAGATTCAATTTTATTTCTATTCTTTTCTGGTCTCTTTTGAAGTTATACGTATTAAATGTAGAAAAAAACAATAACTTTCATGCTCTTCTAGAAAAATACAAGAACTTATAACTGAGCTCCTATCACTCTTCATGCCCATTTGCTATTGTTGCCGTCTTTTAGATTCAACCTCTATTTTGCGAACCTCACAAATGAGATCTTATCAATATCGTGTTTGATTGTTTGTATTTCTTATGTGCAGTTTTCTCCACATTTACCAGTTTCTTTGCTCACCATTTCTTATTAACTTTTATTTTAAGTTCAGAGGTACATGTGCAGGTTCATTATATATGTAAACTCACGTCATGGGGGTTTGTGGTACAGATTATTTCACCATCCAGGTATTAAACCTCATATCCATTAGCTATTTTTCCTGATCCTCTCCCTCCTTCCACCCTCCACCTCCTGTAGGCCCTCATGTCTGTTGTTTCCATCAATGTGTCCATCTATACTCATTATTTGTCTCTCACTTATAAGTGAGAACATGCAGTATTTGGTTTACTGTTCCTGTGTTAGTTTGCTAAGTATAATGGCCTCCAGCTTCATCCATGTTCCTGCAAAGAATGTGATATCATTCTTTTTTACAGCTACATAGTACTCCATGGTGTATATGTACCACATTTTCTTTATCCAGCCTACCATTGATGGCTATTTGGGTTGATTCCATATCTTTGCTATTGTGCTCACCCTTTCTTATATCCTAGACTTTCCTTTTGGAATCATTTTTCTTCTTCTGAAAGCTGCTCTATTAGCAGTTTTTCAAGTTTTTTAAAATCTGAAGGTGTTGTAGTTATTATTTTGTTCTTGAAGGAGAGGTTTGCTCAATACATCACTCTGTATTAATGGAAAATATCTCACCTTTTTGAAGATATTCCACTCTTGTTTGTCTTCTATTATTGCCACTGCGAAGTCTGCTGTCTGTCTAATTGATTTGTTGTTGATCGTGGTGATCTATGTTTTCTGTTTGGGTGCCTTTAAGATCTTTTCTCCCTCTCTCTTAAGAAACTGTTCCTCAATTTCACTATAAATATTGTTTTCTTTGTGTTTACTTGCTTATTATACTTATTATTCTTTCAGTTTATTTTATTTGTCGATTTATGGCTTTAACTCATTCTGGAAAAATTTTAGCTATTACATCCTTAAGTATTTTTTGTACTCTACACATCTACTCTCTCTTGCTAAAATTCTAATTAGATGTGTGTTAGGGTTTCACGTTTTTTCCCTCATGTCTCATAATCTCTTGTATTTTTCCTTCTTCTCCTCTGGGCTATAATTTATTTAGATTTATTTATAATTTATTTAGATTTGAGTAATTCATTTAGATTTATCTTCCAGCTTAGCTGAAGCATGGGCTTAATTTTCCAGGATATTTTTTCAGTTCTATTGTCTTAGTATCTTACTTATGTTTTTCTTCTTACAGTTTAACCTCTGAGCTTCACTGGCATGTATGTATGTGTGAGGCTGAGAATGTTGAAATAAATGCAGCTGTTCTTACTTCAATAATCAGGCATGTGAATTCTGGCCCAGATTTTCATCCTATGTAACTCCATGGGAACTCTCTAAGGACATGATTCAGATGACTGACCTTAAACAACCACCTCCCTGTTCATCCATCAATCATTCACAAATCCATCTGTTTCTGAGTGGGTTACTGCAATTGCACCAAAATACCTAGCATCTGTAGTCTCGGGGGAAATGTGTTGCAATCTTCATCAGTGGTAATTTTCTGTAAGGAAATGTTAGTACAGAAAACAAGCTCCTCACAACAAATTGTAAGTATGACTACCATCATCTATACCCACCTCAACCAAACCAGCAACGATGAAGATTATGATTTGGACTGCACAAGTGGAACTAGTAGTTTACCCAACAAGAGACATTTTTCTCAAAGTGAATGAAATCACTTCACATTTTTCATCTGTTCATGCCTTGACCATAAATGTGCTTTTGTAATTTTTGCTTTACCAAGTTTGCTCTGCTTGCCTCAGGTTGCTGAGTAACCAGATTGTTTCCTTCAATCTCCAGTCTGTGTATCTTCATTCAGCAAATGTTTTTGGTTGGAGGTGTGTGTGTGTGTTTAGGTATTTAGGGACAGTAAGTACACAGGAAGAAGGGATGAATGAGATATGGCTGCTATTTCCATTTCAATTTCATGATTATGCCACTTCTGATTAGAATTCCATTTTAAGGCTAGGTGCAGCGGCTCATGCCTGTGATCCCAGCACTTTGGGAGGCTGAGGCAGTTGGATCACTTGAGGTCAGGAGTTCGAGACCAGCTTGGTCAACATGGTGAAACCCCATCTCTACTAAAAATTAAAACAAAAAAATTAGCTAGGTATGGTGGCGGGTGCCTGTAATCCCAGCTACTCAGGAGACTGAGGCAGGAGACATGCTTCAGCCCGGGAAGGGGAGGTTGCAGTGAGCCAAGATAGCACCACTGTACTGCAGCCTGGGCGACAAAGTGAGACTCCATCTCAACAACAACAACAACAACAACAACAACAATGACAACAACGAATTCCATTTTGCAAATAAAGTCTAGCCACAATCCCAGTCACACCACCACCAAACCCTTGGGACACAGGGAGCTCCATTTCTCCAGATGCTGCTGCTTCCTTTTCCTCTTCCATCTTTTTAGCCATGTGACATCTCATAAGCCTGGGTCTTACTTTCCAGGGTCTCCTGCTATAATCCACTGGGTTGGGGAGATCATTCACATTCATGGTTTCACTTTACACTATTGACTTCCAAACATGCCTAACCTAGAGGCTGCATTTCAAATTACCTACTGGCCCTCTTCATCTGGATTTCTTTAGTCACTTCCAGTTCCATAAATCCAACATCAAAATTGTTAACTTCATCTTCAAATTAATTTATCTTCTTTTCCGCTACTGTGCCCCGGGACGTCTTCCTTTGCTGAACTTCTGCAGCACTTCCTGAATAGTTTGGCACTTCTTTACTTCTTCGCTTCTTTTAGAGGTGTTATCATTCTTCCAGGTTCCCTTGTTAGAAATTTGCAGTCATTCAAAACTCTAATCTTCCCTATATTTATTTATTTATTTTTATTTCAAAAGCTTTTGGGGTACATGTGGTTTTTGGTTACATGGATTAATTCTATTGTGGTGAATTTTGAGATTTTAGTGCACCTGTCACTCAAGCAGTGTACACTTTACCCAATATGTAGTCTTTCATCCCTCACCCCCTCCCACCCTGAGAACATACAGCATTTGGTTTTCTATTCCTGAGTTACTTCACTTAGAATAATAGCCTCCAGCTCTATCCAAGTTGTTGCAAAAGACATTATTTCATTCCTTTTTGTGGATAAGTGGTATTCCATGGTGTATATATGCCACATTTTCTTTACCCAGTCATTGGTCAATGGGCACTTAGGTTGGTTCCATATCTTTGCAATTGTAGGACTGATTTATTCATAGTAAGCATAGTGCCTAGAGCTGGGGATAGTTTTAGAGGCCCATAAAAATGTTTTAATGTCTTTTAAAATATAAATTTAAAAATTTAGGTTTTTTTCCTGATATGTAATATTAATATATTCATCTTAATAATAATAAAATATACATACAATATTCATTTTTTTCTTTCTTTCTGTTTGTGGAGGAAGGGGCCCATGAAAGGGCAAAAGTGCCTAACCCTCAATGACTAATCAGTCTTTATACCTTAATGATTATTCTCTTACATTTATCCCTTTCCTCTTCATTCTTCTCATTGTGATCAACTTAATCCAGTCCCTATTGCATTACTTCTGAATGACACCTACTAAGTGCTATTGGAGCCTGTATTAGCCCATTTTTAGGCTGCTAATAAAGACATACCTGAGACTGGGTAATTTATAAAAAACAAGAGGTTTAATGAACTCACAATTTCACGTGGCTGGGGAGGCCTCACAATCATGGCTGAAGATGAAAGTGACGTCTTACATGGCAGCAGGCAAGAGAGAGTAAGAGCCAAATGAAAAGGGAAACCTTTTATAAAACCATCAGATCTCATGAGACTTATTCACTACCATGAGAATGGTATAAGGGAAACCGCCCCTGTGATTCAATTACCTCTCACAGGGTCCCTCCCACAACATGTAGGAATTATGGAAGCTACAATTCAAGATGAGACTTGGGTGGGGACACAGCCAAACCATATCAGAGCTCGGTGATCATGCAAAGGCTCCTTGACTTATGATGTGGTTCCTTCCCAATAGACCCACTGTCAGCTGAGAACACATTTAATATTCCAATAAATCCATCATAAAGTAAAAAATCGTAAGTTGAACCATCCATCATAAGTTGGGCATTTTCTGTCTGTCCATGCGAACAGGTCACACAGACAGGAGGTTCTTTATAAAAGCTAAGTAAATCCAAATCTGCCTCACTGAGATAAGCAAGAGTAGAAAGAACACTGGCCTTCAAGAATATGACTGGAAATCAAGGATCCTAGCGGTTGTGTTCCAGATAAATCTGAGACTTGACTTCTTTACCTTTAAACTGGTTTAATATTTGCTCTACCTTCCTTACACTGTAGCTGTGAGGACCAGATGAAACAATGGGATTGAAGTAATTGCGTTAATGTTAAGGTGTTCTTCTGTGGTAAGCAAGCTCTGCCTCTGTTTCATTGACTCTTAGATCATGAATGCGCACAGATTCCTTCTTCCTTGTTACACTCAAGCCCGACCTGGCTTTGAGGCTGTCTGTCCTGAGCCCTGCCTCCCTCCTGCTCTGTTTCTCACTAAGCTCCCTTGTGCAGATCTCTCAGTCCTCAGCCATCCTCATATCCCATCTCTGCTCCTGGCAACCCCCTTGTTGAAGTGCTTTGTATAGCCACCTCTCATTCTGGAATGCATCCTTAACTCACTCTATATATTTTCCAACCAGGTTTCATACTCCTTAAGGACAGATGCTATTCTCTTTCTTTATCCCATAGAACCTAGAGCAGCACCCTCCATCTAGTTTATGGAATTATTGATTCCCATGCCATTCCTCCAACCACTGTGTCTTCTCCTTCCCAGCCACCTCTCCACAGCCCACTTATCTCTCAGAGTCCCACTCAAGGCCTGAGTTCCTCCGAAAGCTTTTCCACTATTGTGCCCCGGAGACTTCTTCCTTCGCTGAACTTCTGTTGCCCTTCCTGAATGGTTTAGCACCTGGTCCCACAGCGTGTGCCTTCCTAGAAGTGAAAGAAGAGAATGTGCTTAGGTAGATGCATTGTCTGTGTTGTAAAGGGATTAAAAACGTTTCGGACTGGTGTGTTTTGAGCTGAGAATATGTTTTGCATGATTGAAAATGACCACTATCAGATTCCCTTCAATAAAATGCAACAGAGAGAATGTCTAGGTGACTCCAGTGTGTATTAAAACTGTATTGATTTTGGTCATTGTTGTTTAGAGAATGGCAGTTTTGGGTTTAAAAGCCACTACGGAAATTAAAATGTAGGCATTGGAGGTCCCAATCCGGCCTTCACTAAGCTGACTACAATATTCTGTGTAATCCATGTGTGGTAACCCAACGCTGCTCCAGGAACCCTGAACCTGACACCTCTCTTCCCTGCCTAATTGCTATGATGAATTTTCACACTTGTAACGTAATACTTGGCTCGGTGCCATAACAGAGACCCAAAGGTCTCAAAGCGGCTCAATTCCTGAATAACTAAAGAAATTCATGAGTGACCCGAAGGTGCTGAACGGCCCTTATGGGCAGCAACCGGCTGTTTGGGTTGAATGTGAGATGTCTCTGGATTCCTGACGGTATAGGTATGGTGTGTGAATTCTTTTTGTGGCATAAGGGAAATATCTAATGACAGCAAATTGCTTATTTTGGATCATTCTTGAGCCTGGTTTTAACATTATGGGGGAGAAATACACCACATTGGCTAAGTAAAGAGCCAGATGAAGAATTTCATTGCAGCCTGGGTCTGAGGGGATGCCTGCCGCCCACCTTAAGCCTAGAGTCCGGAACCCGGGAACAATGCTGGCCGATGGGTGAGCCACACAGGATGTGCTGCCCCCAGGGCATGCGTCCTGCATGTTTTGGAGTCAGCAATGGGGCTGGAAACTGCAAAACCTGGGGACTGGGAAGGAAGTGCAATGGAAACAGATCATCTCCTGATTCTACTATAGGTGACTATTGATTTACTGCAGTTTGGGGACACTTAAACATTTTAAGTAGCAGGGCAGGGCATTTGGGTAAATGGGCAGCCTAGAAACTAGCTATAACTCCCCCACTTGTGAATACCTTTTAAAATAACCAGTTCTCCTGTCTCTTCCTCCATCCCTCCCAGCCTCTCTCTCTCTTTATCTCTCTCTGTGTCTCTGATATGTACACTAACAGAAACCTAAAGAAATTTCTGCTAAACATCTACCAATGGGCTTAGAATGCAAAGAACAAAACAAAACGAAACCAAACAAAAACCAGACACAATAATGACACTACTCCAGAGACAGCTGTGGCTTTCTGTAAAGTAAGAGGAGGAGGGGCGCTCACCGAGGCTGGCTGATAACTCCTGCCATGGAAAGGTACAAGTGTCCTCATCCAGGCCCAAGCAGTACAAGGAAATCAGCTGAGTGGACTTCAGGATGTCCAATTCTTCAGCTTTTCTTGAACTCTGTGAACCAGTAGCCTTAGAATCCCAACTGTTTTGTTTTATTATTTATTTACTTATTTATTTAGAGACAGTGTCTTGCTCTGACACCCAGGCTAGAGTGCAGTGGCTTGATCACGGCTCAGTGCAGCCTCAACCTCCTGGGTCCAAGTGATCCTCTTGCATCAGCCTCTTGAGTAGCTGGGAATATAGGCACGTGCCACCATGCCTGGCTAATTAAAAACAATTTTTGTTTTGGTAGAGATTTCGTCTTGCTATGCTGCCCAGGCTGGTCTCAAACTCCTGGGCTCAAGTGATCCTCCTGTCTCAGCTTCCCAAGTAGCTGAGACTACAGGTGTGTGTCACCTTGCTAGCTTTCAACTATGTATTAGACCTCCTTGCTTGATTCTAATATGATTGCCACATAAATCAGAGACCTGGACGGCAGGGAGGCCTTCCTTTGGGGATCTATCTGTTTCATAAAGAGATAAGGCTTCCAGCAGGGAGTCTGCTGAACCATTCTCTGTAAGGTGGCCATTCTGCTGGGATTCACAGCAGAGCAACTACCTTCCAAGTTATAGTAGAAAATAAGAAAGACAAGAACAAAGCCTCCTTTCCCCTAGCAAAATCAGTTTGTAGTGACTTAATTTTCTTTATTTTTTTCTTCGACTTTGGACTAAGGGTTGCTTTGTGAGTTTGAGACACCATCAAGCTTGACTTCTATTAGAGCTTGACATCAAATGATAGTTCATATCACTATCAGCATTTTCTAGAGCAAGTACTCAGTAATTGGTATCTCCCTATAAATGAAAGTAACATCGAATAAGCATCCACCTATACTTTTTAAAAAATGAATGTTCGAAGTGGCTGTATTTCTCTGAGAAAAAGAAGAAACAAGAAATTCAATGGAGGCAGCAAATAGATTGGTAACAGAGGAAAATCAAACCAGTGACACAGAAAGCAAACCTGAAGAATGTTAGGAGAACAAAAAGGAACAAAGTCAAAGGACGAAAATATAAGGGAGAAAATATTAGTTGCAGAGGGCAGTTATCAGGGGTGCAGTCAATGTATGGGTGATAGACTTACTGGTAAAACAGAACAAATTTAACATCAATAATAAGAAAACATTAAAACAGTAAATACCAGAAGAATACTTCACCCTCTGCAGAGAACTTTGAAGGGGAATATGGAGACCTGGTGGGGCAGAGACTGCTAACTGTCTCTCAGTATTCATTCTACCCTTCTTCCTTTCAGTGACAGAAACTTTTATCTGGGTACATGGCCTCCCAGCTGAAGACTGCATTTCACAGGCTTGCTGGGACTTGGGTGTGGCCATATGACTGAGTGCAGTCTAGTGGAATGGGAGAGAAATGATGTGTGCAACTTCAAGTCATTCTCTTCAAGATGAAGCTGCTCAGGTGGGTGCTCCGTTTGTTCCCTCAGATTGGAATGTGGGTGAGGTGTTGGATGTCAGCCTAGGCAGTTAGGAGATTAGTACCCAAGGAGATGGTGGGGCTGAACACTAAAGGGCCATGGGTCCCTGGGTCACTCTGTGCTGCCGAGTTTCCTAGCAAGTCTTGATTGCTTCTTCTGGACTTTTGTATATAAGAGAAATAGACTTCTGCCTTGTCTGAACACATAATACCTTGTTACAGCATTGTAACCTGTGCTGTAACTGAAATATGCATGCCTTGTGCATACAAACAACTTGTGAATCATGAATGATGTCAAAGAAAGACTTTTCTGTAAAATGGAGCAACCCAATAGCCCAACACATGGTTTAGTAGCAATTGGACATCATAGGCAAATTATAAATCTTGACCTAAACCTTACACCTTATGCAAAAATTAACTCAAAATGGATCACACACTTAAATGTAAAAGGTAAAACTCTAAGAGTTTTAGAGAACAACAAAGGCAATCTTTGGAACCCAGGGCTAGGCAAAGAGCCTATAGATACCACAACAAAAGCACAATCCATACAAGGGAAAATTGATGTTGTGCTGCATCAAAATTAAAAATGTTTACTCTGTGAAAGTCTACGTGAAGAGGGTGAAAAGACAAACTGGAGGCTGACAGAAGATATTTGCAAACCACATGTCTGACAAAGGAATAGTATCTAGAATACATAAAGAACCCTCAAAGCTCAGTAGTAAAAAACCCAAGACAATCCAATTAGAAAATGGGCAAAATACATTGCACCAAAATCAATACACAGCTGGAAAATAATCCCATAAAAAGATGACCAACACTGTTAGCCATCAGGGAAATGCAAATTAAGACCACAATGATGTATCACTACACATTTATTAGAATGGCTAAAATAAAAAATAGTGACAATGTCAAATGTTGGCAAAGATGTGGGAAAACTGGGTTACTCATACATTGTTGGTGGGAATGTAAAATGCTACTGTCATTTTGGAAAACAGCTTGACAGTTTCTTAAAAAAAATCTTAAAGATGTAATTACCTGTGACCTAGCAATTGCACTCTTGGGCATTTATCTCCCAGAAATGAAAACTTATATTCACATAAAAACTTGTACACCAACGTTCATAGCAGCATTATTTGTAATAGCCCAAAGCTGGAAAAAGCCCTGATGTCCTTCAACAAATGAATCGTTAAACAAATTGTACTATATCCATATGGTGGAATACTACTCAGCAATAAAAAGGAGCACATTATTTATGCACTCAGTAACGTGGATGAGTCTTCAGGGAATTATGCTGAGTGAAAAAAGCCAATCCCCAAAGATTCTAAGATTCCATTTATATAACATTTTCAAAATGTATACATTAAGAAATGGAGATATTAGTGGATGCCAGGGGTTAGGAGCGAAGTGTATTAGTCAGGGTTCACCAAAGAAACAGAATAAACACACAGACACACAGATACACACACACACACACACACACATACACACACAGAGAGAGGGAGGGAGAGAATGCTACAGAGAAAGAGAGGGGAGAGCCCCAGAGATACAGAGACAGAGGGATAGAGAGACACAGAGACACAGAGAGAGAGAGAGAGAGAAAGAGAGAGAATGTTGGAGAGAAAGAGAGGGGAGATCCCCGGAGATACAGAGACAGACAGACAGATAGACAGACACACACACGCACACACACACACACACACACACAGAGGTAAAGAGAGAGAGAGAGAGAAATTTATTATAAGGTAATAGCTCACTTGATTAGTCCCTACTCTCTGCAAGCTGAAAACCCAAGAAAGCTGTTGGTGTACGTTAAAAGTCCTAGCTTTGGCTGGGGGTGGTGGCTTATGCCTGTAATCCCAGCACTTTGGGAGGCCAAGGCAGGCGGATCACGAGGTCAGGAGATCGAGACCATCCTGGCTAATGGGTGAAACCCTGTCTCTACTAAAAATACAAAAAATTAGCTGGGCGTGGTGGCGGGCGCCTGTAGTCCCAGCTGCTCGTGAGGCTGAGGCAGGAGAATGACGTGAACACGGGAGGTGGAGCTTGCTGTAAGCCAAGATCGCGCCACTGCACTCCAGCCTGGGCGACAGAGCGAGACTCCGTCTCAAAAAAAAAAAAAATTCCAAGCTTCATTTTTTTTTTCTTTTTTTTGAGACGGAGTCTCTCTGTTGCCCAGGCTGGAGTGCAGTGGCACCATCTTGGCTCTGTGCAACCTCCACCTCCCGGGTTCAATCAATTCTACTGCCTCAGCCTTTTGAGTAGCTGGGACCACAGGCATGTGCCAGCATGCCAGGCTAATTTTTTTGTATTTTTGTAGAGACAGGGGTTTCGCCATGTTGACCAGGCTGGTCTCAAACTCCTGACCTCAAGTGATGCACCCACCTTGGCTTCCCAAAGTGCTGGGATTACAGGCATGAGCCATAGGGCCCAGCCTAAAAGTCTGAGCTTCTGAGAGCCGATGGCATAGATTCCAGTCTGGGTCTAAAGGCCTGAGGACCAGAAGCACCACAGGTAGGAGGTCAGTGTCCCATCCCAGTTCAGGCAAAGGGCAAGGGAATACTCTTTCTCCACATTTTTGTGCTATTCAGGCCCTCAGCCTATTGGATGATGTCCACCTACATTGGGGAGGTCAATCAGCTTTACTTAGTCTACTTCAAATGCTCATCTCTTCTGGAAACACCCTCACAGACACACCCAGAAATAATGTTTAACCAGACAGCTGAGCAGCCTGCCATCCAGTCAAGCTGACACATCAAATTAACTACCACACAGGGTGTGGAGGGAGATTAGCCATCAGGAAAATGCAAATTAAAACCACAAATACCTTTCTCTTTTGGTGATTATAAAAAGGTGACACAAATTATTCTTGCAGTGATTGAGCTTTTCAATATTTTGATCGTGGTGGGGGCTACACAAATCTAAACATCTGATAAAATTGTATAGAGTGTGCATGTGCTTACATCCCCCCAACACAGGGGTGCAAGGAAAACTAAGAAAATTTGAATAAAACTGGTGGATTGTATCAACATAATTATCGTGGTGGTGATATTGTGGTATAATTTTTGCAAAATCTTGCCACTGGGGGAAACAGATAATACAGGATTACTTTGTATTATTTCTTTCTTTTCTTTTTCTCTTTGAGACAGAGTTTTTGCTCCGTTGCCCACGCTGGAGTGTAGTGGCATGATCTTGGCTCACTGCAACCTCTGCCTCCTGGGTTCAAGTGATTCTCCTGCCTCAGCCTCCTGAGTAGCTGGGATTATAGGCACCCACCACCAGGCCTGGCTAATTTTTGTATTTTTAGTAGAGATGGGATTTTGCCGTGTTGGCCAGGCTGGTCTTGAACTCTTGACCTCAGGTCATCCACCTGCCTCAGCCTCCCAAAGCGCTAGGATTACAGGCATGAGCCACTGCACCCGGCTTGTATTATTTCTTAAAACTGCATGTGACTCTACAGTTATCTCAGTAAAAATTTCAATGAAAAAGCTCCAGGAATCAGGAAATATCCACAACCTTTCTTAGGTGCACTGGTCAAAAACATTTTCTAGAGCAATGAGAAATAAAAGAAAATTAAGAACTTGATTTGGAAAGGATTGTAAGGTGAACTGTTATAGCTAATTCCTGATAAGAGTTTTACATACAAAGATATTATAAAGAGATGGTCTACATTTCATAAAATATGGCCTTTATACACCCAAATGACATTGATAAAAGTTGTGATGGATGATGAGTGAGTCAAAAGTTCCAAGTTTCTTATCTTCTATAAAGAGAAAAAAATATTGCTTTGTCATTGCTGTTGATAATTAAACACATGTTTAGGACCTTGGAAAACTTGTTTGCCATCTGTATTAGTTCGTTTTCATGTTGCTGATAATGACATACCTGAAACTGGGAACAAAAAGAGATTTAATTGGACTTACAGTTCCACATGGCTGGAGAGGCCGCAGAACCATGGCAGGAGATGAAAGGCAATTCTTACATAGTGGCAGCAAGAGGAAAATGAGAGAAGCAAAAGCAGAAACCCCTGATAAACCCATCAGATCTCGTGAGCCTTATTCACTATCATGAGAATAGCACAGGAAAGACAGGCCTCCATGATTCTATTACCTCCCTCTGCGAGGGGAGGGTAATAGAATTCTATTACCTCCGCAATGCATGGGAGTTCTGGAGATACAATTCAGGTTGAGATTTGAGTGGGGACATAGAAAAACCATGTCACCATCATAAGAATTAAAAGAACAACCACCTTCTGGACCATTGTGGAAGGAAAGCAAACTATCTAGTCTATAAACACACATACACACAAATGCAAACACTGTAAAAGTAAATATAAAGCAAGATGATATAACTAAGAGAAAAACAGTTACAATTAATCTAAAATGAGAAGTAGAGGAACTTGAAATGCTGCCTTGGGCTGGGGTGTCTTGAAGCCTGTGCTGGGCACAGGGATGGGGTCGGATTCGCCCACAGGTTGTAGAATCAGGAGTTGGGGGTCAATCCAAGAGACAAAAATTTAGGATAAAAAATGAAAACAGAAATGTAGGCAGGGAGTCCACACGAAGTGTGGCTCCAAGACAGAGAGGCAGAGTACAGATATGTGTCCACGGGATAGATATTGAGGTCACTTGACCAGTGCAAGGGGATTTAGCATGAAGGTTGATAGAGAATCTGGAGCGATTTTCCAAAGTATGAGGTCATAGCAGGACTTAAAAAAATACCTTTTTCTTTGCAGCAATAGGGAAGAGCTGCTTAAAGTGTCAGGCCAATTCAAAGATGCTGTCTATGGGAGATACACCTGAAATACCCAATGGAGAGAAAGCGTCTTCTAATATCACAAAGGGGAAGCAAAGAGAACTTGGGGAATAGAAGCTGGAGGCACCTAGGGGCATTCTTTTTGACAGAGTTGTCTATGTGCCTTCCAGTTCTCTCCTTGGTTCTCTCTTGAATATTTTCCAACCAGGCTTCTGTTACTGCTGCCTCACAGAACAGCTCTTACCAAAGTCACCGTGGGCTCCACTGGCTGCCAATCCAGCCCTGCCTTGCTGACTTACTGGGCATTGGTTTCGTTGACTCTGCTGAAACACTGGCTTCTAGGACACCCTGGCCCTGGTTCTCCTCCCGCCCGTCTGGCCTCCCCTTCTTAACACCTTTGCTGGTTCTGCCTCCCCTCTTCAGCCCCTACATGTTGGAAGAACTCAGGTCACAGTCCTTGGACCTCTTAAACAATTTTAAAAATATGATCTATACTCGTGTTCCAGGAGAAGTCATCCAGTCTCATGGGTTTAAGTTCCCTCTATAAGCTGATGAAAAGGAAGATACACATCTAGTCTGCATTTGAGTGGCTGCTGGGAAAGCCAAGGTAGGATTTCCCATCCCATTTACCTGTCTCAAACACTGGATAAACAATGCCATATGAGTCAGGTGTCTCAGCATTGGTGCTATTGACATTTTGGGCCAGATAATTCTCTGTTGTGGAGCTGTCATGTATTAGGGGATATATTATAGGAGATGATACGGCATGATATTATAGAATGTATTATAGGATGTGATACGATATCATATGATATAAAATATAGGATACAATATGATACTATAAGACATGATAGAATAGGATGTGTTATAGGATGTAAAAAGATATGATAGAATGGGATGTATTATAGGATCGATATGATATAATATGACATTATAGGATATATTATAGGATGTGGTATGATATTATAAGGTATACTATAGGATGTGATATGTGATAGGATAGGGTGTATTACAAGACATAGGATAGGATAGGATAGGATAGGATGTATTATAGGCTGTAGAGCAGCATTCCTGGTCTCTATCCCTTAGATCTCAGCAGCACCCTCCCCCACAGTTGTGACAATCAAAAATGTCTCCAGACATTGCCAAATGTCTCCTGGGGTGCAAAACTACTCTGATCGAGAACACTGGTATAGGTAGTGAGAGGAGAAGGCTAAAAATAATCCCCAGAGAGAAGGAGTAAAGGCTGGACCTGAGTACTCAATAAATGGGATTAATGTAAAAATTAAACATGCAGAACATTAAATCTAGAGAAAAAGGAGGATCCTGAGGTACAGTTTGTTAACCTTCTGACTGCAAAAATATTTCATATGTAGTTGGTACCAAAGTACTCCTCAAGAAACAATGTCTCCAAGGGCCAAGCTGACTGCTTATTTTACATGAAATTTCTGTATTTATGAAGGGAGGGAATAAGTTAAGTGGTTGGCTAGAAAAGTCAAAATTCCTGATGTTTATTTGCCTGATTGCTGACCTTTTTAATAATTTTGTTTTTCCATTTAATGTTGCCAAGTGGAACTGAGTATTCCTTATGGACTCATACGTACATAAGCCCAGAACTCTTTTTAGCTCAGTAGATGTGTTTCTAGGGCCAATTTACATGGTCAGTCAAGATCACCTATTAACGCAGCAATCACAAAATGATTGTTTTAGGGTGACTGCATAGGATGATGGGCCACTCACTGTCACAAAAGATGAGCAAATTAAATGGAAGGTTGAAGGCTAATTATACAGAGTCCTTTAGTTTTAGGGTTTCCCCTCTTCTTCCTTCTTTCCCTCTTTCATTCTCAATTTCCATTAATTTCTTCTTCCCTTATTAATAATAATATTCTTTTGCTGGTGCAGAGAAAAAGACAAGCAGTAGAGTAGAGAAGTGAATATAGGAAGAGAACAGTATATTTTTGACAGCAGTTGGGAAGGAATTATAGTGTTTAAAACAAAACCCTAAAGTCTCTCTATGATCACAGGTCTATTATTAATCTTTCTGGAGTAGAAAGAGATGGCAGATGCATTCTGTTGCTAATATTATCTTTTGTAAATCTTTGCCTTGCTTTAGAATATTTCCATAATGAAGTCCACACAATACCTGCCTTTTGCAGCTTTTATTGAAATAGTGATTTTTGTTATTTTAACTCACAAATATAAAAATTTGCCAATATTAATCTGATTTTGCTTTATGTAAATTCAGATGGTTTAAAAATAAGAGCCAAGGTAGAAAAGTGAGTGTAGTGCTAAACTTTATGAAAATATTGGAAGTGAATGTTAAAGACGAAGCAGGAAGTTTGAAAGTCTTGATTATGTTTTCATAAATATTTGTTCAGTAGATACAGCAAATTCCAATATGTAAACACTATTAAAATAAGCCTTTTCTTTTTTTTCCTTCTCCATGAGTTTTGCAGAATTTCTAACCATGTTTCCCCTCCCTGCACTCACCATTGCTAATTTGCATGTTGTTAGGCTACACGTTTAATAACTATGTAGAAGTAGAAAATGAAAGGCAGTTTTATGCCATGGACCATAACTTTTGTGCATATAACATTACCAATGGCATTAGAGACACAATGGAATTAATGGATAGGTCCCATTTATGACATCTCAATGATCTCTGAAGGGAGTGGTTCAGATTTCACAAATTCTCTTCCTTCCTTCCTTCCTTCCTTCTTTCCTTCCTTCCCTCCTGCCTCCCTTCCTCCCTTCCTTCCTTCTTTCTTTCTTTATTTCTTGAGTCTCTCTATGCCACCCAGGCTGGAGTGCAGTGGCGTGATCTTAGCTCACTGCAACCTCCGCCTCCTGGGTTCAAGCAATTCTCGTGCCTCAGCCACGCAAGTGGCTGGGATTACAGGTGTGTGCCACCACGCCCAGCTAATTTTTGTAGTTTTAGTAGAGATGGGGTTTCACTATGTTGGCCAGGCTGGTCTTGAACGCCTGACCTCAAGTGATCCATCCGCCTTGGCCTCCCAAAGTGCTGGGATTACAGATGTCAGCCACCACGCCTGGCCACAAATTCTTTCTTTTTAATCTAGCTTTTAAAATGTAATTTTATTTAGATTCTGGGAACACATGTACATACTTGTTACATGGGTATATTGCATATGGTGAAAACTGGGCTGCTAGTGAACTCGTCTCTCAAACAGTGAATATTGTACCCAACAGGTAATTTTTCAACCCTTTCCCCTTCCCACCCTCTTCACTTTTCGAATCCCCAGTGTTTATTATTTCCATCTTTATCAGACTTCCAAATTCTTTTTCTTTTCTTTCTTTCTTTCTTTTCTTTTTTTTTTTTTTTGAGACAGGATCCTGCTCTGTCTCCCAAGCAGGAGAGCAGTGGTGCAATCCCGGCTCACTGGAGCTTTGACGTCCAAAGCTCAAGCTATCCTCCCACCTCAGCCTCCCAGAGCACATACATTCTTCTGACAGACTGGGAGAATATGCTTCATTTCATGAGACAAAAATGAAACTTGGTGCACATTTGCATTTATTTTGCTTAAGAGAGCTGAATGGTGTTTTCAGAGGTAGATTTACTAATTAAATTCCTAACGAGTGAACCGAGGGCCAGGCTTTATCCAGAAAAAGCAAGTATCTTTCAGAAAACTTGTTCAAATGCATATAACCCTGCTTATTCTTTCCCCTAGTTAGAAGTGCATTCTTTAAGAAATGCCCTAGCGATGACAAGAGGCTATTTTTTTGTGACTGGGGAATATCTTTCCACGAGGGCAAAGTTTCCTGCAGTGGGAATACCCTGAGTTACAAGCCTGGCTTAGGCGCTTCAGAATCCCTGACTGAATCTTGGGAAAGTCACAGGTTTTCTCTGGACCTTTGGTTCCTTATCTGTAAGATAAGGTGGTTGACATAGAAACCTTGCAAGCTTCTTTCTCGCATCCCATGATGACATACTCTTCAAGTCCTTAAGCAGGATAATTATGGCAAATGAGGGAAACTTCTGGGGGAGTGAGTTGCTTTAGATAGTGAATTTTGTTCTTCTGGCGAACTTATGTTTTTGGTACAAATTAATTTTTTTTCTCTGCCTGGTTCCTCTTGGAATCAAAGCAAACAAAATTCTCTGCCTTTTTCCCCCCCTCTAAATTTCCCTTATTCAATTTTCACAAATGAATGCAACTATCATCTTCTAAGTCAACTTTAGGAGAGGAGTATGAACTAGCTGAATGACGACAGCTTAGTAGAAAATCTGCCTTGTTCATCTATCTTGTTGCTATATTTTGTTGCTAGAGAGATAAACATTTTGTGGCAAATCATGGTGCGAGTCAGGATTTTGGCACAAGACAGATTTTGTAGACGCAGAAAAAAAGGTGTTTGTGTCTAGCTCTGAATCCAAGTTTCTGATTGAATGGATGAGAGAAGATCAGATGAACTTTTCCATTTATTCATTCTGTTTCATCTCGGAGCTTTGCCTGGGTCAGGACATCTTACTCTCCAGTCACTGCCTTCAACCTCGGTGTGCTCAATTTTTTCTCTGGTGTCATTTACCTAAACTCCGAAAACTCCACTTATTTCACAAAACCCTTCTCAACCAATTGAATCAAAATTGGTGCATTCCAAACCTCTCCCCTTCCACTCCCCTCCAACCCTTGGTTTTGATACAGGAATAGAATCAAGAAGGGAGTCATATATTCATTTTGCTTTGAAGAATTTTCATTTACTCCAGTGCTTTTGAAAGGTTAAAAACCCTTTCTGTGCCTATTCTTTTTGGAATATTGTCTCACTAAGACTGAGGAAAATGTCCTTGAATGCTTTAATTCGATTTTCAAGAAGTGTGTTCTCCAAACTCCATATTTTGGCCTTACCCAAACTTTAATCTCCATATATCCTAGGATATTAAAAAATGCATTTTTTCATGCAACTATAAATTAGACAATGCTGGGTGAATAAATAATAACCATCTCAAATGACTGCTGCAGGAAGAATGCTTGATAGTGTTAAACAGTCAATGCTGCAAAAATTGGAGAAGCAGTTTTAGTTTCCAACTTTAAGCAAGAAGCTCATCTTCTCCATAAAATGATGTTAACCATCCCCTACCCTGGTCCCCACCAGCTCTGCTCCCCTCTCTGTCCCTCGCCAGTTACCACAGGGCAGACGCTGATGAGATAGACGGATCATGCCTGCATCCACATTACGTCACCCTGTTAGAGAGACAGTAACTGCAGCCATGTGGACTCCTGGTCAGAATTTGGCAAGGGTACTAGAGGAAAGCAGGTCAGGTGCTATGGCTCACGCCTGTCATCCCAGCCCTTTAGGAGGCTGAGGTGGGTGGATCACTTGAGTCCAGGAGTTTGAGACCAGCCTGGGCAACATAGTGAGACCCTGTCTCTAGAAAAAAATTAAAAAACTAAGCCGGGTGTGGTGGCACATGCTTGTAGTCCCAGCTACTTGGGTGGCTAAGGTGGGAGGACCACTTGAGCCCGCAAAGTCGAGGCTGCAGTGAGCTATGTGATTGTGCCACTGTATTCCTGCCTAAGTGACAGAGCAAGATCCTGTCTCCAAAAAAAAAAAAAAAGGAGAGAGAGAGAGCAGGCACTTTGGTAGAAATCCATACACAAAATGCAGCCATCAAGCAAAGCACACAGGGAGCTCCTTGAATCAAGAGGCACATATTCTGGGCTGGGTGTGGTGGCTCACACCTGTAATCCCAGCACTTTGGGAGGCCAAGGCCGGGGCCGACAGATCACTTGAGGTCAGGAGGTCAAGACCAGCCTGGCCAACATGGTGAACCCCACCTTTACTAAAAATACAAAAATTAGCTGGTGGTTATGGTGCATGCCTATAATCCCAGCTACTCGGGAGACTGAGGCAGGAGAACCACCTGAACCCAGGAGGTGGAATTTGCAGTGAGCCGAGATTTCCCCACTGTACTCCAGCCTGGGCAACAAGCGAGACTCTGTCTCAAAACAAAAACAAAAAAACAAAAATAAACAACCAAAAAAAGGAGAGTCAGATATTCCAGAATGGCCACGGGACATGGAACCAGTGCTTGGTCACACTCAGGGGATTTCACAAGCTCTTTCCCGAGGAGAACTGGAGACACATGTCAACACCCAGTATGAATTCTTTGGGATACAATGACTATAACTGACATACAGTGCATTTTATGTTACCTGGATTCCTGAATATGAATCCAGTTATTCTCAATAAATTTGCATTGTTTCAAAAATCCTCATAAAGGCTGGATGTGGTGGCTCATCCCTGCAATCCCAGCAATTTGGGAGGCCAAGGTGGGAGGATCGCTTGAGTCCACGAGTTTGAGTACAACCTGGACAACATAGTGAAACCCTGTATCTAAAAATAAAATTTAAAAATTAGGTGGGTGTGATGGTGCGCACCTTTAGTCCTAGCTACTTAGGAGGCTGAGGCAGAAGAATTACTTGAGCTCAGGAGTTTGAGGCTGCAGTGAGCTATGACCGTGCCACTGCGCTCCAGCCTGGAAAACAGAATGAGATGCTGTCTCTAAAAAAAACAAACAAAAAATGAAACCCTTATAAACACCCTAGCCTTAGGTGCTGCAACAAATAACTACGGTTGATTCAGTAGCTTAATACCCTAGAAGTTTCTCGCTCACAAAATGATCCAATGTAGATGTTTGTTGCCAGCAGGGACATTTGCACCACGTGGTGATTTAGGGACCCAGTTCCTTCCGTCTGTGGATCTGTCCTGTCCTAGGGGTTCAAGCTCTCTTCATTGAGATGCTGGAAGGGGGAAGCCACGTTTTGTCTGCTGTTGTCATTGAGGCTGACCCCTCACCACTCAGTGTAGCCTCAGAAAAGAAATCTGAGCTAATCTGATTAATTTTTCTAAGGCCTGGTTTAATGAAGGTCTTGAACCAATGTGGAAAATGACACTTAGAAGTAAGTCCACTGGGAGATCTCTGGGAAAGGCTTTCTTTCCCTTAAGGAAGAGTTACAGGGCAGTTGCTCTTTCTTCTTTTCTTTCTCTGAACAATTGTGTCTCTCTCCTGTTCCCTTTAACCATATGATGTGCCTGTCCCCCCTTCACCTTCCACCATGAGTGGAAGCTTCCTGAGGCCTCACCAGAGGCAGGTGCCAGCAGCATGCTTCTTGTACAGTCGGCAGAACCACGGGCCAAATAAACCTCTTTATGAATTACCCAGTCTCAGATATTCCTTTATAGCAATGATGATAAACACAGTTTATTATTGAGATTTTTCTATTTGCAATTATAAGAAAATACATACTGGAAATGGAGCTGAAATGAGTCAGAGGCTTTTGTCAGTTTTCAAATTATTTACCAGGAATATTTGATACTTGTATGTTTCATGTAAAAAAAGTAACATGTTTGTTATTTACCACCTCCCAATTGATTGCATGTCCATTGTGCATTGTGGGTTATTTCATTGTCATTTGAAGTAGCTGCTTAAACTGAAATAGTTTATTTTGCAACTCACTTGACTGCTAATGTTAAATGTTACTGTGTCTTCTGATCATGAGCATATCCTAGAAGCAGCTATTTGCCTATGAGAATTCCAGTGCACACCAAACTGACCCTAATAGGTCTGATTTTGCTGGTGAACTTGAATAGTAGGAAACCCCATTGCTTTTGTTGTCTTTCTTTAAGAAAATGACATAAGGTGCACAGTGATTGCGCAGTTTCCCTTAATCCCCAGTAAAAAGTTGGCTTTCAGAATTAATTCAGCATTGATCTATTGCTTTGTGACCCACATCAGTCAATTCAATAATAATGGAAAATGCTTTGGGTTCATTAATAGCTATTTGGAGCATTCCCAGGGTAAAAAATACAGTGTCTATTATTATTAATCACAAAATGACCCTTCTACTGTTTAGAAATTGTACAGAACATTATGATGAAGTTTATTTCAGTTCAGAACTTGATTACAGTTCTGCCCATCTGCAGTAGGAATTTCCTTGTGGAGCTCCAACCATGCGGTTTTATTGCTTGGGCTTTAGTAGTACTGAGAGCACATTGTTAGAGAAAATGGTCCATTAATCTCAGTGGCAACAGTTTAGTTTAGCCCATCCCTATAAATCCGTGATACAAGTTTTAACATGATGCAGATGTTACTGTGATTCTAGAGATGAACACTTTCTTTATTCTGTGCTATCCCAGTTCATGAGTATATTTTCTCCCTTGGGCAGAAAATTAAAGTGCTCACAAGACTTATTTTTAAAGGCATTTTTTTCTCTTCAGTGTATGGGAATTAAATAAATGCCTTTGATTCTGGCTTTGCCATGGATGCTTTTCTTGAGCCGAATATAAGCCTAATTCTGTGTTTTAAGTTCTACCTGATTCTTTTTGCAGTATACTAATGCATTTCCTGAAGAGTAAAATTGAGCAGTGGAGGATGGGACCATTCATTCATTCAATACGTGTTTATTGAGGACGTACAGGACACAGCCTTTGCACCAAGGACACTCACAGACAGGTAAACAAGTCATTAAAATGCTTTGCGATGAGAGCTGCAGCCGAGGAAAGCACCGTAAGTGAGTAGTGAAGATGGAGCAGCTGATTCAGCCTTGATGGGGCAGTACGAAATTTGTGGGAGAGGCCGGACGCGGTGGCTCACGCCTGTAATCCCAGCAGTTTGGGAGGCCAAGGCGGGTGGATCACGTGAGGTCAGGAGTTCGAGACAAGCCTGGCCAACATGCGAAACCCTATCTCTACTAAAAATACAAAAATGAGCTGGGTGTGTTGGTGGGTGCCTGTAATCCCAGCTACTCGGGAGGCTGAGGCAGGAGAATTGTTTGAACCCAGGAGGAAGAGGTTGCAGTGAGTAGAGGTCACACCACTGCACTCCAGCCTGGGAGACACAGCCAGACTCCATTTCAAAAAAAAAAAAAAAAAAAAAAGAAGAAGAAGAAAAAAAGAAATTTGTTGGAGAAGATAATGTTTTAACTCAGTCTTGAAGGATAAATGGGCATTAGCAGAAGAAAGAGCTTCTAGGCAAAGGAAATAACATGGGGAAGGAACAGAGAGGCTTGAGAGAATATGATGCATTCCAGAGAACTTCCAGGATTTTATATGAAGGGTTTTAGTACAGGAAGGTCTGTGTTGAGGGGTGGTGAAATTTGAGGTTAGAAATGTGGCCAGGACCAGATCCCAATAGGGTTTATATGCAATAAAAGTAATACTTCCCCTAAATGGGATCAAGAGTTACGAAAAGATTTCATGCAGCAGAGAGGTTCAGTCACCTTGTGGAAGACACATTTCTGACATGGGGAATGGGTTGAAGGATGGGATTGGAGGCAGGGAAACATGGCAAGAGTAATTGGGGAGATGTGCTCAGGTGTCACAACTTGGATGCTGGTGATAGTGTTACTGGGATGTAGTAGGTAGAGGCAGGTTGCTACTAAATGTTCTATAACACGTAAGATAATTCCCACACCAAAAAGTTAACTAGACCAGAATTTCAACGGTGATGAGGTTGAGAAACCCTGGGTAACAGTATGATAAATATTTCTAAGCCTAGTCAGTTGGCTAACTTGCACTTTTGTTATGATTACTTGGATATTACACAAACACAGAACTAACAAGTAGAGATGCGTCTGCTCCCTGATAGAAGTATACAGAACATTAGGACCAGAGTAGCCTTCAAGGTCAGCTAGCAATGTCTTTCTTTCTCAAGCTCTCTCATTAAAGATAAATTCGTATGTTTTAACGCAAAGCCCTAAAGAAGAAAGAGGGAGAGGTGCAACTCCTCTTGCTGTTTCAGGCAGTTCCTGGGGCACCTTCCAGAAACCCTGGAATTCTGCTCCACACAGTTTGAAAAATATTTATCTAGTTTCACAGTGCCTTAGTCAACCTATAAGAAAATGGAAACTTAGATTAAGTGATTTTCCTAGGATTTTATGTCTGGCTGGTGACAGACCAAGGTCTTCCGATTCCAAGCCCTTCCACAATAGAGCAGGCAAAAAATTAAACCACTTATTCTTGCTCTTTGTTTTCATTTTGCCAAACTGTATCTGTATGGTCTATTGAAATACACAATAAAATTATATATATATAAACACACACACACACAATTATATATAATATATATTATATATGTGTATATATAATATATAATATATATAATTATGTATAATATATAATATGATTAGTTATATATAATATAATCAGTTATGTATATGTGAGTATTATATATGACTTTGCTAATACAAAATATATACATAGTTTGCTAATATATAATTTAAAAAGCAATATACAATTATATATAATTACAATGTACAATTATATATTATATATAATTATGTATTATAATATATGTAGTATATGTATATTAATATATTATATGTAATATATACAATTGTATATATAATTGTTATATATTATATACAATATATAATTATATATTATAATTTTAATAATTTATTTTATATATATTGCGCATATTATAAAAGTTTGCGGCCAGGCGCCGTGGCTCACGCCTGTAATCCCAGCACTTTGGGAGGCCAAGGCGGGCGGATCACGAGGTCAGGAAATTGAGACCATCCTGGCTAACACGGTGAAACCCCGTCTCTACTATAGATACATAAAAAATTGGCCGGGCGTGGTGGCGGGCGCCTGTGGTCCCAGCTACTCGGGAGGCTGAGGCATGAGAATGGCGTGAACCTGGGAGGCGGAGCTTGCAGTGAGCCGAGATAGCGCCAGGGCACTCCAGCCCGGGCCACAGAGCGAAACCCCATCTCAAAAAAAAAAAAAAAAAAAAAATTACTAGGACTGCTATAGCAAAATCCCACAGACTGGATGCCTCAAACAACAGAAATTTATTTTCTCACAGTCCTGGAGGCTGGAAATCTGAAATCAAGGTATCTGCAGGGTTGGTTTCTTCTAAGTCCTCCCCCTTTGGCTTCCAAATGGCTGTGTTCTCCGTGTGTCTCCACTTGTTTGTGTTTAAATTTCTTCTTCTTCTTCTTCTTTTTTTTTAGAGATAGGGTCTCATGCTGTTGCCTAGGCTGGAGTCCAGTGTAGCAATTGTGGCTCACCGCAGCCTCGAACTCCTGGGTTCAAATGATCCTCCTGCCTCAGCCTCACAAAGCTTTGTGATTACAGGCATGAGCCACCATGCCCTGCCCCAAATTTCTTCCTCTAAGAAACCAGTCATATTGGAATAGAGCCCACCCTAATCATCTCATTTTAACATAATTGCCTCTTTAAAAGCTCTGTCTCCAAATACAGCCACATTTTGAGGTACCGGGGTTAGGACTTCAACATGTGAATTTTGCGGGGACACAGTTCATTCCATAATGATATAGAGATATAAAGTTTGTGTTTGTTTAAGGGTGATGATTACTCTCAAATCTTCCAGCAGAGTGCTGCTATCTGCCTTATTATATGATATGAGACCTGTTCTTATTTATGAAATGGGAATGCAGTAACAGACCTCTTTCCACCAGGTCTTTCACTGTAAGAGTGATCTACAGAAAGAATTGTAAAATATCTAATATTGAGAAGTGCTCCAAAGATATTCAATGAGCTGTGAGGCTCTTTGATAAAAATCTTTAAATAAATTTTGCACACCAGTAAGTCTGAATTATAATTATATTGCATTACTGTTCCCGCCATGAGCACATTTATGACAAAGTTGGGAGCTCCCCAAGCACTTTCTGCATGCTAGGATTCTAGAAAACTGACCCGAGGAAACAGAGGTAAGGGACTCAACACTCATTAGCTTTTGGAATTTATCAGAAATGTGAGCTTTGAGATTTTATGCCTGCCGCTTTCTACCTTTAGAAACCTAGGAGCTTATGTTCAAACTCAATTTTTGAACTTTGGAGAATGGGTTTCTAGTCTTGCACTTGAATTGTGTTGTTGAAGACTTTCATGTAAAATATCTGTATTCATTTGTTCAGTGTGGGGTTTGTTCAAAGCAAGTGATGCCTCCTAACTTTGGGATGATATGCACATCTGGGTTGAGAGAATTCTCTGCACAAGAGAGAGAAAATTTGATGGTGTTACTTTATGTATGTCCAGAAAGAAATAAAGACCTTACAAAGTTGTGATTTTGATATAAACAGACAAAATTACTGTTTGGGAATCACTTTTTGGAAAACAGTGACTGAGATGGGCCTCGGGAGAGGAGTTCCTGCTGCTGAAGTGTGTCCCGGTAACACTCTGTGTCTGTCTTCACTGTCCTAGCCCTGGCTTGTGTTCCCTCCTGCCTGGGTTCCTGCTGAAGCCCCCGCCTCTCCGCCCATCCTTCCCACTCACCAAGCCAGCAGAGAGATCTGCCAAAAATGCCATCTGATCGCACTGCTCCCCTACTCCTCTTGGAAACCTTTGAGTGATTCTTCATTCCTTAGAGACCAATGTCCATCTGAGCTTGGTGTCTAGATCTCTCATATTCCACGCCTTCCCCTTAATTCCCTCTTCACCTCTGAATCCTGAGCCTAATCTACTAATCCCGCTTCCTTTCCTCTGAACGTCTGTTCAAATGGTCTTCTATTCTTTGAATACCATCATTTCTGTTTTGTCACCTGTCCGATCCATTTCTTGAATTGCAATTCTCCCCTCCTCCCCAGGAACCTTCTCAGGTCACCTCAACACAACCCAACTTTGTTAGCTGCCGGACATCTCACCATTTACCTGGCATCTGAGCATTTATTTATGTACCAGATTTTGTTGTACCCTGCAACCTAAAAGAGTAGAACTGTGTCTCAATCGTGGGTCATTCGTTCCCCAATACAGAGGCCAAAGTGCATTGTACAGAGGACTCCCTCAACAAATATTAGCTGAATTGTAGAAATGGAACCATTTAGCTACTAATGATGAAAATTTACCCTGTCTGTAAAGGTTTTGGATATGCTGTCTGTGCCATGCAATTTGAAGCCGTAACCTCTACACCAGACAAGTGAACATGGATGTGACTGAGCTGTGGAGCTGTTGAAAGGTGATCCTGCTTCTCAGGGGTGAGTGGATTTCCAGTTTAGGTGGCTCAGCTTGTTGCTGAGTAATGGTAATGAATGAAGTGCTGATAATGAATGAAGTGCTGATATGACATTCTTCTTGTACTTGGTGGTTTTGATAGATGAATGTTAACATCCAGTGAGCATAACAAACTAGAATTGGTTTTCTTTCAAAAGCAATGGCTTGTTTGGAAAACCTTGATCCAGTTGGATATGCAGTGTGGAGTTTCTATAGTCACACTTCATGATGGGCCCTGAATTTGGATGTAATTTCCATATACTGCTTCATATTGTTGTTCTGATTGAGCATCGCTTTCCATTCACAGAACTCGTTGGTGGCAAATACCTCATGAAATTTCCTAGGATTTAATGATTGAGCCTGGTCTGCTTACAGAAAGT
The DNA here is from genome assembly GCF_000001405.40 of Homo sapiens. Classification (NCBI taxonomy): domain Eukaryota; kingdom Metazoa; phylum Chordata; class Mammalia; order Primates; family Hominidae; genus Homo; species Homo sapiens. The sequence goes on from NC_000010.11 coordinate 35,732,344, forward strand.
ATTTTATGGGTGGGATATACGTAGACTGAAGACATTATATTTACTATATTTTAAAATATATTTTAGCTTTTGTATTTTTTTCTAGTGACTTTTTATTTATTTATTTATATTTTTGAGAAGGAGTCTTGCTCTGTGACCCAGACTGGGGTGCAGTAGCATGATCTTGGCTCACTGCAACCTCCACCTCCTGGGTTCAAGTGATTCTCCTGCTTCAGCCTCCAAGTAGCTGGGATTATCATGGAGAATCATGCGCCACCACGTCCGGCTAATTTTTGTATGTACTTTTTAGTAGAGATAGGCCAGGCTGGCTTTGAACTCCTGACCTCAGGTGATCCGCTCACCTCGGCCTCCCAAAGTACTGGGATTACAGGAGTGAGCTACTGTGCCCGGCCCGTATTGACTTTAATTTGATACGCTTCGAGTATAAATTTCTTACTGATGTTCATAGCATTATTTCTCACTGTTCTTCCTAGAGGAGTCAAATGGATTTCCTTGCTGTACAATGAACACTCTGGTATAATTTTGCTCATACTCTTCCTTGGTCTGCATGCATTTTGTTATTCCTAGTGTTGTTTAATTTCTCTTTTGCCTGATCAGTTTTGCCAATAGTTTATTCATTTTGAATTTTTTCCCCTAAGAACCTACTTTTGCTTGTGTTGTTTCTTTTCATTGATTTTTTGTTGTCTTTTTAATTGATTTCTATATGGATCTTTATTATTTCCTTCAATGTTCTCCAGATTTGTCTGTGGTCTTTTTTTTCGGTTCTGTTTATTCATACAAAATTTTTATTGTATTATTGAGTTGTAATTTACATAACATAAAGTTCATGATAGTTAAGTATATAATTAAATGAGCATTAGCAGATTTATAGAGTTGTGCAATTGTCAGTACAATTTAGCTCTGGAACTTTTCCATTATTCCCAAAATTTCTCTTGAGCCTGTTTTCAGTCTTTGCTCCCATTCTTCCTCCCACAAGCCCTAAGCAACCACTGATCTACCTTCCGTGTTTAATAAATTTGCCTTTTCTGGACATTGGCTATAAATGGAATAATACAATATGTAATTTTGGGGGTCTCGCATGTTTCATTTTGCAAAATGTTTTTGAGGTTCATCCATATTATACCATGTATTGGTATCTTGTTCTTTTTTACTGCTGACTAATATTCTGTTGTATAGATATACAATATTTTGTATATCTATTCACCGTTGTTTCCAGTCTTTAGCTATTATGACTAATGCTGCTATGAACATTATACAAGTCTTTGTGTGATAATATATTTCCATTTCTTTTGGGTATGTTTCTAAGAGTAGAATTGCTGAGTTGTATGGTAATTTTCTATTTCACTTTTTAAGAAACTGCCCAGCAGTTTTCCAAAATGTCTATGCTATTTTACATTCTCATCAGCAATGAATGAGGGTTTCAATTTCTCCATATTCTTACCAACACTTGGCATTGTCTGTCTTTTTGAATATTGTCATTCTAGTAGATGTATAGTGATATTCTCATTGTGGTTTTAAGGTGCATTTCCCTAATGTTTAATGTTGTTGAGCTTCTTTTCATGTGCTTATTAGTCATTTATGTATCTTCTTTGGTAAAATGTCCGTTTTGGCCATTTAAAAAATTGAGTGTTTTGTCTTTTTATTTTGAGTTGAAAGAGTTCTTTATATATTCTACATGATTTGGCAATACCCATAGTTTGTTGCTTGTCTTTCCAATTACTTAATTGTGTCTTTAGAAGCAAAACATTTTTAACTTTAATGAAGCCCAATTTAATAATTTTAAAAAATGACTTGTGCTTTCAGTGTTGTATCTAAAAACTCTTTGCCTGATCCCAGATCATAAAGATATTCCCCTATATTTTCTTTCAGAAATTTTTATACTTTGAACTCTTAATTGAGGATTCTGGGATCCTATTTGAGTTATTTTGTGTATGTTGTGAGGTAAGAGTCTAAGTTATTTTCTTTTTTCTATTTTTTTTTGCCTATAGACATCCAGTGGTCTCAGCACTGTCTGTTGAAAGAACTGTCCTTTCTCCACTGAATTATCTTGGCAATTTGTCAAGAATCAACTGAATGTAAATATAAATGTTTATTTCTGAATTCTCTGTTGTGTTCTATTGATCCCTGCCTATTTTACACAAACATCAAATCATTAATGATTGTAGCTTGATAGTAAGTTTGAAAATTGGGTAGTGTATGTCTTCAAACTTGTTCTTCTTTTTCAAAATTATGTCGATTCTGTAGATCCTTTGCATCCTCATCCACATTTTAGGATTAACTTGTTGATTTTCTAAAGACAAGATGATTAGATTTTTAATAGAAATTACATTTACTCTATAGATCAATTTGGGAAGAACTGTCAAAAGTTTGACTGTGATGTGATTTCTTTGTGCTTAGTCTGCTGGGGTTTCTTGAGCTTCTTGGATCTGTAGGTTATCTTCTCTTTTTATCAAGTTTAGAAAATTTTAGGCCATTATTTCTTCAACTATTTTCTGCTTCTTTTTCCTTTTCTTCTGGGAATACCATTACAAGTGTATTGGTACCCTTGATGTTGTTCCACAGGTCTCTAATGCTTTGATAGCTTTTTTTTTTTCAATGTTTTTTCTCTGTTCATCAGATTGGATAACTTTTATTGATCTATATTTACATTTGCTGATTCTTTTTTCTGCATTTTGTCTGCCAAATATTCTCCTAATTAATATTTCATACCAGTTATTGTACTTTTAATTTCAGAATTTTCATTTGGTTCTTTTTAAAAACAATTTTTTCTGTATTCAGATTATGTGTTGAGTCATTATTGTCACAGTTTCTTTGAACCTTTAAATATGGTGTTCTCTAATTTTTAAGATATATTTATAATAGCTGCTGCGAAGTCTTTGACTACTAAATCCAACATCTGGAAACACTCAGACAGTTTCTGTTAACTGCTTTTTCTTTTTTCTTGAGAAACACTTTCTCGTTTCTTTCTATGTCTACTAAGTTTTGTTGTTGTTGAATTCTGGATATTTAGATAATATATTGTTTTAACCACAGATTCTGACTTTTCTCCCCGAGGTTTGTCTGTTGTTTAATTACTTGCCTGGATTAAATCTGAGAAGTTTGTCTCCCCACAATGTGTACATGTTGATGTCTCTGTTCAGTTAACTTCTTTTTATTTTTAAGCCTTGTTTCCTAGGGTTTGTTTCCGTGTCTGCCTGTCTTGGTATTCAGTCAAAGATTAGTCAGAGGCTGAGCTCAAATGCCTTAGGTCAGTAAGGCTTCTCTACTTTGTGCTGCTGGATCTACATGTGAGTCAGGGAGCACGTTCAGTCTTGGTCCACTTTCGAGTCCACTCCAGGCCTTATTCTATGCCAGGCCTCTTGTATCTCCTCTGAGCATGTGCAGGGCTCCATCATCTAGGAATATATGGGTGGGTTGGACCTCCCCTGGTCTGTGTTGCTCACGCGCAAGGCTTGGGACTACTTGGAATATGCAGGAGATCTTATGAGCCCCTCTCTGGGGCTCCTCATCAAATCCCTGAATAGACCACTGGTTAATTATGTGCCTTCGCCATGACTGCATCCTTAGGTTAGCGAGCCACTAGCCCTCTCTGCTCACCCGGTTTGGCTATAAGATTTGCAGGTCCTAGCACAAAATGAAAATTGCTAAAAAATCATTGTTTATGTTATGTCTGCTGATTTAGAAGCTATAGATTGTATTGCTATTTTTTTTATCTAATTAAAAAATACATCCTAAATCATATTTTTTTTGACAAGGCTTAAAGTTGTTTAGTTTTTCTGCTTCCTAAACATGACATGAATCTTGACATTCTGTTCCGTTAACACCACTTTCTATTTCTCCTTTTTTCATTGCCATCTAGAGTTTTGTCTTGATGTGTTCTTTTAATACAAAAAGAACTAAATCACTTTTTAATTAAGAAACTCAACTGGATAAATGTTAAAAAACAATAAAAATTAAGTTAACCAACATTTGATCATTTACTGTGCTCAAAATAATTTCTTATATCCTTTAAGAGTTCATTGAGTTGAGATCTCAGAAAATCAGTACTTTTGGTTTTCGAATGTCTGGAAATATCTGCATTTTATTCTCACCTTTGAGGGATTGTTTGGTATAAAGTTCTCGATTGAGAGTTGCTTTTCCTCCTCTCATTTACATAATTGTCTTTTGAATCTGTTGTTGATGTCAGTCTAATCATTTTTCCTCTATAGATGATTTGTCTTTTCTCTCTAGTGGATTCTTGGATTTTTTCTTTAGCATTAGTGTTTACTGTAATATGTCTATGTGTAAGTTTTCTTGACTTTATCCTGTTGAGTAGTTAAAATGCGTTTTTGATTTGAGCATTCATTTCTGAAAAGTTTCCAGTTATCTCTTTTAATATGTCCATTCCTTCCATTGTCTTTTCTGTAACTCTATTTATTTATTATCACTTTCGTAGAGCTGGGGTCTTCTTGTGTTGCCTAGGCTTGTCTTGAACTCCTGGCCTCAAGCAATCTTCCTGCCTCAGCCTCCCAAAATGCTGGGATTACAGGCATGAGCCACAGCATTTGGCCATAACTCACTTTAGACATATATTAGAATCACAGTTCTCAGCAGGAAGCAATTTTGCCCTCCAAGGGATATTTGGCAAAGTTCAGAAACATGATTGGTTCTGACAACTTGAGGATGCTACTGGTTTCTAGTGTGCTGAGGCCAGGGATGCCGTTAAACATTCTACAAAACATAGGACAGTGCCTCATTCCCAAAACACAACAAAGAATTATTCTTCCCCAAATGCCAACAGCCCCTGGCTGAGGATGTCACTTGAAAACCACTCTCAAATCTTAAACTAATTTTTCATCTTTTTTTTAAAAACTCTGTTTCTTTGTATTGTACTTTAGGTGACTTCCTCAGCAGTGTTCTCTATTCTCTCATTTAGTTTCTGTTTTCATTTTAACATTTATCCAGTTGAGTTTCTTTCTAAAATTTGGTAGATTATATTTGTCATTTCAAGATATTTGGATGATTCTTTATAACTTATTTTGGTTTTTGTTTTTCTTTTGTCTATGTCTCTCACCACCAATAATTTCTTGCTTTCTTTTAATAGAAGTTATTCCATTTCTCTCTTTCAGCATCTAAACATACTTACATTAAAGTCTATATTATATAGTTTCATCACTTTGTTTTTACCTGGAATATATTTGCCTCCTTGTCTTAGACCATTCAGGCTGCTGTAACAAATATACCATAGACAAAGTGGCTTATAAACAACAGATATTTATTTCTCACAGCTCTGGAGGCTGAGAAGTCCAACATCAAGGTGCCAGGGGATTCTGTGTCTGGTGAGAATTGGCCTCCTGGTTCATAGATGGTTGGCTTCTTGCTATGTCCTCACATGGCAGGAGGCAGAAGGAAATTATCTGGGGCTTCTTTTATACGGACACTAATCTCATTCATGAGGGTTCCACTCTCATGACCTAATCACTTCCCAAAGGCCCCATCTCCTAATATCATTACATTGGAAGTTAGGTTTCAACACACGAATTTTAGGGGCACACGAGCATTCAGTCCATGGCATTTTCTTCCTGCCCCTCAAAATTCATGTCCTCACATGCAAAATACATTTATTCCAGCCCAACAGTGCCCCCCTCCCCGCCCCAATCTCAACTTGTTCCAGCATCAACTCAAAAGTTCAAAGTTCAACATCTCATCTGAATATTATCTAAATCAGATATGGGTGCGACTCAGGCTTCAATTCATCCTGAGGCAAATTTCCCCCTAGTCATAAGCCTGTGGAATCAAACAAGTTACCTGATTCCAAAACATGATGGTGGGGCAGGCAGAGGGCAGACATTCTCCTTCCAAAATGGAGAGAAAAGAGAAGTGATAGGTTCTAAGCCAAAACCTACCAGGACAAATTGCATTAGGCCTGAAGCCTTGAGACTGATCTTCTTAGGCCTGATAGTCTGCCTTTCAGGCTCAATGGGGTGGACGTCCCACCTTCCAGATCCTGTCTTCTGGACACACTGGGGCTATGATCCTGCCCCTACAGCTTTCTTAGGAAGAAGTTGAGCCCCCAGTGCTCCTGGTTGGTCTGCCCCCTGGATTTGGGAGGCTCTTTCCTAATGGTGACACCCTGCCTGGACTCCACCACCATGACTCCAAGGGATAGTTCTCCTGTCCTCTGAAATCTAGGTGCAGGCATCCATGCCCCCTGGGCTTGAGCATTCTTTGTTTGCTACCAGAGTTTGCTGACTGTGTCCTCCAGAGGGATGACCATCATGGCCTGTGCCACACCTGGGTCTACCAGAGCCACAATTGAGGTGGCTGAAGAACTGGGTGCTGGAACATGGGGAATGGAGTCTGTGATGTTAGGTGTGCTGGGCAGTGTGCACCAATGTCCCACAGGCAATGGAGTCCCCTCCTTTGCATTCATCCATTGTCTTGAACAATAGTACCTGGTTGAGGCTGCTGACTGATCTTATCAAATGGTCATGTGGTCACACCCTTAGTGTTTCTTCTGAACACATTTTCTCATTTTTTGCAATATGAGCAGGCTGAGAATTTCCCACACCTCTAAGTTCTTTTTTTATTTTGATTAACAATTCCCCTTTACACCATTTCTCTCTTTTCTCATCTTACTAGAAGCAGTCAGGAGGAACCAGGCTGTTCCTTCAACATTTTGCCTAGACTTTCCTAAGCCAAATCTCCAATCTCATCACTCCCATGTTCTAACTTTCACAAAACACTAGGACAAGAACCAATTTAGCCACCTTTTTTGCCACTTTATAACAAAGATCTTTCCTCCCACTTCCTTGCCAGGCCTCATCAGAATGGCCCTTAAGTGTCCATATTTCTATCAACATTCTGTTCAGGATTACTCAGGTATTCTCTGAGAAGATTGAGGCTTTTTCTACAGCTGTCTTATTTTCTTCCTGAGTCCTCATCACAATCACCTGTGGTGAGGCAGGCTTTTTCTAGCATGAACACCCAAACTCTCTCTGCCTCTATCCATTGCCCAGTTTCAAAGCCACTGGAATATTTTTAGGTACCACTTCCTGGTACCAATTTCTGTTAGTTTGTCTGGGCTGCTATAACAGAACACCATTACCTGGCAGCTGATAAATGATAAACATTTATTTCCCACAGTTCTGGAGGCTAGGAAGTCCAAGACCAAGGCACCAGCAGATACAGTGTCCAGTGAGGCCTGCTTCTGACTCTCTAGAGAGAGTGTTTTCTTGCTATAACCTTACATGGTAGAAGGGGTGGGAGATCTCTGAGGTCTTATAAGGGCGCCATTTCCATTCATGAGGGTTCTGCCTTCATGACCTAATCATCTCCCAAAGACCTCATCTTCAAATACCATCACATTAGCGGTTAGGATTTTAACATATGAATTTTTGGGAAATGCAAACATTTATAGTACCTCCATGTAAAAATTTTATGACTATACTATTTGTATTAGATTTTTTCCCCCATAGTTTTTCAAATTTAGATTTTCAGGTTCATTTTAAATGATAAGTTTTACATTTTTTTTTTTAAATTTCTCTCTGTTCTTACTTCACTTTGTCTATGGGTTTTTTAGTTTTCTCTCCTGAGATTTCTGGGCCCCAGTCCAGACCAGGTTTTATGATGTTATTTTGGGGGTTCCTATCCCAAGTCATAGTAAGGGGAGTACAGATTTTGTCCCTAGGCCAGCAGACAGCTTACTTAAGTTTTGGACATGAAATTGTGTCTGAGCTTGTCTACTTTTGTAGCTTGTTCAAATCTGTTTTAAAGGGGGCATTTGGTACTGTTCCCTTAAATTCCAGCACAAAGCACCATCCCAGCTTCTGATTTCAAGCCTATCCCTGCTTGGCCATGTGACTTAGAGAATGTCTGGCTTCTTCTGACTCACAGGAACCAAACTCTGGCTACCACCTCCAGCAGGCTTGTGTTTTCCCTCAACTTGCTGTTTCATTTCCTTCTTCTGTGGGTATCTGTCTTTTGTTTTTGAAACTATTTTTTTTTGTTTTAATTTCTATATTTTATTTTATTTATTTACTTTTTGAGAAAGGGTCTAGCTCTGTCACACAGGCCAGAATACAGTGGTACAATCATAGCTCACTGCAGTCTCCAACTCCTAGGTTTAAGCAATCCTCCCTCCTCAACTTCCCAAGTAGCTGGGACTACAGGTGCATGTCACCATACCTGGCTATTTGGGTCTTTCTTAATTTTTTTGTAGAGGTGGGTCTCACTATGTTGCCCAGACTGGTCTTAAACTCCTGGGCTCAAGCAATCCTCCTGCCTTGGCCTCCCAAAGTGCTAGGATTATAGGCGTGAGCCACTGCACCTGGCCTATATTTTATTTATCATTGCCATGTGTTTGAAAGAGAGAGGGTACTTCAAAGTATGAATTCACCACACTACCATGTCCAGTAGATTTAAAAAATAACTTCTAATGCCTATTATTTCTTTCAACATTCAGCTGAAGGGACACTTCTTGATTTAAATTTCTTTCAAATTCTTACTGTCTGTATAGTTTTTTAAAAAGTCAATCTGTGTTATGTTTGATGATATCTTTTGTATTCTTATCCTGATCTTTTTCATTACAGTTTTTTAAATCCTTATTTCTTATCTTTTCGACTAGATCGTGAGTTTCTTAAGTGTAAGGGCTCTATGTTTTACTTCCTTTATTATTCTACAATGCACAGAATAAAGCTTTGAATGGAATAAATGTTCTTTATATTTCTGTTGCATTGATTATTCTATATAAAGTGGAGGTATTCATGAGCTGTACTTAGGGAAACAGCCTCTAGATGTTACCCCATGGTGAAGAAATGGACATTATAGTTTTAGAAGTAAGATAATCTGACATAAGTTTTCTTTGATTAAACACCATTGATGACATGAATTTGCATTGAATTCTGGAACCATGGAACATTTGACCTGGAAGAAATTTCATGAAGCTTTTATTCTGACCCACTTTATCAGTTAGATTGTGTTTGTCCCTTAGGAAAGAAATCTAAGTTACAGTGAAATGAAATAAAGGTTATTTTTCTCCTGTAAGGGAGAAGGCCAGCAGTGCTCAGTGTAGCCAGGGTTAATGTGACATCCGAAAGATGATGATGGGGACCCACTTCTTCTACTGCTCTGCTCCTACACTTTGGTGGGTGCTTTTCTTCCTGAAGGCACTAAGGCCACTGCCATGCATCCTGCCATTGTTGCTGCATTCCAGGTAGGAATTAGAAGGAAGGGAAAAGGGCAAAAGTGCTATGTTAACTATCCCATTTGATCAGAAAAATAAAGCTTTCTAGAAGTGCCATGCAAAGATTTCTACTTACATCTCATTGGCCAGAACTGGTCACAGTGGTCTGGGGAAATAAATTATTTTCAACTGGACACATTGCCACCCTACACAAATTAAGAGGTCTATTAGTAGGGATGGAGGGAAATGGAAAATAGGTAGGCAAATTGTAGAGTGTGACCAACTCTTAACACTTATTTGATAGAGAAGGACCCCTCTGGAAGGATTTTAAAGGGATTTTCCAAATGATGAAATTGGGGAGGACAGACTGTAGATGAGTGAGGCTACTGACAGATAGACCAGTTAACCTACTGATGCAGGAATCTAGGCAAGAAACAGTTCTGAACTAGGGCAGTGGCAATTATGGCAAAGAGGTAGAGGCAGGATTTAAATGATTAGGAGTTGGAATGGATAAGTTTAATGACAATCACAAAAACAAAAATCATCTCAATTTTATTTTACAGTTAGATTTGGATTAGTTGTAAAAAATCTAAACCTCTTATCTTTCAGCATTGGCGAAGAATCTGCAGATATGTATTTTATTTCATTCCATTTTATTTATTTATTTTTAAAAATTTTACTTAATTCTGTATTTTAAATACGAGTAGAAGGAAGAGGTGTGAGCCAGCCTCAAATTTCGGAGGTTAATAAGACAAAGAGTTGTCTGGCATGTTCGAAGAGGGTATGCTACTTAAGGGCTTCAGATATGGTGAAAATTGAGCTGGAAACATGGTGAGAATAATATCCCTTTTGTAGGAATTTGGACTTGAAGTAACACAAATCAATGAATGTTTTAAAAACAACTGCTGTTTTAAAACTCACAACCAAGTTTATGTAATTACACTGTTCTTATTTGGAGCATTTTACTCATCCTTAGACCTCAGACTCCATACTGCGAATGATGGTGAGTGTGTTTCCTAAATGCAGCAGATAAAACAGCCATCATCACAGCCCAAGCAAGATCTATGCCTCTATGACATTCTTTTGACCCAATCAGTTAAGAAAAGTTTGAATTTCTAGGTTTGAGAGAAGGCTACTCCTTCTGAGCTGTCATTTGAAATGCCAACATATCTCAGCTGTAGGTCAATGGGAAGTTGCATGTTTTCTATTGACCACAGAACAAAGTAGCCAAATATTAATTAACATGTTTGAGAATGAGTGCAAGAGCTGAATGCTACCAGTTTGAATCCTTCAAGAAGATTAAAAAATTATGTGTCCCCAAACCTTTTTCTTTTTCTTTTTTTGTTTTCTTTTTTCTTTCTTTCTTTCTTTCTTTCTTTCTTTCTTTCTTTCTTTCTTTCTTTCTTTCTTTCTTTCTTTCTTTCTTTCTTTCTTTCTTTCTTTCTTTCTTTCTTTCTTTCTTTTTTTTTCGAGACAAAGTCTTACTCCGTTGCCTAGGCTGGAGTGCAGTGGCGCAATCTCGGCTCACTGCAACCTCTGCCTCCCAGGTTCAAGCAATTCTCATGCCTCAGCCTCCCAAGTGGCTGGGATTACAGGTGTGTGCCACCACACCTGGTTGATTTTTGTATTTTTAGTAGAGACGAGGTTTCACCATGTTGGCCAGGCTGGTGTTGAACTCCTGACCTCAGGTGATCTGCTTGCCTTGGCCTCCCAAAGTGCTGGGAGTACAGGCGTGAGCCACTGTGCCTGGCCACCTTTGTCATTTAAGAATATTAAATGAAATAATATTCAGAAAATGGAAATACAGAGTCAAATTCAAAATTTAAGTGTTATGTGATAAAATTATAACTGATATGAAAAACAAAACCACAGGAGAGTTGAAGAAGAAGGGAGTTGGAGACTTGAAGGGGTTTATAGGCCAAGGGGAGAAAGCAAGTTTGATTGAGTTTATACTCCAGCTATGTGGTCCTGAACTTCTGGAAGTTTCCACACATTGTCATTAGTGCTTATAGAAGAAACAGATCATCTGGATGCCTGACTGATAGTTTTATGTCTTACTCAGATATTGTTGTGTCTTCTTACTGGACTTAACAAACATACATCTGGAATCCATGCCTTTTAAGCAAAGATGAAAGTTGTCTTTAAAATGATATAATGAAAACTTAAGAGACAAAATGAGAGCTTTATAATTTATTCTTCAAACATGGTTGGGTTATGGTAAAGATTTTCACATGTGAATGGCTATTTATGGAAAAAATCAACTCACTGCTTAATTTCTTAAAAACAGTATTTCAACAATTTAGGTCAAAATCAACAAAGATGTGATTCTCCTTACTGCACATGGCTCATTCTTGCGTTTGACTTCAGTTGCGTACATAATGCCTTTTATCTTACAATGTGAGTCTGTCTACCTTATTAGAATTCATAGAGCTACAGATTGGAAATGTGGTCTAAATGGAAAACTTTTTGAACATAATGTGGTGCATGTCATTATTTTTCTTCCAAGAAAATAACATTCCAAAGAAGATGATTTCATTTGATGAATGGATCTACAAAGCAAAATTGTCATGCCCTAAAATCCAAATAGCTTTCCAGGAAACATGTAAGTTTCCCAAATTTCAAAGTCAGATTGTAAATACAGCTGCTGTGTGTCTGATCTTCTACCAATAAAATCTTTGCAGTGAGCAAGTGCAGTATTTTGCTTGGCAAGTTATTGTGTTAACTTGTGATTCAGATTATTAAAGTCATTAAAAAATTATACATAATTCTGTGATCTAGCAGCTGGGACAAAATATAGTTTTGATTGCCAGTACAATATAATAATTTCTTGAGTTGGTATTTTAATAATTGAGAACACAACTTAAATTATGTATTTTTTTAAGGGAAGGAAGGTTCTTAATGGTTATTTAGGCCAGTTCACTCACTTGAAACTGAGGCTCAGAGACAGTATTTGACTTATCCATGGCCACAAGCCTGCTTAAACACCTTTTTAGTTTGCCTGGTCTACTGGATTCTGCAAAGAATAAATATTGCATGCAGAGAATATTGCAATTTGGGATTGCCTTTTAAATGTGTGTTGATATGTGCGTTGACAGGATCTCTCTTACAATTTGTTGTTTTTTTTCTGTTCACCCTTCCTTTTCTCTTTATGAAGGACCCATTTCATATGGGTTCACGTGGGAGTGACTTCCCCACAGGTGGCCAAAACACGTTAGCTTGGCCAATTGGAATTTCATACTCTTCAGGCCACATGACTAGTTCAGGGGTGGGTAGTAACCTTGTCTGGTCCATCAGAGCCCTCCCCAGTCCCATTTATGGAGCTATATAAAAATGGTACTCTCTGTCTTCTATAATTGCTAGTATTAAGCCTGAAACATCTGATGACCATCTTAAGAGAATGAGGTCAATACACAAGAAACCAGAGCAAACTAAAGGATCAAAACTTGAGGACATCGTTTGAGTGTCTGGATCACACTGTAGCTGAAGCAGGTGTACGCCCTGGATGCCTTCCTGTTAGGTGAATAAGTAAAAAAGATTTTTTTTTTTTTTTTATTTGTGCTGAGGCTCATTGGAGTTCGTTTCTGCTACTTACAACCTGAAAAATTCTAAGTCACATAGCACTTAGGGAACACAGGATCTCAAGCATTTTTGTGCTTTTACAATGGGCAAATGAATAACACATACTGATCCTCAAAGAGGAAAGAGAAAAGAAGGGGGCCAGGAGCTTGGGTTGTAATCTTGGCCCAATCCAGAGGATGCTATTTGTATAGAAGACCAGGTGCTCCTGGAGGTGTATGGCATCACGACTGGGAATTATTACAGTAAAAAGGGGTGACTGAAAAAAATTCTACTCTCTTTCACCCAGGAAATTTTGATAAGTTTCATCAATCCTGTGGTGAATAACTATACCAGAAGGTACATTAGAATGAGGAAAACAGCTTTTTGTGCTGACGCAGGTGGAGGAAAGGTGGCCTGGTGCAGTGCAGAGGTGAGGAGTGGACTGTGCAGGCCGGACTTCCTGGCACAGCATCCATGAGTGTGGGCACCTGCTTCATGGCTGGACGGTCACTTACCTCTTCTGTGAAACAGAGGTGATTATAGAAACAGACGGCTGTGCCTGTTGATAGGGCCACTGAGAACAAACTAAGATGATACCCATGAGGCACTCAGAACATTGCTGAGCCCCTGGTGGGTGTGCAGTCAATGTTAGCTATTTAATGATTTTTTTTAACAAGTAGATGGAGGGCTATTTCTTTTTTGTATTAACAGATGTCCTGGGAATGTTGGCTAGAACAAAGACTTAGGCAGGGAACTTTTAGAGGAATCTGAACGCATACTTCTTACCCTGAGACACAAGTTCTTTTTACAGTACTGGGGTTGCAATTCCTGTCCATCTAGCACACCCTGTATGCACCTGCATTCTCTTGTTAGTTGCACAGAATCCCATTTGCTGTGAATTATCCAGGAGAGGCTAGAGCCTGCCCATTGGAAAAAGGGGCTAATTTCTTAGAAGCTAGTCTGAAGAAACAGCTGCTGATGAGTAGACCCCCTCAGATAATATCTGCCTACAGTCTAGTTAAGGAGCCAAGAAGTCATAACAGGCATGAATAGCTGTGTGACCCTGCAGAGTTCATTAACAGCAGGAGGGCAAAGGAGAGAGCCACAAGGAGCTGGGAGTTGCTGTAGAGTTGCTGAGCTGCACGGTGGGTGCTGAGGCCGGGGTGGTGGCGGCTTTTAGAGATCCCTGAGACAAGCCCCAGGCAGGGTGGTTTAGAGGCTGGGAGGAATCAGTCACTCAGTCCCTTTAAGTCTCTTGTGAATATTTAAGAGCCTGGGCAGGTGTGAAAAGCATTTATTATCCAAATTAAAGAATGAGGTTGGGTGTAGTGACTCACACCCGTAATCCCAGCACTTTGGGAGGCCAAAGTTGGAGAATCGCTTGAGCCCAGGAGTTCATGACCAGCCTGGCCAACAAAGTGATACCCTGTCTCTACATAAAAATTAAAACAATTTGCCTGGTGTGGTGGTGTGCACCTGTAGTCCAAGCTATTTTGGAGGCTGAGATGGGAGGATGGCTTGAGCCTGGGAGGTTGAGGCTGCAGTGAGCCGTGATTGTGCCACTGCACTCCAGCCTGGGCAACAGAGTGAGACTCTGTCCCAAAAAATAAAACAAATGCAGTGGCTTACGTCTGTAATCCCAGCACTTTGGAAGGCCAAGGTGGGCGGATCACCTGAGGTCAGGAGTTCGAGAGCAGCCTGGCCAACATGGAGAAACCCCGTCTCTACTAAAAATACAAAAAAATTAGCTGGGCGTGGTGGTGCACGCCTGTAGTCCCAGCTACTCAGGAGGCTGAGGCAGGAGAATCGCTTGAACCCAGGAGGTTTCAGTGAGCTGAGGTCACACCACTGCACTCCAGCCTGGGCAACAAAAGTAAGACTGTCTCAAAAAAAAAAAAGGAAAACAAATGAATTCAAGACGGGTATATGACTTCTTTTTTTTGAGGCTGGAGGCTGGCTAGTCAATAAAAGAGAGGGAAAATCCTTAAAAGTACGGCCTCTGTTTTGTGAGGTCTGCTGCAGTCTCTGGGTTTGGCGTTTCCTCCTTGCCTGGTCTTTTCTGTGGTGGAAATGAAGGAAATCACTCCCAGGGATCCTTTGCCCCCCAGAAAAAAACTTCTGTGGAGAAAGTACAGGAGAGCAACGGGACAGCTTACTGCTCCTGAATTATTCACTGGTACTTGGGCTTCTCAGCTGCCCCGTGCACTGATTCTCTTCCTTCAGGGCAGCTGTGGCTTTAAGTACAGCAACTGTTACCTACAGCAGGAAGACTGGAAATGGAAGGAATTGGAACTTCCTTCTTTTGAAAACGATCTTTTCTGGTATCCTGACAATTCTACATAAGCATCTGTTAAGGGTTGGTGAGAGTCTGCTTGTGTTTTGCTCATTAATTAGTTTTCTTGCTGAGGGGAAAATGATTTATTATATATGTAATTAGGGAATTGACTTCACAGTATCCATAGTTAAAGTCTAAAGTTATTTACTTCAGATATTTGCATCTTCCCATCCCCTCACCCCCTAAAACTTGTTAGAGTTAGTCTATTTATATTTTTTTCTAAAATGCTGATTGAAGTACAAAAGGCATAGGCTTGGGCTATTTGCAGTTCAACCTTCTGGATGGATGCTGGTTTCCGATACAGGAATGTGCAGCTTCACAAGTTCCTCCAGGCCCTGAGTCAGACCATGGCCACCCGGTTTTGTGATGAGTATGTTTGATCCTAGACCCTTCAGAGGTCCAAAATAAGAACAGACGAGTTGAGTCTGCTCAAATCATGCTCTACTATGAACAAGGACATTCTCAGGACAACCAAAATTGATCAGAGGCTGAAGATGGCTATAACACTTAATCAATCAGCCTGGTGATATCTTTTCATGGATAGCATTCAGTATGTCTTAAGCACTATGGATATTCCAAGGAAGGCAGGACAACAGTCCTGTCCTCTAAAAAGTTCTGGTCTGGTAAAAGACCAAAATCACACATGCCTAGGAACTGCAGGCACAGACCAATGCAGTGTGGTCAACCTGGAGTCATCCACATAGTTGCTGAGTAGCTACCACGTGCAGCACCCACAGTAAATACAGAGGAGACAGCCCCAGCCTCAAAGTGTTTAGAATCTGAGCGTGGAAGCAGTATATGAAAATAGAGCATCAGGCACGGTGGCTCACCTTTGAGAATCCCAGCACTTTGGGAGGCCGAGGGAGGAGGATCACGTTAAGCCAGGAGTTTGAGACCAGCCTTTGCAACACAGCAAGACCTACCTCTACAAAAATTTAAAACCTTAGCTGGGGGTGGTGGTGGTACACAGCTGTAGTCCCAGCTTCTTGGGAGGCTGAGGCAGGAGGATTGCTTCAGCCCAGGAGTTGGAGGCTGCAGAGCATTCTGCTGGCAGCCTGGGAAACAGAGTGAGACCCTGTCTCCAAATATATATATATATATTTATACTTCATCCCTATTGAGTAGGACAGATGAAAAGCTACTGGGAGTCCAAGGTGGAAGACATTACTCCGACCTAGTGCAAGGGGTCAAAGTTTCATCAAAGAGGTAACATTTGAAATTGATTCTTGAAGTAACAGTACAGTTTAATGATTCAGAGAACATCAGGTCTAGAAAATCACGGCTGTAATCCCAGTGCTCTGGGAGGCTGAGGCAGGAGGATCGCTGGAGCCCAAGAGTTCAAGAGCATCCTGGACAACGTGGCAAGACCCCCTCTCTACAAAATAAATAAATAAATAAATATTAGCCAGGCATGGTGGCATGCATCTGTTATCCCAGCTACTCAGGAGGTTGAGGTAGGTTGAGCCCAGCAATTCAAGGCTGCAGTGAGTGGGCTACAATTGCCACTGCACTCTAGCCTGGGTGACAGAGCAAGACCCTGTCTCCATAAAAAAAAGAAAGAAAAAAACAGGAAATCATGGGAGGGAAGTCTCTGAGGATAATTTGGAATTCAGGACCACAAACTTCACCCTTTTCTATCTCTAGTTTGTGGTTTCCCCCTTTTAGGACAATAGTGAGTATGGTGTGATACAGGCTAACATGGCTAATAAGACTTGGTGGGGCTGATGAAACTGCATGGATTCCAGATAATACCAGAACATAATAAGTGCTCTACGATTCGTCTCCCACAGGTCTTAGTCCAGGACTGATTTAGTCCTGTCTGGTCTATTGCGTAAAAATGAAGATTAAGCCAGTTCTAAATGTCTTAGTAAACCTCTGACGTGGCTTGTGAGATATTTTAATGCTTGAGGTCATGTTAAAGGGACTTACCTATAGCAGCAATTGTGTCTCTCAAGCAAAACAAACAAGGGCAAATTCATTGATCTGTTTGGATTGAATAACCCAGTGGGAACAGGAAACGTACCTTGGGCAGTGCTGTCCACCGAGAGCAATGGGAAAATATCCCTCGGGGAGGAGGAGCAGATTCTGGTGACAAAATGTTGCTGTGGCAGGAACTCCACCTATTTGAAGTTAGAAGAAGCTGCCCCAGCACCATGGCCTGGAACCTGGTGACCAGGTGAAACTGAGCTCCCAGGCTGTAGTGCTTGGGAAGCGTGCCCCTCAGCTGCTGGGCAAGGCCCTCTGAATCTGCAGGGATTCTAAGACCCCAACAAGAGCAACCCAGGCCTCCTCATGCCTCCTGTCCTGCCCATCTGAAGACTGTCTTCCCCCAGCCCACTTTAAAAATAAGCAAAAGAAAACTGCAGTCCATTTAAATGCCTTTTTTTTTTTTTGAAACAGAGTCTTGCTCTTGTCCCCAAGGTTGGAGTGCAATGGCACGATCTTGGTTCACTGCAACCTCCATCTCCTGGGTTCAAGCAATTCTTCTGCCTCAGCCTCCTGAATAGCTGGGATTACAGGTGCCCACCACCACGCCCGCTAATTTTTGAATATTTAGTAGAGACGGGGTTTCACCATGTTGGCCAGGCTGGTCTCGAACTCCTGACCTCAGATGATCCGCCCATCTCGGCCTCCCAAAGTGCTGGGATTACAGGCAGGAGCCACTGTGCCCAGCCTAAATGCCCTCTTTTTGGTTTAAACTTTTTTTTTTTTAACCAGAGATGTAGTGATGTCTGCAATGATTCTCTACAGTGGATGCTCAGAGCAGAATCTGTGCCTCTGCATGTGAGATACTAATAGGAATGCTGAGAACTTCAACAGTGAAATAAATCACATGATGATGACTTACGACAGTAAGGCTTGAATCCCTTAGGCAATTAAAAGGTTAAACTTGCTGACAAATTCCTTCTGTATAAAAAAGTCTAAAAAGTCAAAAGAAGAACAAAAGCATGATGTCTGGCAGGATCCAACACATTCTCCTCCTGTCCTTGGGGCCTCTTCCCTCTGAGGCTGGTAGGAGGGACAGAGAGGGACAGACAGAGAGAATTCGAGTTTCACCCTCAAAACCTCAAAATGTCAATGTTATTATAACGTGAGGCAGTAAGGAGCTTTCGCTAAAAAACAAGTAACAAAAAGAAAAAACACAGATAAAATACTATCTTATGTTCTGCCGTTTCCATGGCAAAATCCGTTAAGATCCATTACCTCCGTGTCTTCTGACTTTCTGCCTCTGTCATCGAGCTGCTGTCCTCCCGGGTCACTTGAATGAACTCTTTGGGGTTTTCAGTGGCTTCCTTTTCTACCTTTCCACAGCCTCATTCTTCTTCTGTTCTTTTTCCAGAGTCAGGGTCTTGCTCTGTCACTCACACTGGGGTGCAGTGGTGCAGTCATAGCTCACTGCAGTCTCTGACTCCTGGGCTCAAGGGATCCTCCCTCAGCCTCTTAAGTAGCTCAGACTACAGGCATGTACCACCATTCCCAGCTAATTTTTAAAAATTATTTTTTGAAGAGATGGGGTCTCACCTTTTTGCCCAGGTTGGTCTCAAACTCCTGGCTCAAGTGATCCTTCCATCTTGGGCTCCCAAAATGCTAGGTTTACAGGTGTGAGCCACTGTGTCCAGCCTAGCCTCATTCTTCTTAATGTCTTGGTAGCATTTCACCACTGCTTCCTCCTGGAAGCTGTCTTTCTTCACTGCAGGGAAACTGCACCATCCTCCTGTGTTTCTGAGCGGTTCCATCATCCTTTGCTCCCTCTTTGCTGGCCAGCTCCCTTCCAGTGCCCTCCAGCTTTTTTGAGCATTAAATGAGGAGATATTTGTGCTAACATTTAGATGATGTAGCTATCCCAACAAAAAGTGTTGCTAATGTGATCATGTTCTGTTTCATGTCTTCTCATCTGAAAGGTGATCTATTTTTCAGTTGCCTGTTCTCTTTGGGTTTCTTGCTTTGCCTCTGGGAAACCTCATTCTGCACTGAACCGATCACATTTCTCTCACATTGGCCCCTCATTCTGCTGTATCTCCTGTGCTTACTTAACTTAGACAGAGGTTCCAGAAGACAGAGAATTGTGGTGCGAAGGTCACAGCTGCTCTGAGAGTCTGTCAGTGAGGAGACATTGCTGGACATTCCTCAAAGGAACCCTCTTTGTCAACAAGCATGAGGTCCTGTTAGAAGGACAGAGTAAACAATGCCATGGCCTTCAACACACCAGCAAGCTTCCTATTGCTATTTTCTGGGCTAATTGACTTGTTCTTTTGTTTCCTCAATGCTTTCATTAGTTCTGTAATCAGGTCACTGTGTTAAATCCCCTCTGTTCAGAATATCTGGTGTTGTTTCTGTTCTCTGGGCCACCTTAACTTCTTCTCCCTGCCTTTCCAAGCTCCAGGGCACTGGAGCTTTTCACTGGAGCAGGGTCATTCACTTATCATCAGATTCCATAATCTTGTCTGCTGAGTCCAATCATAGTTGGAAATTTGACCAAGGCTTAGTATATAAAGGGCTCGTGTGTATGTGTGTCTGTGGAGGGGAGTGGTGGTGGTGTGATAATATATAAAAAATTTTATTTTTTATATTATGGATACATAAGAGTTGTGCATATTTATGGGGTGAATGTGACGTTTTGATACAGGCATGCAGTGCATAGTAATCAGAGAAGACCTCAATGCCCCACTTTCAGCATTGGGAAAACCGTCCAGACAGAAAATCAACAAGAAAACATTGGACTTAATCTGCACTGTAGACCAAATGGATCATTCCACACTGGTAACATTTTCTAGTTTAGCAGTTTGCTGTAGTCTTTTTCGAAGGCTACGAAGCATAAGTAACTTTTTTTTTTGAGACGAAGTCTTGCTCTGTCTCCCAGGCTGGAGTGCAGTGGCACGATCTCCGCTCACTGCAAGCTCTGCCTCCTGGGCTCACACCAGTCTCCTGCCTCAGCCTCCAGAGTAGCTGGGACTACAGGCGCCCGCCACTGCACCTGGCTAATTTTTTGCATTTTTTAATAGAGATGGGGTTTATAAGTAACATTTTTGACATAGATCTAGGTGTTTCAGTATAATTTGATTTTGGGTTATATCAGGAGAGAGAACACACATGAAATCTTAATAAAATAATAACCAAAGAAGAAAACTGTCCCTGGTAGGATCCCTCTGTGTTCTAGCACTTTCTGGTTCTCATAGGCACTGGTTAGTCAGGGAAGGTAGAGGCTATGCTGGTGCCAGAGCACCGGGCTATGTGGGTGCCAAAGCATCAGGCCACATGGGCATCAGAGCACCAGGCCACGTGGGCCAGCTGGGGCTGGGACCTTCCCCCCTTCCAAAGAGCTGTGGACTCTGGCTCAGGCCATGTTCATCTCTAAAAGGAATTTTGCAAACCTGTTGCTTCTGTTTTTTTTTCTTCCGGACTTACAGTAATCACAGAAAGAATTTAACTTCACTTAATTTAAAAGGATTTGGAGCGGGAGGGGTTTTTCAATTACCCACAGGTGCTGTAGGGGCTGGCGCAGGCAGTGGGGTTGGGGGAGTTCTACTTTAGAAACCAAGGTCAGCCACACTCCCTGGTGGGAAGATACTGACGCATATCCCAGCGAACACTCCCAGCCTAGTCCTCTAATTGTTGAGTAACTCCTGGGGGACTCGTGTCTGATTGCTCTTTGGCAGAGTCTGAATCTGAGCTTCAGTGCTTAAAATGTATGGCATCTAATTCTAATTGAGGATAATTCCACGTCCCCACATTGATTTCAGCTCCCTGCTTCTTATGACCAAGGAACTGCATTGAAAAGAGTGTTTCCTGGCTGTTGAATGATGATGAAGCTGAGTTCCAGCTTTCTCGGTTTGGATCTAACTGGACCGGAACAGGTCATGGCAAGCTTCTCTTGGCATTTTAGTTGTTGATAAGTGAACAATAAACTCTGTTTAATAGTAAGCTGTGATTTTTTTTTTTTTTAAAGATGCACTGCCCTTCATCTTTGGGCAACATTTCTATGACAGTGAAAGTGATCAAGGCACATGACTAAGGGGAAACTCCATGAAATGACACCCCTTTAAGAAAGAAAGAGCCCCAAGCCTCAAGCATGTTAAACGAGATCATCGAAGTCAGGTGCTCAGCATAAAGTCACCATACAGCACATGCTCAATAAGTGTCAGGGGCTGAGAGGCAGTCTTTCCAGGGAGGAGAAATGAATATGAAATAATGGGTAATCACAGCTAGATAGGAGGAAAAAGTTCCAGTTCTCTAGACCACTGTAGGGTGACTACAGTTACAATAGTATATATGTTTAGATAGCTAGAAGGATTTTTTTAAACTTATATTTTAGGCTCAGGGGTAAATGCATAGGTTTGTTTTATAGGGGAGCTGCATGTCACGAGGGTTTGGTGTACAGGTTATTTCATTACCCAGGTAATAAGCATAGTACGTAAGTATCTTTTTTTCTGATCCTCTCCCCTCTCCCACCCTCCACCCTCAAGTAGCCCCCAGTGTCTATTTTTCCCTTAGTGTCCATGTGTTCTCATTGTTCCCACTTATTGGTGAGAACATAGGGTATTTGGTTTTCAGTTTTTGTGTCAGTTTGCTGAGGATAATGACCTCTGGCTCCATCCATGTTGCTGCCAAGGGCATGATCTCATTCTTTTTATGGCTGCATAGTATTCCATGGTGTGTATGAACCACATTTTCTATATCCAGTCTACTGTTGATGGGCATTTAGGTTGATTCTATGTTTTTGCTATTGTGAATAGCGCTGCAGTGAACATATGTGTGCATATGTCTTTATTGTAGAACAGTTTATATTCCAGAAGGAGAATACTGAATGTTCACAACAAAAAGAAATGATAAATGATAGAATTGATGGATATGCTAATTACTGTGATGTGATCTGTATACATTAGATGTATGGAAACATTGCTATGTATGCTATAAATATATATAATTATCATGTATTATTTAAAAAATAAAAACTAAAAAATAGGTAATCAATATTAATCAATAAATCCAAGAGATCAAGTATTAAAAGGTATTCTTATGAAATAAAGTTTACATCATTTCCACATTTCTCCAAGGCTTGCCTGAATCGTTTCACTCCCAACATCCTGAGACATGACTCAGAAGAGTTCAGGTAGCACAGCACACTGCTCACTCACGAGCTTCGGTTATGTTTTTAATCTATATGGCAATGATCATATTTACATGACCAGGTCCCTGTGGCTGCTAGCCTGCCAATTGTACCAATAGACTTAACAATGCAGCAAGTCATATGGTTAGCCCTGTGTCTGATGGGCTGCAGGACCTAGACCTGAATACACAGGAAAGACATCTCAGGAAATGCGAAGTCCTAATTCATGTCTGTTAAATTCTGGCTGGCCACAATGGAAACAATCAAGTAATTGAAAGACAGAAGTGTAACAGAGTAAGTTGCTTAAATGCTTAGTGAGGAATAAATTCTGTAGACCTATTGCTTTTATTATTTTAGCTCCAAGACAGCAACGTCAAACTATGTCGATAAAGGCTGGGGCCTAAACAAAACTGGAATTACTCTTTCCTGGATAATTTGTCAGAAAGCAGACGTCTTGCTTAGTTTTCAAGAATTACTTCCAAATTTCAACCCACTTCACAAATCACCATTAGATTGAACATTTTTTAGACTTCAAGCAGTTTAGAATAAAAGCCCATTTAACTTTTAATTCAAAATGCTTTTTTTTTTTGCTAGTTTAGAAAGCTTTCTTGCCCAATATATCTATAGAATATTAAGAAGGATCTAAAACATTTGCAAGCAGTTTTTCCCCACTAAGAATGATGATAGAAATTTAAGAACAATTCTTGATCCAATTCAAGGTTTGAGTGTATAAGGTACATTCGGTGATTGAGTGTCACTTAACAGAGGTATACATATCCTTCTTTTAATCACCAGGACCCCAAAACCAAATGACTTAGCTTGTAAAAAGCAAAAATGAGAAGGCATCTACCTAACTGCATTTCATAGATAGTGTAGAAATACCACAGATACTATAAAATTCATAGCTGACAGCAATGCCATTGGTATGAGATTATAATTTCATAACTATAAAAATATTTTTGTGATAGCTGATGTTAGGAGTTTTTGTATAATTTCCTACATAATCATACGTCACAGCTTGGAAATCATAGACAAAAACTGACTCTTACAAAAGGTCAAGAAGACCTAGTCTCAGTTGTGAGAGTTGGAAAAGGAAAATATACAAACAGGAAAATGCAAGACACAAATATCTTAGTCCTGGGGAAAACAAGAACTTCTAGAAATCCTGTTTGCCATCCCTGATGGTGAAGTTTTCATTCTATTTGCCAGAACTTCAATTCAAAAGCTTACTAGACAGAAACAGAATTCTATGGGATATTATGTTTCCATGTTGAAAGTCTTGTTACTTCTCAGCAACAGCTTTGCTGCTAAGAAGAAAAGATCATCATACATTACTCTTGTAAGGTGGTATGAGTCAAAATGCTTTGGATGAAAAACATTAAATTAAAAATTGTAAAGATATGCTGTTATTTAAAACTTGGGTCTTTCACTATGAGGATTATGTTTTCTTGTAGTTATTTTTGCCCTCTAATGATTTGGTGACTTTAAAAGCTATTTCCCCTCCTTTTACTGTTAAATGTAAAAACTCTATTTAATGCAGTTTTCTCTAATGATCAATACCATGAATGAAATAGCAACTACCTACTCCTTTATTATAAGAGGATCAACTTAGAATGAGCTAATTCCTCCCTTACTCTTCACTCTATTTTCTAGTTCTTTTTGATGAAACTGGAATTATAAATCCAGATAATTATTATCTACTTATCTTTCGCATCTTATATGTCAATAATTACCTTTGACCTTGCATTCTGTAATCATATGAACAATGATTTAGAATTAGTTTTGTGTCATATTGAGGCACTTTTTTTTTTGCCTATAATTTTTACTACAAATTTTCCAACCTTGAGTTAATTTTATTCATCTCTTTAGATTACATCTTTCAGTAATTTCCTCTTTTCTCCTCCAACTTTTTTAAACTGAAAATTTGAAAGGAACTGGAGGATATTATAAAATAGGAATATATTTTTTTTTATTTTTGAGACAGGGTCTCACTCTGCTGCCCAGGCTGGAGTGCAGAGGTGCAATCATAGCTCATTGCAGCCTGACTTGGGCCCAAGTGATCCTCCCACCTCAGTCTCCTGAGTAGCTGGGACCAGAGGCGCAGGCTACCACCCCTGACTAATTAAAAAAATTTTTTTTTGCAGAGACAGGGTCTCACTATGTTGCCTAGGTTGGCTTCAAACTCCTGGGCTCAAAAGATCCTACTGCCTTGGCCCCCCAAAGTACTGGGATTACAGGCATGAGCCACTGCACCAGCTAGGAAAAAATTCTTAAGCACGATGCCTAGTAGAATATTCTATAGAGGCTAAGGGAAAAAGAATGGAAGAATATCAATGTTTGATTGGGATCCCTTCCTGGCTTCACCCTGTTTCTGGGCCTTGCTTCTCTGCCTTGAGTCCCCACCATCCATTCTCCCGAGAGGACCCCCTCCTTCAGTTCTTCACAGTGCGCCTCACCACACAATTAAAAAACCTCTCATGCCCTGGCCCCTGCAGCCATTCTTCAATTGAGGTACAACTTGCATATACTAAACCAATCTTAAGGGTCCAGACGGGTGAGTTTTTACAGTGTAGCCCATTTCCCCAGGACATTTTGGAGGTCCCACTAATTCATAGCCTCACATTTCCCAAAGCATGGTGTATGTGGTCCAGCTAATAAGCAGAGCTTGGGCACAGTAGACTCTGGTGGGTTCTGGCTTCTGAGTCAAGCGAAATAGTGCAGGGTGTACTGTGCACCCCATGGGCGAGTTCCTTCCCGGGTCCCTATCAGTGTGGGGGTGAAGATGTGCTTCCTCCATCTTCCTGGGGCCTGCTGGTCTGTGGGGAAGTCTCGGACAACACACATTCACCCTTTCCAAAAACAGATGATAATTTGCAGAGAGAAAATCTTTTAAAATCTCTTAAAACCAACTCAGAGAACTGTTTTCCTAAAGGCAACATGTTCAGGGTTTCTCTGCTCCTGGTGAAGACAGTATTTCATATTGTTACTGAAAGCCGTTGTCAGGGTCCCCTTGTCACCCTCCTGGCTCCAGATCATGCCTTGTTCATACAAGTGGTACCCACCACTGTGCCTTTCAAATTCAACATCAGTCTGCTCCAGCCATGAACATTAGATACCTGAAGAATGGGCAGGGGAATTTTCATTTCTCTTCACTTAAGTTCAGCTCAAATTGTGGGCATGGCTTCCTCCCTCCCCATCCATCTCTCTAAGTATAACAGGAATTAACAGATGCCTTCATTTCTCCCCTTGTGCAGAGCAAGATCTGGGGCACCAGGAACATTTTGCTGGGATGTACCTGGTATTGCACTCTTTTTATTAATGTTCTGAGCTACATGTTGTGAACTACGGATGGCCAGGTTCAGGGCTTTCTCTGGTCTAGCAAGATTTTCTTTTCAACTCTGACTATTTCTTCTTTCTGTGCTGGTTTTCCCTTCTGCAGTATTGCTTGTTGCAGTGACCTTTCTGTCTGCATCTTTGAGTTTTTGGCTGCCCATCATTGACCCCAGCTTGATGTCTTTTTGGGGAATTGCATTTCCCTCCTTGGGTGCATTCTGGTGGGATTGGTTATCTGGGAGTCCTGCCCTCTCCTCACTAAGGAATGTGAGTCTTCGCCCTGGAATTTGAATTTCCAGCAGAGTGATAAAAAGTCCGACTGTGGCTGGAGTTCATTTTCTTCCACGATTGTGTCTGGATGAGACTGTTGAGTAGTCCCTGCTCTCCCAACCCGGGCAAGCATTCTGCGCTGTCCCAGCCTGCATCTCTAGCCTTGCTTGGACGATGCAGTGAACTCCCTGACTCCTGCCAGTAGCTTCCCTCTGGGCTTAAGAACCGGAGCTGGTTCTCGGAAACTTAAGCAATCAAAGAAACATCACTGATGCACTTACGCATAGGCTGCCTCTTTTTGATATCTCTTCCTCCTGTTTATTGTTTTAATATCTTTTCCTCCTTTCATTGAGTTTTTCTTGCACTTCAATTTTTTTTTTTTTTTTTTTTTGGCAGCTTCCAAACTTTTGAATGTTGCTGTCATGTGTTTGTCATAATCTGGCCCCAACTTATTTCTTGTAGCTTCATCTTTAGCCTTTGCCCCTCTGTCCTGCTCAATATATTCAGCCACAATAATTGGATTTTCTTCCTCATACTGTCATTTTTCACTCTAACCTTCCTGCAAGCACACATCGGGTATTTTCTTGTCCTAAAATATTATTTCCTTGCTTTTCATTCAGGCACACTTTTACTTGTAGAAAATATTGCTCAAACACCATCTCTTCTTCAAAGCCTGTTCTTTCTTCTCTAAAAAATGAAGAAAAACTCCATTTTTACGCTCCCTTTATTGGAAACCCTTAGCACTTGGTCTTTTTTTGATCTGTCACTTGAATTGTATTTATTTTCAGCATGTCTCTCTTTTCCAATAGACTGTGAGCTTCTTGAAGACAAAGTCTGTGCTTTACTTACCTCTGTATTATATATTTAGTATCTTGCACAGTGCCTGACATTTTTTCATGTCCCCAACGAATTATTGGCTGATCGAATGTCTGAGTGAATAGATGAAGGTTGCTAACAGAACACCCTTCTCTGCAGTAGACGTGGACTCTTTGGTTGTGTGTCCTTAGCCTGCTGTTGGGCTCTGGCATATTTTGAGCATGCATAAGTTGTTTAGATATGTGACTCTCCTTTGTAGCAATTAGACAGTGACAGTGTTCATGACTATTGGACCTGGGCATCCTACTTCTGACACCAAAATTTCTGACCTTGCCAAATATAAGAAAACATTGATTCACTTCTCTATATAAGCAATATTTATTGAGTATCTGCAGTGCAAAAAGCTCAGTACTGGTCACTAGGTGAGACACACAGACAAATCTGAAACACATACGGTCCTCAAGGAAGACACAGTAGAGAAATGTGTTGTTACAAATAACCATCAGCTAGGTGAAGAGTGTTGGGAACCACAAAATATTTACACCCCACATATTTGAATAGGCCCTTAAAACATGGTCCATGATTCAATATGAGGAGATGAAAAGGAGGCAATTTTGATGTACTCACTTACAAAGAGGTAACTTTTTTCATTTTTCATATAATTAAGTGTATATTTCTGATATTATAAAGGACTTATTTGGAGACTTTTCATTTATAATTTGAGCTGATCTTGACTTTCTCATGGAGACTGTTTACCTTGGAATCCTTAAAAATGTCTTTAAGTGACTCTTTGAATAGGAAAACACTCCTACACAGTCCAGGGAGATTTGGTTTTTCTTGACATTTTCATCAAGTTTTCACAACAAAAGAGAAAATTTAATTCAAGCATTTTGAGTTTTTGTGTTCAGGTCTTTTTCCCATAGTTCCCACACAGGAGAGAAATCTGATCCACAGAGAGACAGCAGCCATGAAGAAGATCACAGACTCAGGCCACTCAGCATGGAAAGGCACCTGCGATCTCAGCCAGCCACAGTCAGCTTTGATCTGCCTTTCTAGAATCTTCTGTAGTTGGTAAAGTTGGCGAGGATTTAGTATTTACCTCTCTTCTTAAAGTTAGTGCATGAACAAAGACACACTCAATTATGGTGGTCCTTAGAGGAAATGACCCCGTACAAGAGTTGCGGCACAAGAGAAATGTGAGGCCTTCAGAAGATCCGGACAGACAGAATGACATCCTTGGCTTGGCTGGGGTTACCAGATTATCAGCAGTGGGTTGGTCAGGAGGAACTGGGATTCTTATCAGAACAACTGCATTTCCTTTAGAGGTCATTCTATGAAAGTGTGTCCAGCAAATGGTCAGGATTCTCCTTGTAGGCCGTGTGTTCAGCCATTCTCAACAAATCCATAACATTCTGAGTTAAAGAATCCCTCAAGATACAGCTAAATATACATATAATGAGTGAGTGCAATATACCTGATCTCTAGAGTTAGCACTGGGGTGGGAAAAACTGGATAAGTAGAATTCTGTTTGGAAACACTGCAGATAACAACATTGTTTTCAAATTCACAGACCTAAACTCAATGATTTACACATGGGTACGTATTTGTTTACTTATCATCCATCTGCCAGTCCTAAACTTAGGTGCATTTATGAATATTTATTGAGTACCTGTTATAAAGAGTTGTACCAAATATTTTTTTCTGGGGTGTACAGATAATTATGACAAAAAGAGCTCTGCCTTTAAGAGTTTTCCAATGTAGTTGAGAAATTAAGACATATATATGCAAAATAATAAGAGTACGAGTGGTAAGAATGGCTGAAAGTGGCAGGGGAAGGTTTCTCCATGGTGTTACAGATCCAGTGTTAAAGGAATCGTGCTAAGAGACACTCAGGGGAACAGGTCTCTGCACACCTTTGGGACGACTGCAGGACTTGGGGGGCAGGAATTGAGGTAACATTTGGAGGGGTTAGCAGAGTTTGCCTGGTCTATAGAGGAGGAGGGAAGGTATTAAGGGAGAATTCTCAGCTTGAGTGAAAGCCTAAAGATCAGAAAATGTCCAGGATAGCCTGGGGTGATGAGTGAGCCAGCTGTACAGGGTATGTAGAGGGGAAGAGGTGGGAGGTGAGAATGGAAGATACTCTGGGGCCAGACTGGAGAGGTGAAATTAGATTATCTGTGTCTTGAAGGGCACACAAGTCAAAACAAGTAGAAGTAAGTTTTTCCTTTAAACCCTATAATTTTAATTTTTCTGTTAACTTGCAAGCATAGTCTCGTATCATGAAAACACCAATAAATTGGCAATGAGAGGCCTTGGAGTTCATGGCTGTCAGCTGGTCCACAGCAAATCCCACTCTCCCTGGGCGTCAAGTAAAATGCAAGCACAGGAATGAAAAGCCACTTAGGCCCCATCCAGCCCTGAGATCTCGCCATCTCTTTGCTCCCTGTTAAATATCCTGGGTGAGGTGATCCATTGTCCCACAAGTGGGCCATTTTTGGAAAGCACAGAGTTCATAATTTGGAGAAATTGGAGTGACCGATTTCTGCTTTTATTTCTGTATTCAAAAAAGGAAGAAAGAAAAAAGAAACAAGCTGGTGAGCCCAGAGAAAACAAAAACCCATTTGATAAATATTCTCCCAGTTATTAGTAAATTCTGACAAAAGAGACATCTCAGTCCTCAAATACCAATGGGTGGTAGAGAACAGTGAGAAGCATTCTGTCCAGCAAATCATCCCTGCCTTGGAGCAGATTTTGTTGGGTGGTGGTCCGATTCCATCTGTAGCAGCCAGGAGAGCTTCACCGAGAGCTCTGAGAGCAGAGCATGGATGGCAGGTCTTAGGCAAGGCTCTGATGAGCTTCATGTTTCAATGTGCTTTCCAAGAAGGCACCGGAGAATTTGAGAATGAACACAATGAACAGTGCACACCTTTATTGAGTGGGCAACTCGTTACTTTCTCCCAAGAAACAAAACAGAATTAAAGACTTTTTTTTTCTTTTTGAGATGGGAGTCTTTCTCTGTCGTCCAGGTTGGAGTGTGGTGGCATGATCTAGGCTCACTGCAACCTCTGCCTCCCAGGTGCAAGTGATTCTCCTGCCTCAGCCTCCTGAGTAGCTGGGATTACAGGCACCCGCCACCATGCCTGGCTGATTTTTGTATTTTTAGTAGAGACGGAGTTTCACCATGTTGGTCAGGCTGGTCTCAAACTCCTGACCTCGTGATCCGCCCGCCGTAGCCTCCCAAAGTGTTGGGATTACAGTCATGAGCCTACTGCACCTTGCCAGAATTAAAGACATTTTAAGAAGAAAGGTCAATCTATCTCAAAAGGTTACTTTAAAACCTGAAAGGATGTCTACTGGAAAGACAAAATGATCAGCACCAAACAGCAATTACCTTTGCACCCACCTAGTAAATCATCTGAAGGTATTGTTAAATGGAACTTTTAAATACAAGTTTCCAGTTGGATTGGCCAGGTCATTTAAAAACATAGTATTAAGTAAAAGAATGTTTGCACGAGTCAGGCGACCATCATTTACTGAGGCCATTCCCATTTTCTGCTGAAGAATGTGCAGAGCTGGGTGGTTTCCCATTATTTCTGGGGTTTGCAGCCACTTTCTCCCTTTGTATGTGGACGGAATTAATTTCCCCACGGATAGGCTAGGTGGACTCTGTGGGATCCTGGTGACTACCACTTTTGGATTGTTTTCAAATGACAGAGTGCTCTACGGAATTAATTGAGTCATTATATAATGAGTAGAATTCAATTATCTTCATTTTTTTAAAAAAGGCTATGATTATCATTAGTAGTATTTTTTCTTGTTTTGAAGAGTTTTGTTCAACAATAATAAAAAAGCAATTAGAAATATAAAATCATGGAAACTCTCATACCATTAAGAGGCCATTAAACTTGGCAAGAATTGCTACATTCGAAATTTTGGTCTCATTCCCTAGTCTTTGGATTACATTAAAAAAAAGTGATTACATAAATTTTAATAAAATAAATGATGTTTGGCTAAATCTTATGTATTTCTTTGGGGAAAAGGCAAAACCTTGTGAATTTAAGATGAAGAAGCACACTTAATTCTTTATTACTCTTTATTATTGTTTTGAATCCAACATTTAATTATCAAAAATGGATCCAAATTTTCGGGGGGCCTGAAGCTTATACAACTTTGAAGGGCCCTCTTTAAATTATGAATATAAAGTTAGGTATGAAATTGAACATTTATTTATTAATTACTTTTATAGTGATGGGGCCTCTCTATGCTGCCCTGGCTGGGTCTCTCTATTTACAGGCACAATTATCACACTCTGCAGCTTGGAATTCCTGGGCTCAAGCATTCTCTCACCTCAGCCACGCAGGTAGATGGGATAACAGGTGCTCACCACTGCACAGGGCTGAATGTTTGTTCAGGGTGAAAAAAAATCACATCGCATCACAAACTTAGAAATTCCACAGACATTACCATAGACAACAATGTCCTTTTAGACTAATCCATAATATGCTGCTAAAATACTTTTCCCAGATATTTCCTTGATTTTTGTTGTACTTGTTAGATGGCTGAAGGATTTTCCACAGACTGGCTTCCACTTTTATTTGTTACAAACACTTCCTCCTATCACTGAACAACATGGGACTCATTCTCATAACAATGAAACTTCTGGCCCTGACCTGTGTCAGGATGGCAAGTGAGTTGGCAGGGTGGGCAGGATTATTCCTGGAAACGATTCCTACCTTAGATGGCTAGTAATACCTATCCACAGAAGTGATGCAAACTATATAAATATGTCCCTCTAGATCTAAATTAAAAGTACCTTCAACTTACCTCTTTAACCAGCATCCAAAACTGCCCCCACCTCTCTGCCTGACACTGTGGTAAGGGTAACAGTGGAAAAGCTGGGGGGCAAAGAGACATGAGTCTCAGTGGACTGCGGTTAAAATACCTATCTCTGCAAGTTACACAGAAAACATGTAGTCTCTTGAATGTTCATTGCTGTGCTATTCACAATAGCAAAGACATGGAACCAACCCAGGTGCCCAGCAATGGTAGGTTGCATGAAGAAAATGTGGCAAATATATACCATGGAATACTATGTGGCCACAAAAAAGGATGAAATCATATCCTTTGCAGTAACACAGACGGAGCTAGAGGGCAAAATCCTAAGCAAATTAATGCAGGAACAGAAAACCAAATATCACATGTTCTCACTTACCTGTGGGAGCTAAGCATTGAGCACACATGGACACAAAGATGGGAGCAATAGACACCATGGACTCCTAGAGGGTGGAGGAAGGTGAGGGTGGGTTTAAAACTGCCAACTGGAGCCAGGCACGGTGCCTCATATCTGTAATCCCAGCACTTTGGGAGGCTGAGGCAGGCGGATCACTTAAGGTCGGGAGTTCGGGACCAACCTGGCCAACGTGGGGAAATTAATTTCATCACACAGAAAGGCAGAAAGTGGCTGCAAACCCCAGAAATAATGGGAAACCACCCAGTTCTGCACATTCTTCAACAGAAAATGGAAATGGCCTCAGTAAATGATGGTCACCTGACTCACTTAAAAGTAGTGAACCCCCAACTAAAAATACAAAAATTAGCCAGGCGTGGTGGCACGTGCCTGTAAGCCCAGCTACTCGGGAGGCTGAGGCAGGAGAACTGCTTCAACCTGGGGGATGGACGTTGCAGATAGCCGCGATCACGCTGCTGCACTCCAGCTGGGGCAACAGAGCGATACTCCATCTCAAATAATAATAATAATAATAATAATAATAATAATAATAATAATAATAATAATAATAAACTGCTCAATACCTGCGTGATGGGATCCGTACTCCAAACCTCAGATCACGCAGTATTCTCACATAACAAATCTGCACATGTACACCCTGTATCTAAAACAAGAGTTGAAATTAGCAAAAGAGTATGCCCTTTGTCCCAGGCCTTCTCCCAGGGCCTGGGAATGAGGAATCTAAACCACGGTGAAGCCACCTCTGCTAATGATGTTTGTTTTTCCTAAATGACTTTTTTTTTTTTTTTTTTGGCAAAAGGAATGTGAGACAGTCTTCTTCAGGAAGGTAATCCGTGTCCCCCTCCATCAGTGCCTTCAGGTGCTGGGCATTTCAGTTTACAGCCCTGCTCCCTCTGCCGTCCTTGCTGCCTGTAGGTCCTGGCTCAGTCCTGGTGACTTCCAGGTCATTTCCTCCCTCGCCTTGACCATGCCGGGCCCAGCCTCTTTCACTCAAGCCAGGGCTTCCTCTGGGCCAGTCTGCGCCAGGCTTCTCCGTGTGACCCCCGCCGCCTGCCCTCCCGCCGCTGTCTTAGCCGCACCCCCGGACCTCCCAGGGCGCTCAGCAGTTCCGCCTCTGTTTCCAGCAGCTTCTCCACACCTCCGTCTTCCCACCGTGCAGCCTGGACGCCAGGCCTGTCGCTTGCAGCCCCCTCGGGACCTTCTGGCCTCCCCGTCAGCCTCGAGGTCGGCTCTCATCAGAAGCTCAGGGGTTGCTCGTTGCCCCCTCGCCTCCCACGCCCACCTCCCCCACAGGAAATAAAGACTCTCCTCTGCCACTCCCACAGTTTACTCTGGCTAAAATCAACAGTGGCTCTTGATTGATAAATCCTGCGGATACTTAATTTTTAAAATTATGAAATAGATCAAGCATTTTGAAAAACACAGATCATAATAGGATACTCTCATCTGCCCAATAGTCAGATACAGAGACCCTATATTTTGCTTAAGGTGTGTAAAGTGTTTTTTTTTTGTTGTTGTTTTTTAGCAATAAAATGTAAAGTTTTTTTTCTTTGGCGATTATGAAGTTTTAAGATTTAAAAGTAGTGTTATTTTATGTGTTTTAAAAATGCACACAAATGGTAATGCGCTGCATATTTTTGGTTTATCCTTTTTTTTTTTTTTTCTTGAGGTAGAGTCTCGCTCTGTCGCCCAGGCCGGAGTGCAGTGACACCATCTTGGCTCACAGCAGTTCTGGAACAGAAAGTTCCAGAATGCTATATGCAGCACATTATTCTCTAATTTGCTTTTCTTATTCAAATCAGTGTTTTTGACATTTATCCATATTCCTATAGCTATATCTTGTTTATTTTAATTTTTTGAAAGTGGTTGTATTTTATGAGATCCTGCAATTTCCTTGATCCTTTTCTCCATTGACAGAACTGCAGATTGTTCCCAGCTGTTCAATATTTCAAGCAATGCTGCAATAAAAATTCTAGCACAATGCCTCTTGTGTCCACATGGTAAAGGCACACTTTGTAACAGTATTCACGGGTCATAGAGCACGCCTATGGACACTTTACTAGATGTTAACAAACTGTCTCCATAGTAGTATATCAACTGATGCAACCATTAGCATCATGGTCGCTTCCATTTCCCCACATCCTTGCCAATACCTGGAATTTTAATACTTTAAAGTTTTTCCAATATTATGGATATGGAATGGCGTCTTTTAATTTCCAGTGACCTCATGATGACAGAGTTTGGGTATCTTTTTGTGAATTTCCTGTTTGCATTCTTCAACTGCTTGCCTATTATCTGGGGTTCTTTATATATTATCACTACTAATCTTTTATTCTTTGGGAGTAATTTTCTCTTTTTAAACATTGTATGTGTGATTGCCATATATACTGAGCAGAGGGAGTTTGACAAATCATGGCCTTACAGTGCTATCTTCACTAGAAGTTCTTGGTTTTGTTTCCTATTTTGTGCTTTTTTAATGGCTTTTGAAGTAACAGTTATTCACTGTATGAAATTTGGGAGTTTGAGAAAAGTGTCAAGGAAAAATTGCCCATTTCTGGGGCAATCACTGATAAAATTTTGGCATATTTTCTTCTTGCCGATTTTATTTTTCAGTATATATTTGTTCTTTTTTTTAAGATGCATTTTTGCATTCTGTTTTTCAGCTTATCTCTCTCTCTTTTTTTTTTTTTTTTGATACAGAATCTCACTCTGTAGCCCAGGCTGGAGTGCAGTGGCGTGATTTTGGCTCCCTGCAACCTCCGCCTCCCAGGTTCAAGTGATTCTCATGCCTCGGCCTCCAGAGTAGCTGGGACTACAGGTGCATGCCACCACACCTGGCTAAGTTTTGTATTTTTACTATTTTTAGTAGGGTTCTGTAATTTTGTATTTTTAGTTTCGCCATGTTGGCCAGGTGGCTGGTCTTGAACTGGCCTCAGTGATCCACCCGCCTTGGCCTCCCAAAGTGTGGAGATTACAGGTGTGAGTCACTGCGTCTGGCCTGTTTTTTGGCTTATCCTAATGGACATATTCTGTTTTTTGTTTGTTTGCTTTAATACATTTCTATTTACATATATTCTATCAGGGAGGGAAATCTTTTTTTTTCTTTGAAGGAAGTTGCATAGCAGGATACGTGGTTCATCGTGGGATAATCCTGAGAGTTCAGATGGCCTGAGCAATCTGATCTTTCTCAGTTTGTGCCTAACCAAAACCCAATGTGTTCTCAGAAAGTGTCATGGACTATGGCTATGGCCTCCTGAAGTGACCTTTCTCAGTCTTTCTTACTAAGAGAATCTGGCTGAATATATTCCTTCGTAGAACTAACTCTTGCATTTGAGACAGAAGGGCAACATTTTATATATATATACTGCCTTTCCCAGTCTGAGATTTATATTCTTAGAGTAAAAATATGTGAAGATATAAATCCAGAAAAATTTTGTTTTGTATCTTTTGGTTTATCTTCTCAAATACGGAAAACACCACGACTCTCCACCTCCTAGTAGCATTCTTGAACTTCTTCAGTTAAAATGGAATTTTTTTTAGACTAGATGATTCAAATAATTTAAAATATCAGACTCTCTTTCAGTAAGTAAAGTAAGATATTCTGTTGGAAAGATTGTCTCCAAAGCTCTGAATGGGTAGTCAGAGAATGTGCCAGCAACATAAAAATCCTCCTTCAGCTGGGGGTGTCTTCTGATAAAGACATTTCTTAGCTTGTCCCTGTGAGAAATTAGTTCACAAGTCTTTTCTGTTGACACATTCTTCTCTTGTCCCAGGAATGTGAGTTTCAGAAATATGCTGAGCTGATCCTAGAAAGGTTTCAAAGTCCTCGGCAGCTCAATGCTTTTGGGACAAGTTTGTTTGTTTTAATAAAAGTTAAAATAAATAATTTAGGCAATTAATTGAAAAGATGAATACGATTTCAAGTCTGTATAGCCGTTGTCCTGGTTTACCCTACTTGAAAAGTATTTGTAAATACCCTATCCCAGCAGTTATTTGCCTATTATGATGTGGATTTCAGTGCAACTTTCACATGACTCTTTCGGCATTTGCCAATCTCTTTTGCTGATTCAAGACAGAAAATCTTGGATAGAAAATACCTAGGCACTGAGCTGTTCTCTTTATTTTATTTCTGCTACCGATGATCATCCTCATCATTTTTCACTGAAATTCTAAATGGAAATCCATAATTGTGTTTCGGAAAAACTGTTATATATATAATTTTTTTATTCTTTAGATACATTGATTGAATTTCCAGGCAGCAAAGCTAAGTGATTTGGAACTCACTTTTCAGTGTTTATCTGTGGTTGCACACAGGCCCTTCTGTAACTCTTTTCTGGAGTTCCCTCTCCTCTTCTTCGAAATCCCCTTTAGACTTTTGGTTAATATATGCTATTCATTTTCCCCAGGAAAATTCAGCTCTGGAGCCTGGTGACAGATCTGATTCTGTGTAATTGATGATGAGTATAAATTTCAGTTGCTTCTGTTCTTTGTAGCAAGGGCAGGGATGTAAGGTCATATTGGTGAGGCCCAGACTCTAAGACTAAGGGCCTTTTGTGTTTTCTTAAGATTTCAGGAAGTTTGAGTCGTTTATTTAGTGTAGCACAGTTAAGACACATTAGACGGGTTTCTCTGAAACTAAGTCATTCACGTGTCTACCTTTTGCTAAACTGTAGAACCGTCCCTGGTTCTGATAATGTCGCAAGGCCCTATGTGAAGGTGAGAAGCTACACCTTTAAGTTTATGACATTTTAACTAGGCATGGCCCAATTAACCTCTGCCCTTTCTCGAGTTCATCAGGAAATAGACTCTAAATACTCATTGCTTAATGGTAGGTTTGTGGTTATAATTACACATTACCAAAATTAAGTCTAGTAACAGGAAATGTGTGAGAACTAATCTATAGAAACAAAAACAATCTTTGACTTACCTACAGTTTCATTGGAATTTCTCTCTTGAGTCCATTTTCCTTTAAGTCAATAAAAAGCTGGGGTTGCTTGTTAAAACTTCTTTGTTGGCAGCCACTTTGTGGCCCCTCTGCTCTGTTTCTTCAGGGGACTGTCCTGAGCTTGAGTGACCACGGGAGGCCTTAGGGAACGCTTAGGATAATCGTGGCAGATGCCATTCACTTTGATTAGAGCTTCCTAATGTCATAATTTTTTATCTTAATGGTATCCAGAAACACACAGTTGGGTCCATGAATGCATCGAACAGATCAAGTTTTGCTATGTTTACCTCTGTCAAAGACATATTCTTGGTGGTAGAAACAGTGGGCCCTTGGGATCTCTGGGTCCCACACCTGAAGATTCAACCAATGTGGATCAAAAATATTTTTTAAAAAAGGATGATTAGGTCTGTATTGAACATATACAGACTTTTACATCTTGTCATTATTCCCTAAATAATACAGTATAATAACTGTTTACATAGCATTTGTATTAGGTATTATAAGTAATCTAGAGATGATTTCAAGCATGTCAAAGGGTGTGTGAATGCTATATGCAAATACCACACAATTTTATATCTGGGACTTGAGCATCTGTGGGTTTTAGTATCTGCAGGAGGCCGTGGAGCCAACCCCTTGCAGATATTGAGGGACAACTGTATAGAACAAATGCTAAAATCAGCAAACAAATGAAAATATGACTTGTATTATTGAAGGAGATAAGATATGTTCTTCCTACAGGAAGTCTTGGATGGGACCTAGGGGATGTTTCTGTCCATGCTCTGCAATTGACTGAGGAACCAGGGCCACTTAGTTTCTGTCCTTGCTTTTAAATTTCTGGAATGGAAATAACAGAGCATGCACAGCCTCTGTATTTCCCAGAATTTTTTGGCAGCAAGTGAAATACTAGCTTTTAAAAAGCACTTTATAAACATGAAGAAGTTAAAAGGTTTAGTGGCTAAAATTCCAAGCTCTGGAGTTAGACAAACCTGAGTTTGAATCCTATTTAATAGGATTTCTCCCATATACTAGCTATGTGCTCCTGGGCAAGTTGCTTTACTTTTTTTTAACCTCAGTTCTAATTTGTAGAAGATGGTGAATCACATGCAGCTGAACCTTGAACAATGTGAGGGTTAGAGGCACTGACCCCCTTCACAGTTGAAAATCCTTGTATAACTTTTGACTGCCCAAAAACCTGACTACTAATGGTCTACTGTTGACCAGAAGCCTTACCCATTACATAGTCAATTAACACACATTTTATACAACATATGTATTCTATACTGTATTCTTAAAGTAAGCTAGAGAAAAGAAAATATTATTAAGGAAACCATAAGGAAGAGAAAATGTATTTACTATTTGTGAAGTGGAAGTAGTCACCATAAAGGTCTTCATCCTCATCATCTTCACTTTGAGTAGGCTAAGGAGGAGGAAGAAAAGGAGGGGATTGTCTGGCTGTCTCTGGTGGCAGAGGCGGAAGAAAATCTACATGTAAGTGATCCTCTGCAGTTCAAATCCATGTTCTTAAAGGGTCAACTGTAGTCTGTCATCTACTTACATAGCTGCAGTGAGGATTAAATCAGATGACGGGCACAAAGCGTTCAGAATGCTGTTTGAGATGCAGTAAATATTCCAGCACTGTTAGCTAGCTTGTGCTGGTAATATAGATGAACTGCATGGTCAATATGGATGAGGCTGATTTCATCCTCTGAGAAGTGGGAGGAGACATGTGTCTGGTGACTGCAGCAAGGTCTGCAGAACCCCCTTAGCTCTGTTGCAGGCTGAGCAGAGAATGAAGAAGGGATGGGTGGAGTGGGGCCCTTTCTGGCTCCTTCAGCTCCTTATCTCCCTGGGCAGGGGTGTTTCTATCTGGGAAGCTGAACTCTAGCATTGAACGAAACATGCCTATTGGCAGCAAGGCCAGCATCCTGCTGTCCCAGGCTGTCACTAGACTCTCCCTTTCCCTCACAGTCTTTTTCTTCTCCTCCTGACAACTCCCCTCCCCTCTCCCAGGACCAGCACCTATCCAGGTCACATTCCTGGCACGCTTTCACTCTCAGCTGGTTGTCAACTAAGGTGTTGGCTGATAACAAAGCTATGAACTGATAAGGCTTAATACCTTGGAGTGGTATTTTAAAAGGCCAGGAAGCCTTCAAGAGCTAAAGAAATAGTGGAGTAATAACAGGCATTAAGTGTGCGTGTGTGCGTGTGTGTGTGTGTGTTGGGGAGATATTGCTAATTTGGGGCCAGGAGCCTGGACAATCATTAGAATAAGCCCTCCAGAGACTATCTGTGCCACTAAGGTCACATTAAAATGCTTCTTCCGTCTAAAACTGAAACCGATCCCACTTAGGAGCTAATTGCAGTCATAGTTTTTCTCTTTGAGATTTAATACATTTTACTCAGCCCAGGAAGCCTCAGGACAAGCATAATGAAAATGCAATTAATTAAAATGTTAAAATATTTGTATGCTACATTCTCTGTGATTGAATAAAAGAGTACTCACCATGGTCAGGAATATGAGTCTCAAAGAGTAAAATAAAATAAAAAATAGCTCTTAAGAAAAAAAACTGCTTGCCAAGTATTTTGAGTTGAAGATGTCCAAGTTAAGAGAATGGTAAATACAGGAAGGCAAAGAGTTCCTGTCACTTCCTTCACTGGAATTCCATCTCTTTCTCACCACGCATAGGACAAATTGCACCAAAATGGAAAGCCGCTGGCTGCCACAAGCTAAACCATGCTCAGAAGATTTGAAATTCAATAGTGTTCTACTGCAAGTTGGGGGAAAAGAAGACTGCAGGGAACTCTCTTGTAAAGGATTTGCAAATATTCAACTCATTTTGAAACAGAACAATTGTTATTGAGTGTTGGGCAAGGATTTGTTGATTACAGCGCAGTCACAGGTAACTGTGGATACAGCCTCGTGTGTGTACTCTATTGCCTTTTCAATATCCTTATCATGCTTTTGAGGTTGCAACTAATAGTATTTTTTGAGACTTCATTTTTTTTAGTGCAGTTTTAGGTTCAGAGCAAAATTCAGAGGAAGGTACAGAGATATTCTGTCTATCCCCTCCCTCTACACCTGCACAGCCTCCCCAGTTAACAATGTCACCCACCAAGGGGTGCATTTGTTACAACAGATGAACCCACATTGACACATCATCACCAAAGTCCATGGTTTACATTAGGGCTCACTCTTGGTGTTGTGCATGCTATGAGTTTGGGCACATATACTACATTTGCCTAATGACATGTGTCTATCATGATAGTATCATACAGAGTACTTTCATTGCCCTGAAAATTCTGTGTTCTGACTATTGTTTGCACCACCCCACTTCCAACTCCTGGCAACCACTACTCTTTTTACTGTCCTCATAGTTTTGCCATTTCAAAATGTCATATAGTTAGAATCATACAGTAGGTGGCATTTTCAAATTGGCTTCTTTTTCTTAGTGATATGCATTTAAATTTCCTCCATGTCTTTGCATGGACTGAGAGCTGATTTCTTTCTAGCACTGAATGATATTCCATCTTGGTTGTTTCCAAGCTTTAGCAATTATGAAAAAAGCTACTATAAACATCTATATGCATTTTTTGTGTGGACATGTTTTCAACTCTTTTAGGTAAATACCAAAGATTGTGATTGTCAGATTGTATGTTAAAGGTATGTTTAGTTTTGTTGTTGTTGTTTGTTTGCTTGTTGTTTTTTTAAGATGGAGTCTCGCTCTGTCTCCCAGGCTGGAGTGCAGTGGTGCAATTTTGGCTCACTGCAATCTCCTCCTCCCAGGCTCAAGTGATTCTCCTACCTCAGCCTCCCAAGTAGCTAGGATTACAGGTGTGTGCCACCACAGCTGGCTAATTTTTGTATTTTTAGTAGAGACAGGGTTTCACCATGTTGGCCAGGCTGGTCTCAAACTCCTGACTTCAGGTGATCCACTGCCTCAGCCTCCCAAAGTGCTGAGATCACAGGCGTGAACCACTGCACTCAGCCAAGTATGTTTAGTTTTGTAGGAAACTGCCAAACTGCCTTCCAAAGTGGCTGTGCCATTTTGCACTCCCACCTGCAGTGAATGAGAGTTCCTGTTGCTCCACAACCTGGCCAGTATTTGATGTTGTCAGTCTTTTGGATTTTGGCCATTTTAATAGGTGTGTAGCAATATTTCATTATTGTTTTAATTTGCATTTCTCAATGAATAATATTTTGAGTTATATTTTGAATGATGAAAGAAAGGTGATCCCTGAGTCCTCTACTACAATAAAAGGACATTTTCCGTATCTGCAAAGACTTCCTGAAGGTTTTCCCAAGCCTGTGGGGAGCAGCAGAAGTGAGTTAAGAGAAGCTGTGTGAAGACGACTCCGCCAGCCACTTCCAAACACAGAGCAAAGTTCACTCGTTCATTTAGCAAATATTTATCGAGCCCCTAATGTGTGTGGCACTAGACCAGGCTTTATGGGCACAGGGTGAGCAAAAAGGGCCACATAGTCCCCACTCTACAGGCAGAAGCTGAGTGGGAGGAGTCCCTGGAGCCATGCCTATGGGAAAACCACCTGATCAGGGAGGTCCTGCAAGGCTTCCAGGGGGAGATAATAGTTGGGTTGAGATTTGAAGGGAATTCTGGGAGAAATGGGGAGCAAAGAGTGCTCCGTGCACAAGAGGAAGTATGGTGAGCATGAGGAACTGAAAGGAGGCCTGCATGGCTGGAACACGGAGAAGGAGGGGGGCTGCCCTATGCGGGGGAAAGAGAGGCTGGAGAGACCACTCAGAGCCTTGGAGAAAAACCAATGATTGCCAGACGTGTGGGAAACTGCAGCAGCACCTTTTCAAGGCAACAGGAAAAGGGAGGTTAAAGAGCTGCCTTTAGAAGGGAAAACTGTGAATCAGGACCACTGCAATTATCACTACACAGCAAGAAGCAACCCAGAGGAATGATTAGGAGCATGGACTGAAGCGCGATTGTCTGGAACGGAGTCCTGGCTCAACTGTTTACTTGCTGTATTACCTTGGATAGGTTACTTAACCTCCCTGGGTCTTGATTTCATTACCTGTAGAACTCTTTGTAGGTCCGTGTGCAGATTAAGTGAATCAATATTGAGAGTTTAGAACAGTGCCTGACATGTTTTAAATGCCACATAAGTATTTACTATCATCATCATCATCAACTCATTCTATTTTTTTTTTTAAATAAGAGATGACGTCATGCTATTTTGCTTAGGCTGGAGTACAGTGGCAAGATCATAGCTCTCTGCAGCCTTGAACTCCTGGGCTCAAGTGATCCTCCCACCTCAACCTCCAGGCATACTACCATGCCTGGCTAATTTTGTAATTTTTTTGTAGAGATGGGGTTTCGCTATGTTGCCCAGGCTGGTCTTGAACTCCTGGCCTCAAGTGATCCTCCCACCTCAGCGTCCCAAAGTGCTAGGATTACAGGTGTGGGCCACCACACCCAGTCTCCATTCTTGATTGGGCAAATAAATTTTACATTTGGCAGAATCACTTACAGAGGGTAGGTACATTGAACACATGCTATTTAATTTCACAGTAATCCCCTGGAAAAACATTATTATTTGCATTTTAGAGATAAAAAATTTAAAAATCAGAAAGGTTAAATATCTCATCAAGCAGTTCACAATGAGTAGAGGCTGGATTCAAAACTAGAAGTGTCTGAATTCAAAGTCTGTGCTCCCTGTCAGCCAAGATCTGCTTGAAGACAAACCATTGACTATTATGAGCTTTATATGGAACCAGCTGACAATTAAGGGGTTCTGGTCATGGGCTTGTTGTAGGAAGCATTTGGCTCTCCCAGATCTCTGCTGGTTTTAGAGAATGATGGGAGCAGAGAGAATAATGTTATATGCATTTTTAACTTTAATTACAGATGCATTTTTTTTCCCTTTGAAGA
The DNA here is from genome assembly GCF_000001405.40 of Homo sapiens. Taxonomy (NCBI): domain Eukaryota; kingdom Metazoa; phylum Chordata; class Mammalia; order Primates; family Hominidae; genus Homo; species Homo sapiens. The sequence goes on from NC_000010.11 coordinate 35,775,017, forward strand.
GAATAACTATTCCCAAATACAGGCATACCTCAGAGATATTGTAGGTTTAGTTCCAGACCACTGCAATAAAACAAATATTGCAGCAAAGACAGTTACACAGATTTCTCAGTGCACATCAAAGTTATATTTTTACTACACTGGACTCTACAGCTGCAGTAGCATCATATGTAAAAACATGGACATAACTTAATTGAAAATACTTTATTGCTAAAAAAATGCCGCTAATCATCTGAGCCTTCAGCAAGTTGTAATCTTTTTGCTGGTAGAGCGTGTCACCTCACTGATGGCTACTGATTGATCAAGGTGGTGGTTGCTGAAGGTTGGGGTGGCTGTGAAAATTTCTTAGGGTAAAACAACAACGAAGTTTGCTGCATTGATGAACTCTTTCAGGAAAGATTCATCTGTAGCATGCAATGCTGTTGGATAGCATTTTCCCCACAGTAGAACTTTCAAAATTGGAGTTAAGCCTCTCAAATCCTGCTGTTGTTTTATTGACCAAGTTTATGGAATATTCTCAATAATTTGTTGTCATTTCCACTGTGTTCACAGCATCTCCACCAGGAATAAGTTCCATCTCAAGAAGCTACTTTCTTTGCTCAATTCAATTAGATTTTATCATGAAATTGAAGCAATTCAGTCACATCTTCAGGCTCCACTTCTCATTCTAGTTCTCTTACTATTTCCACCACATCTGCAGTGACTTCCTCCACTGAAGTCTTGAATCCCTCAGTCATCCATGAAGGTTGGAATCAACTTCTTCCAAATTCCTGTTAATGTTGATATTTTGACCTCCTCTCATGAGTTGTGAATGTTTTTAATGGCATTTAGAATGGTGAATCCTTCTCAGAAAGTTTTCAATTTACTTTGCCCAGATCCTCCAGAGGAATCACTGTCTATGGCAGTTATAGCCTTATGAAATGTGTTTCTTAAATAATAAGACTTGAGGGTTGAAATGACTCCTTGATCCATGGGCTGCAGCATGGATGCTGTGTTAGCAGGCACGAAAACAACATTCATCTCCTTGTACATCTCTTGAACTCTTGGGTGACCAGGTGCATTGTCAACATGCAGTAATATTTTGAACAGAATATATGTTTTTCTGAGCAAGTTTCAACAGTAGGCTTAAAATATTCAGTAAACCATACTGTAAACAGATGTGCTGTCATCTGGGCTTTGTTGTTCCATTTCTAGAGCACAGGCAGAGTAGATTTAGAATCATTCTTAAGGGCCCTAGGATTTCTGGAATGGTAAATGAGTATTGGCTTTAACTTAATGTCACCAGCTGCATTAACCCTTCACTTAACTTTGAGTCAGCCTGTCCTTTGAAGCTATGAAGTCTGTCATTGACTTCTCCCTTCTAGCTAAGAAAGATCTAGATGGTATGTTCTTGCAATAGAAAGCTGTTTTGTTTACACTGAAAATCTGTTGTTTAGTGTAGCCACCTACTTCAATGATCTTAGCTGGATCTTCTGGATAATTTGCTGCAGCTTCTCCATCAGCACTTGGTGCTTCGGAACCTTGCACTTTTATGCTGTGGAGACAACTTCTTTCTCTCAATCTTATGAGCAAATTTGGCTCCACATTTTTCTTCTGTAACTTTCTCACCTCTCTCAGCCTTCATAGAATTGATGAGAGTTAGGGTCTTGCTCTGGATTAGGCTTTGGCTTAAGGGAATGTCATGGCTGGTTTGATCTATCCAGACCACTCACACTTTCTCCCTATCAGCAGCAAGCCTGTTTCACTTTCTTATCATTCCTGTGTGCACTGGAGAAGCACTTTTAATTTCCTTCAAGAACTTTTCCTTTACATTCACAGCTTGGCTGGTGCAAGAGGCCTAGCTTTCAGCCTGTCTCAGCTTTCAACATGCCTTCCTCACTAAGCTTAATCATTTCTAGCTTTTGATTTCAAGTGAGAGATGTGTGACTCTTCCTTTCACTTGAACACTCAGAGGCCGTTGTAGAGTTATTAATTGGCCTAATTTCAATATTCTTGCATCTCACATAACAGGGAGGCCTGAGGAGAGGGAGAAATGGGGGAATGGCTGGTCGGTAAAACCAAAGACACGCATACAACCTTTACACATTAAGTTTGTTGCTTTACATAGGCAAAACAATTACAATAGTAATGCGCAATATCACTAACCATAGGTCACCATAATAGATATTATAATAATGAAAAAGTCTGAAATATTGTGAGAATTATCAAAATGTGACCCGCAGGCACTAAGTGAGCCACATGCTGTTGGAAAAATGGTGTCAAGATGCTTGCTTGATGCAGGGTTGCCCAAACCTTCAATTTGTAAAGAGTGCACCATCTGCAAAGAGCAATAAGCAAGGCACAATATAACGAGGCATGCCTGTAGCTGAGCAAACAATTGTTTTCTTGGAAGTGTATCTACTTCTAAAAGCTAAAGTATGGGCCCGGCGTGGTGGCTCATGCCTGTAATCCCAGCACTTTGGGAGGCTGAGGAGGGTGGATCACCTGAGGTCAGGAGTCCAAGACCAACCTGGCCAACATGGTGAAACCTCGTCTCTACTAAAAATACAAAAATTAGCTGGGTGTGGTGGCGTACGCCTGTAATCCCAGCTACTTGGGAGGCTGAGGCAGGAGAATCACTTGAACCTGAGAGGTGGAGGCTGCAGTGAGCTGAGATCATGCCACTGTACTCCAGCCTGGATGACAGAGTGAGACTCTGTCTCAAATAAAATAAAATAAAATAAAATAAAATAAAATAAAATAAAATAAAATAAATAAAATATGCACAACACAGAAGATATGCCCTTAGCTGACTTGGGAACTCTATGCAGCTCCGAAAGTGAAGTATAGTGTGCATGTAGTGCCACCCATTGTGATTTATGTTGGAAATAGAGGAGTAGGGAAATGCATTTGCTATGCCTCCCTAGAGGCTTCAGAGTCATTCTGTGGGTGGAGGAGCAGCTTCTGGAGATAATAGAATTGTCCTCCAGCTGCTCACACTTCACACAGTCTGTGGCCAGATGTAAAAGCCTGGAGAACTTGTTTCCAGGATCAGAGACAAGGAGATGCAAGAGGCCCCTGTAAGCAGAGCAATGAACAATGGTATAACCCAGTTTGTGAAGGAAGATGCCTCTGAAGAAAGAGTGGAGGTCAACTTAAAAATCAGCAGAATGCAACGTACTCTCATTCCCCCACTGGTTACCTTCACTGTGGCCAGTGTATAAGCTGGGCTGTTTGTTCCTGGTAAATGTCCCTGATTCCGTCCTGAAGCTTTGGCCCAATCAGGAGCCCGAGCTGTGCGCTTCTTATCTCCTGAGGCTGCAGCAAGATCAGGGAAGCAAACCTTTGCAAATGAGACATGTACCGTGTAAAATGGAAATGCTTTCCTTGGCAGTGAGTTAAGCATTTTCACGATAACAATTTGGAATCCTAGAAAAATAACTGGATTTTGAAATGGAAAATGAGCTCTGCACTTTGCTACTTTTGTGACCCCACATCCTCATCTCCAAATGCGGATGTTACAGTAAGTTGCCGGAGTTCGCAGCTGCCTGGCCAGGGCTGTCTTCCTGTCTGTGGTTGCCACAGTGCACTGAACATTGGCCTCTCGTTTTAAAACAGTTCTTTCTGTCCTAAGGCCAATTATAGTACTATGTTTAACCTAAACATTAGGATTTATATCATAGTATGACAGCTGTGGTCAACATTCTTTATTTCAACAACTTCTCGATTTCATTAACTTTATTTCTTTCAACAACTTTCCATTTAGCTATGTTGTTGGAAAAATGTATGGAATACCTATGGAAGTTATAGGACAAGAAATGTGTACTTGGAAAGATAATTTTTGTCTCCTAAGAGACTCCCCCCAGTGTGGAGGGTTGTGTGGTATACCTTATTTAGCTGTGTGAGGTTGGTGTTTTTGAAGGGCTCTCAATAAATGTCATTCTCAACTTTGCTGGGGATATAAAGAATTTGAAAATTTAAACTAAGAGAGACAGATAGGGTTAAAATATCAAGTTAAAAAGAGCAAAGTTGGAGAATGTGGCTTTAGGGCTGACAGCCAAGTGTGCTTGTGAATACCGAGCCTAGAGGCAGGTCCCCCTCCACTCCCAGGCAGCGCAGCACTGGCCTTCCCCACCAAGCTTAATCATTTCTAGCTTTTGATTTAAAGTGAGACAAGTGCAACTCTTCCTTTTACTTGAACACTTAGAGGCCAATATAAGGTTCTTCATTGGCCCAATTTCAATATTGTTTTGTCTCAGGGATCAGGGAGGCCATGCGGGAGGGTGGGTGTGCTGGTTTGCTACAGGTCCATAATCAAGTACCACAAATTAGATGGCTTGAAGCAATAGGAATTTGTTATCTCATAGTTCTGGAGGCTAGAAGTATAAGATCAAGGTGTTGGTAGGGTCTTCCTCCCTCCAAAACCCATAAGAGGGAGTCCTTCCTTCCTTATCTCTTCCTAGGTTTTGGTGGAGCTGTCAATCCTTGGCTTGTGGCTGCATCACTTAGATCTCCACTTCAGCTCTTTCATGGCCTTCTCTCTGTTTATCTTGGTCTGTGTCCAATTTCTTTTTTCTTCTTCTCCTTCTCCTTCTTCTTTTTTGAGATGGAGTCTTGCTCTGTTGCCCAGGCTGGAGTGTAGTGGTATGATCTCGGCTCACTGCAACTTCTACCTCCTAGGTTCAAGTGATTCTCCTGCCTCAGCCTCCTGAGTAGCTGGGATTACAGGCATGCATCACCATGCCTGGTTAATTTTTCTATTTTTAGTAGCGATGGGGTTTCACCACGTTGGCCATGCTGGTCTCGAACTCCTGACCTCCAGTGATCCGTCCACCTCAGCATCTCAAAGTGCTGGGATTACAGGTGTGAGCCACCATGGCTGGCCAAATTTTCTTCTTATAACAACACCATTCATGTTGGATTTAGAGCCCGCACTTATGACTTCATCTTAACAATTTCATCTACAAAGACTCCATTTACAAATAAGGTCACATTTTGAGGTCCTGGTGTGTCTGGAGTTTGTTCCTTCTGGTGGGTTCGTGGTCTCACTTCAGGAATGAAGCCACGGACCTTCGCAGTGAGTGTTACAGCTCTTAAAGGTGATGTGGACCCAAAGAGTGAGCAACAAAGAGATTTATTGTGGAGAGCAAAAGAACAAAGATTCCACAGCATGGAAGGGGACCCAAGCTGGTTACCACTGCTGGCTGCGGTGACAAGCTTTTATTCCCTTATTTGTCCCCATGCACGTCCTGCTGATTGGTCCATTTTACACAGTGCTGCTGATCGGTCCATTTTACAGAGCACTGATTGGTCCATTTTACAAACGTCTAGCTAGCCACAGAATGCTGATTGGTGCATTTTACAATCCTAACTACAGAGTACTGATGCATTTTACAATCCTCTTGTAAGACAGAAAAGTTCTCCAAGTCCCCACTTGACCCAGGAAGTCCAGCTGGCTTCACTTCTCACTGGGGTTTGGACTTCAATATGTCTTTTAGGTGGAGGGCTGGGACACAATTCATCCCACAACCGTGAGACTTAGTGCAACTCACAGCACTGGTCACAGAGAACACTGGCTCTCTGAGCACAGGTTTTTCCCTAAGACAAAGAGCCATGCATATGGAGTCATTTACTTCAAAGATCGGAGGAGAACTCAATGAAATTGAGAAAAAAGAACAATACAAGTGAGGAACAAAATGAAACAGATGAAGAAAATTGATGGATTCCTAGCTTGACTATGAAAAGAAAAGGTCCAAATAAACATAATCAGAAATTCAAAAGGAGACATTACAAATGATACCACAGAAATACAACAGATCATCAGAGACTACTAGAAACAACAATATGCCCACAAACTAGAAAACATAGAGGAAATGGATAAATTCCTGGAAACATACAACTTCCCAACATTAAACCAGGAAGAAATAGAAATCCTGAAGAGACCAGTAACAAATAGTGAGCTTGAATCAATAAAAAGTCTCCCAGCAACAACAAAAAGCCCAAGAGCAGATGAGTTTACAGCCAAATTCTACCAAACATACAAAGAAGAGCTGGTACCAATCCTCCTGAAACTCTACCTCAGATTTAACCATCAGTTAAGTGTATCACCTTTCCTAGGAACAAAGTGATCAAAGACTTACAGAGAAATGAGGAATGTCAGCCAGTGGAGGTCCACCTTCTGCAGTGAAAATCAGGAAGAAAGAGGAATCGTGCTCCCTGCTATGAGCTGAAAGTTTATGTCCTCCCAAAATTAATACATTGAAACCTAGTCTCCCATGCAATGGTATTTAAGAGGTGCAGCCTTTGGGAGGGGATTAGGTCACAAGGGTTCCACTCTCCTGAATGGGATCAATGCCTTTATAAGAGAAGCTTTAGGAAACCTGTTTGCCCCTTCTGTCATGTGAGCACATAGCAAGTAGGTGCCATCTATGAAGCAGAGAACCCTCATCAAACACGGAATCTGCTGGTGCCTTGATCTTGGACTTCCCAACCTCCAGAACTGTGAACAATACATTTCTGTTATGTATTATCCAGTCTAAGGTATTTAGTTATAGCAGCTGGAATGGACTAAGACACCTCCCATTATTCCATTTTAGTATCCATTGAATATTCAGTTTAACACATTAATGGTAGCTTGTTTTCAGGGCATTGCCTTTGTCATAAACTTTAGAAGTATAGTTTCTTTTTTGTGGGGATGCTTTGCATTTTGCTTGCAACTCACATTCCTAGAGAAAAGAGAACAGTATTTCCCCAGCTATCCCGGCACATGTTTTGGACAAACTTCTCAACCTCCTGTTTCTAGTATTGGAAGTCCTCCAGGGAACGCCCTCTGGTGGGCGTCTCATTCTGACTTCGACCTGGGCTCCATCTTACAACATCTTAATTCTATGCAGAACCACCTTGATCAGATTCCTCTATAACACTACTTAATAGTTTTCCATTCGAGTTCTCCTCATAAGCATTAAAAAACCAATCTCTCTGGAATTGTTCTGAACTTCTAATCCTCTAAGCCTCCTTTCTATGGTTAGAGAATATGAGAATCTGTTTTGGGGAGGCTTGGGGTGGCTGCTTCCTACAAAATTAACAAGTCTGATGAAGATGGTGGTGAGAATCATTATTCTATTATAGTTCAGTTGGCATCAGTGAAGGCAGGGGCCATGAATCCACTGCAAGGGGCTCATGAAATATGCTTGGCTGCTTCAGATTTTTCTTTGGAGCTCACAACTTGTAAGTGTCCTCCTGGGTTAATGATAGGAGATTCTTCATCTGTCCTGGGAGAAGAAAGATTGAGTTGGGGACAGTGATTTGGATTTTTAATTCTTTGGCTTGAAGTCAAATTTTGGTGCAAATACATTACATGAAAGAGGTAATGCTATGAAAAATTATCTATTATTAGCTAGACGTGAATTTGTTTCTAAAATGAGACCCATGGACTCTGGAGCTGGGAGAAAGAACCAGACAACTGGTAAGCATGGGTCCTGCCAGGTGGGGCAGACTTGTGGAAGTCCCTGTTCATTGGGAGGAAGCATTAGGAGAGCTCTGAGAGATGAAGAGGGAGTGACAAAAGGAAGGAGAGCAAAAAAAGAGAGGCAGAAGAAACACCAAAACCAAATGTTTCCTCTTTAAAAATGTTTGCTTCGGTCAGGCACTGTGACTTATGCCTGTAATCCCCGCACTTTGGAAGGCTGAGGAGAGAGGATCACTTGAGGCCAGGAGTTTGAGACCAGCCCGGGCAACATAGCGAGACCCCTGTCTATAAAAAAACTTAGAAAAATTATCCAGGCCGGGTGCGGTGGCTCACACCTGTAATCCCAGCACTTTGGGAGGCCGAGACTGGCAGATCACAAGGTCAGGAGATTGAGACCACCCTGGCTAACACGGTGAAACCCTGTTTCTACTAAAAATACAAAAAAAAAAAAAAAAAAAAAAAAGAGCTGGGCATGGTAGCGGGTGCCTGTAGTCCCAGCTACTCGGGAGGCTGAGGCAGGAGAATGGTGTAAGTCCAGGAGGTGGAGCTTGCAGTGAGCCGAGATCATGCCATTGCACTCCAGCCTGGGCAACAGAGAGAGACTCCATCTCAAAAAAAAAAAAAAATTATCCAGGTGTGGTGGCACATACCTGTAGTCCTAGCTACTCAGGAAGCTGAGGTGGGAGGATCACTTGAGCCTAGGAGGTTGAGGCTGCAGTGAGCCATGATCATGCCACTGCACTCCAACCTGAGTGACAGAGCAAGACACTGTCTCAAAAAAAAAAAAAAAAAAAAAAAAAAAGCATGCTTGAACAAACCCTGTGAGAAAAGATTACACTCTCTTAACTGGGTCAGTATTTGTACGAATGAAGAATTCTTCTGTGTTTGCAGAAAGGGGAGACAAAGAAAGTCAGCCTTTGTTTTAACTTACTGTGATGCCAATCAGGTGAGGTGGAACTCAGGCTGTCAAGGCAGACTGATTTTTATTTGCAGGGGTGTTTCATTTTGCACAATATGATAGTGCAAATACTCATTGCACAATAGTTCGCATAATGTTCTCAATAAAAATAATTTTTAATTGCTTTAGGAGACATTCAAATAAATGTTACGGTGAGTGGAGTTTTGATGAATCACACACTCTTTTGTCATTGCATTGCAGTTAAGTGAATAATCACTTTCCTGCTTCTGCTCCACAAATCTTGATGGCCTGAGGTCTGGTGTGCTGAGTGAGTCCCACCTGCATGGACCCCTATTGTGCATGGTAAACGTGCTGTGCACAGTCAGCCGAAGTTCTAGTTCGGCAGGTCAGAGTCATGTGAAACAACTCTCGAGTTTCTCATACAATCAGAGCTAACTGCTGCCTGATGAAACAGGCAAATGCAGTGGGAGGAATACATCATAATTCCCCTTCCAAATCTGTCTGAATAAACATTTGCACAACGGCTGATCAAGGCTCTGTGTGTTAACTATCACGTCCAGTGCTGACAATTTATACAACTTCTTCGTGAAGATTCTCCTGGTGAACCTTTCATTTTTGCAGTTCATGCTATGACATTACTAGGAAGTACTGTTTGTGTTTGCAAAATACAGCTACATGCTTGCATCCATTCATGTTTATTTATATAGATGCTCTTAGCACCAGGCTAACAGCAGGTTTGACAGAAGGATAGGAACTTTTCTGCTGAAGACATACCACAGATGCCATGACTTGAAAGAACCCCATTGTTTCTTTCTTTGCCTGAACATAGCCAAGCAAGAAGGTTTTTTGGGAAAACAGTAACATGAAGAACATGGATAAAGTTAATCTACAACCTGAGACCATTACAGCCAGGAAATGGAGGTGAATTTTAAATCTTGTTGGCAGTTATTCTGTCTTTATACCTGTAATTACTTCCCTTCCTTCCCATCCTTTCTTCCCCGACCGCCCCCCCGCCCACAAAGATGGTGCCAGTGGGAGTAGAGTTGGGAACAAGGTTTAATATTGTGATTTTAAATTATTATCCTTAAAGTCACTTTGCTACCAGGTTTCCTTGGGTGTTGAATTCACATCACTTTTGTTTAAAAACGTTGGTTTTCTTTTTGTTATTTTTTCCGTCTATTGCTCCTTTGTTCTTCTGGGTGTATTTAAATCTGGAAATCTTCCTCTCAAAGGGGCTAACATTATGAAGAGTGGGAAGACTTCCACAATGAGCAAACCCTGAACTCTACCAAATCACAAATCTCATTCCCAGGTGATTAGTGATTTGGTGGAGCTCAGTGTTCATTATAAAGTTATTCATAAGCAATCATGATCATTTCCAGAGAAAAAGACAATGATTAATTTCATGGCCCCATATGTAATCGTGACTACTTTCAGGCATTTAACAATGATCAATTACCCATTCTCTGTTAATTAAGAGCTTAATCTTCCCACTCATGTAATGTGAACAATGGTGCACTGTTCCAAGCTGCCTATTATATTTCCTCAGGACAAAGACCAAAGTGATTGGTCATGGAACGCTCAGGGCTGTCACACTGGATTTCCTGCCTCTCCAGCCGAACACAGTAGGCACAGTTCAGTATTAACAGACTCATGTTTTCTATGAGCTAGGATGATGTCCTTGCCCCGTAAAGCCAACGTTGAACACATTTTATCTTTTAGCCTCAACATCATCACTCTTTTTTATATTTTTACAAATATGCATAGTGAATAAGAGAAGAATAAGGGAGGGAAGAGAAGAAGAATAATGTTCCCAACACAAAGAACAGATAAATGTTTGAGGTGATGGAAATCCCAGTTACTCTGATTTAATCATCACACATTATATACAGGTATCAAAATAGCACGTGTACTCCTAATATGCACACAACTATTAGGTATCAATTAAAAAGAGAAGAAATGTCTCAAATACCAAGTTTCTTGCTACCTAGGTTAATGCTTCATTTCCCTGCTGCCTTCTCCAAAAACAGCATCTCATCACCTGTATTCTTTCCTGTGTTGAGCCTCTGGGTTGCGGGGGACCCACCATGGTCTCTGCATGGCCACTTCCACAGAGGCTGTCACTTTGCTCCCCTCCTCTTCCAGAATCCCTGCATTTGAATGGCACGTTAGACTGACTAGTCACTGTTATAGTCATCTACAACCCCAGGGCCCTTCCGCTGCTCGCTGTTGGTTTTTGCAATATGACCATTGCCTTAACTCTTGGTGACTTAAATACCCACATACTGTACATAAGCTGGTCTCTCTATTCCCTGACCTATTCTCCAAAGATCTTATTCTAGACACCACTTCAGTCCCCCATTCCACAGTCACACTGGAATAGCTACAAAGTCTATATTTCCATTGCAAACATCCTGGGCTCCAGCTGCAGCCTCCTTCCCCTGTCACTCACTTCCTTCACTGCCCTGTCCGCAATGATGCTTTGACCTGCCTCCACCCCTTAACTGTGTCCAGAAAAAACCACATGCCCAGGCTTACTGCTCTAAGTCTCTTTCATCACCCTGCGCTTCCAGGGGGACTTGAGTGCACGTGGCAGCCAGGCTCCATCTCTATGGTCCACTCAGTGCTCCTGGCCCTTGCCCATGACTCACTGTCCTTTCTGCCCTCTTGCACCTTCTTCACTCAGTTGATGATCTTCCTTCCTTCCATCTAACAGAGAAAGCAAAGGTGATCAGAACAGAACTTCCACCTGCTCTCCTCATTTTGTCTGCCCACCTATCTGAAATCTAGGTGGAGGTTCCCAAATCTCAATTCTTGACTCCCTGCACCTGAACGCTCAACACCAAGTGCAAGCTGCCAAGACTTAAGGCTTGCGCCTTCTGAAGCCGTGGCCCGAGCTCTATGCTGGCCCTTTTCAGCTAGAGCTGGAGCAGCTGGGACACAGAGTACCAAGTCCCTAGGCTGCACACAGCATGGGGACCCTGGGCTCAACCTATGAAACCACTTTTTCCTCCTAGGCCTCAGGGCCTGTGATGGGAGTGGCTGCCATGGGGACCTCTGAGATGCCCTGGAGACATTTTCTCCCTTTGTCTTGGGGATTAACATTTGGCTTCTCATTGCTTATAAAAATTTTTGCAGTTTTCTTGAACGTCTCAGAAAATGAGATTTTCTTTTCCATTGCATTGTCAGGCTACAAATTTGCTGCACTTTTATGCTCTGTTTCCCTTTTAAAACTGAATGCCTTTAACAGCACCCAAGTCACCTCTTGAATGCTTTGCTGCATAGATATTTCTTTCACCAAATACCCTACATCATCTCTCTCAAGTTCAAAGTTCCACAAATCTCTAGGCAGGGGCAAAATGTTGCCAGTCTCTTTGCTAAAACATAACAGGGGTCACCCTTATACCAGTTCCCAATGAGTTCCTCATCTCCATCTGAGACCACCTGAAACTGAATTTTATTATCCATATCATTATCAGCATTTTGGTCAAAGCCATTCAACAAGTCTCTAGGGAGTTCCAAACTTTCCCACATTTTCCCATCTTCTTCTGAGCCCTCCAAATTGTTCCAACCTTTGCCTGTTACCCAGTTCCAAAGTCACTTCCACATTTTCGGGTATCTTTCCAGCAGTGCCCCACTCTACTGATACCAATTTACTGTATTAGTCTGTTTTCATGCTGCTGATAAATCCAAACCTGAGACTGGCCAATTTACAAAAGAAAGAGATTTAATTGGATTTACAGTTCCACGTGCCTGGGAAAACCTCACAATCATTGTGGAAGGCAAGGAAGAGCAAGTCACATCTTACATGAATGGAAGCAGGCAAAGAGAGAGAGAGCTTGTGCAGGGAAACTCTGCCTTATAAAGCCATCAGATCTCATGAGACTTATTCACTATCATGAGAACAGCACAAAAAAGACCTGCTCCCATCATTCAGTTACCTCCAACTGGGTTTCTCCCACAACATGTGGAATTCAAGATGAGATTTGGGTGGGGACACAATCAAACCATACCAGTCATCATGATGGGATGCCGTCTTCCTTTCTGTTTTCACCCCTTCTAATGCACCTTGCACACTACCGTCAACCTTTATAGAGTGCACATGAGTATGGCTTGATTTAGTCTGTTTGGGCAGCTATGACAAATACCATAAATTGAGTAGCTAATAAACAACAGATATTTGTTCCTCATAGTTCTGGAGTCTGGGAAGTCCAAGATCAAGGTACTGGTAGATTCAGTGTTTGGTGAGGCCACCTTCCTCATAGACAGCACCTTTTGTGTCCTCACGTGGTGGAAGAGGCTAACTAGTTCTCTTTGATAATGGCACTTACTCCATTCATGAAGGTTTTGTCCTCATGACCGAGTCACCTCCCAGTGGGCCCACTCCCTATACAAAAACATGAATGATTAGGTTTCCATATATGGATTTGGAAGGGAACACAAGCATTCAGATCATAGCACTATTCCCTTGTCTACAATCCAGCAACCTGTCTTAGGTAACTTCATCCCTTTGGATAAATATTCAGTCTGTTCAAAATCTAGGTGCTGACATGTATATGCTTGAGTCTTAAAGGTGAAAGGCTCCTACAAATAGTTTTGGGGACTCCTATGCAATCCTTTCTATTCAATTTCCTCATTGCAAATAGACCCTCCAAGAGAAAGAGGAGGTAGACTATGCTTGTTAAAGTATGCAGCAATCTAAATATAGTAGTCCCCTCTTATCTGCAGGGGGTATGTTTCAAGAACCCAGTGGATGCCTGAAACCCTGGATAATATAGAACCTTATATATATACAGTTGCCCTTAGTATCTGCAGGGGATTGCTTCCAGCATCTCCAGCAGATACCAAAACCTACAGGTGTTCAAAAGTTCCTTATATAAAATAGTTTAGTATTTGCATATAATCTACACCTCCTGTATACTTTCAATCTTCTCTAGATTACTTATTGATATGGTTTGGTTGTGTTCCTACCCAAATCTCATCTTGAACTGTTGCTCCCATAATTCCCACATGTTGTGGGAGGGACATGGTAGGAGATAGTTGAATCATGAGGGTGATTTCCCCTATACTGTTCTCATGGTAGTGAATAAGTCCCATGAGATCTGATTGTTTTATAAGAGGAAACCCTCTTCGCTTGGCTCTCATCCTGTCTTGTTTGCCGCCATGTAAGATGTGCCTTTTGCCGTCTGCCATGATTGTGAAGCCTCCCAGCCACGTGGAACTGTGAGTCCATTAAACCTCTTCTTCTTTATGAATTACCCAGTCTCAGGTATGTCTTTATCAGCAGTGTGAAAACAGACTAAATACACTTATAATACCTAATATGATGTAAATACTATGTACATAGTTATTATATTATATTAGCTTTTATTTGTATTATTTTTATTGTTGTATGGTTATTTTTATTTTTTTTTATATTTTTGATCCAAGGTTGGTTGAATTTGCATATGTGGAACCCATGGGCATGAAGGGCTGGCCGTCCTATGTTCTTTTCCTTTATATACAGAGCTATGAAAAAGTTTTATTTATAAATTAAGCACAGGAAGAAATTAAAAACAATAACTAGTAATAAAATAGAACAATTATAACAATATACTGTAATAAAAGTTATGAGAATATGGAAAAAATGTTGTCTTTTAACTCTCCCAGGTAGGGTCTGGGTGGATGAGAGGGAGCTCCTCTTGGCAGAAGCTGGAGGTGTTAAGATACACACGTTTGCAGCCCCTTTGCTGCCTCTGCTGGGGTGCTGCTCATCATGTCTCATCCCCTGGTCCCATCTGGCTGAGATGTCCCGCTGCTGCTTGCCTCTGGATAATTGGTGTCTTGGCCAATTGTTTTTTTGAAATAGAAGGAAAGACATGATATAGTGGTCCAGATGCAGATAGGTGGGCAGACAAGTGAGGAGAGCATGTGAAAGTTCTCTTCTGATCACCTTCGCTTTCTCAGTTAAATAGAAAGCAAGATCATCATGCAATGATTAATCCAGGGAAATCTCCCCTCCCTGTTCAGGGTTAAGGCCAAATCTCTGTCATCGCATGCCGTGCCCTGCATAGGTGGCCTTGCCCACCTCACTTCTTGCTGCTTCTCTGTAATGCACTGCACGGGAGACTTTGGAGCACACCTTTCAGTCCCCAAGCGTATACCCTGGCTCCAGCCTTCTGTGCCTGCCCTTATGTGGCTCCTTCTGTTGGGCTTACCCCACTCTTGTCTGCCAAGTGATCTCCTACCCATACCTCAGGGCCAATCCAGTGGGTTACCTCTGGGGGCAAGTTTCCATGAATACCCTGGATGGAGCTAGCTATTTTCCCTTTGGTCCCTGATATAGTTTGAATGTCTATCCCCTCCAAATCTCATGTTGAAATGTGATCCCCAGTGTTGGAAGTGGGGCCTGGTGGGAAGTGTTGGGTCATGGAATTGAATCCTTCCTGAATGGCTTGGTGCATTTCCCATGGTAATGAGCGAGTTCTTGCTCTGTTCACTTAGGAGTTGGTTGTTTAAAGGAGACTGGCACCTCATCTCTCTCTTGCTTTCTCTCTCTTGCTCCTGTTCTCAACATGTGACATGCTGGCTACCTTCCCTTCCACCATAACTGAAAGCTTTCTGAGGCCTTACCAGAAGCCAAGCCGATGCCGACGTCTGGTTATGCTTGTATAGCCTGCAGAACCGTGAGCCAAATAATCTTTTCTTTATAAATTTCCCAGTCTCGGGTGTTCCTTTATAGCAATGCAAAACTGACAAACACAGGTCCCTTATAGTACCTCATCCACATGCCTCTGTGACCACGTATACAATGATTTATTTGAGACATTTATTTATGTGTCTTACTCACCCTCTCCCCGAGGATAGGGACCTGTCCTGACTCATGAAACCACCAGTGTCTAGCAGAATGTCCTGCACATAGTAAATGTTCAATGCTTGTTTGTTTGAAGGCCAAAATGAATGAATGGACAGGATTTTTGCCTTTATCTAGGTGTTCAGCTAGTCACTGATTGTAGAGATACAAAATGGAGCAATTTTTAAAAAGTGAATAGTAAACAAAGAGAACATGTAATAACAGCAACTTAATTAACATTTTAAAGTTAAGTTGCTGACTAATTTCACTCCCAAGATTTAGAAATGCTGTATAAGTCTAAGTCATCACTTTCTCCCTCTCATTTTCAAAGTAGAACTTCCAAATCAAATGATGCTGACCATTTAAAAAAAATTTATTTTCAGAAATAGTAGAATATATAGAATGCTTAATCAGGAGGGCTCAATAATCGCTGAAAATAATATCAAAGATTCCAATAGCAATGTTTTGCAACACATTACTAAATAATCAAAAAGCAAGAAGCCATCATTTAGACATTGGGATGTGCAGATCAACTTGGTTGAAAGAATTGGTATCGTCAATTCAGGCAATAGCTGTGACCCAGGAAGGGATTACCAGTTTTGCTGTACTTAAAATTCTGTACTTTGCTTTGCTCTAAGTCCACATTTCTCTTGTGCCACTAGATGCTTGTTCTAACTCAGTTTCATGTTGGGTTGTTGCTGTGCTGGGAAGATGAGCTTTCAGAGACTCAGTTCATAGCAGACAGTGGACTTTGGTTAAATATGAAGAATGCCTCTCTCTCTAAACTATAATAAAGCCCTTTTACATCACATTCATCCTGATATTACCTTATTTGCTTTATTGACTACAGAGTACTTATACATACGCTCACGTCTTATAAAAATTGTATCTAGCAGAGCTATAAATAATTAAACTTTTCCTAGCTGGGACTTGCCTGTATAAAGATGTTACAAATTCAAAGTCATAACAGGGAGGGTAGAACAGTGATTTATCACTAACAACTCTCAGCTTCTGGCTTTGTGTTTCTACTCATCTGTCTCATTGCTGAGTCCTGTGGTAATTTGTGTCTGTAGAGCCCCATGGCGGGAGAAAGAGAGACACAAGAAACCAGAGGAACAATCTCAGTGGTGGTTTCTCATAACTGGATCCACGCA